>NC_000005.10:155159689-155460006 GCF_000001405.40 Homo sapiens
AATGCTTCCAGTTTTTGCCCATTCAGTATGATATTGGCTGTGGGTTTGTCATAGATAGCTCTCATTATTTTGAGATACATCCCATCAATACCTAATTTATTGAGAGTTTTTAGCATGAAGGGTTGTTGAATTTTGTCAAAGGCCTTTTCTGCATCTATTGAGATAATCATGTGGTTTTTGTCTTTGGTACTGTTTATATGTTGGATTATGTTTATTGATTTGCATATGAACCAGCCTTGCATCCCAGGTATGAAGCCCACTTGATCATGACTGATAAGCTTTTTGATGTGCTGCTGGATTCGGTTTGCCAGTATTTTATTGAGGATTTTTGTATCAATGTTCATCAGGGATATTGGTCTAAAATTCTCTTTTTTTGTTGTGTCTCTGCCAGGCTTTGGTATCAGGGTGATGCCGGCCTCATAAAATGGGTTAGGGAGGATTCCCTCTTTTTCTATTGATTGGGATAGTTTCAGAAGGAATGGTACCAGCTCCTCCTTTTACCTCTGGTAGAATTCGGCTGTGAATCCGTCTGGTCCTGGACTTTTTTTGGTTGGTAAGCTATTAATTATTGCCTCAATTTCAGAGCCTGTTATTGGTCTATTCAGAGATTCAACTTCTTCCTGGTTTAGTCTTGGGAGGTTGTATGTGTCGAGGAATTTATCCATTTCTTCTAGATTTTCTAGTTTATTTGCATAGAGGTGTTTATGGTATTCTCTGATGGTAGTTTGTATTTCTGTGGGATTGGTGGTGATATCCCCTTTATCATTTTTTATTGCGTCCATTTGATTCTTCTCTCTTTTCTTCTTTATTAGTCTTGCTAGCGGTCTATCAATTTTGTTGGTCTTTTCAAAAAACCAGCTCCTGGATTCACTGATTTTTTTGAAGGGTTTTTGTGTCTCTATTTCCTTCAGTTCTGCTCTGATCTTAGTTATTTCTTGCCTTCTGCTAGCTTTTGAATGTGTTTGCTCTTGCTTTTCTAGTTCTTTTAATTGTGATGTTAGGGTGTCAATTTTGGATCTTTCCTGCTTTCTCTTGTGGGCATTTAGTGCTATAAATTTCCCTCTACACACTGCTTTGAATGTGTCCCAGAGATTCTGGTATGTTGTGTCTTTGTTCTCACTGGTTTCAAAGAACATCTTTATTTCTGCCTTCATTTCGTTATGTACCCAGTAGTCATTCAGGAGCAGGTTGTTCATTTTCCGTGTAGTTGAGCGGTTTTGAGTGAGTTTCTTAATCCTGAGTTCTAGTTTGATTACACTGTGGTCTGAGAGACAGTTTGTTATAATTTCTGTTCTTTTACATTTCCTGAGGAGAGCTTTACTTCCAACTATGTGGTCAATTTTGGAATAAGTGTGGTGTGGTGCTGAGAAGAATGTATATTCTGTTGATTTGGGGTGGAGAGTTCTGTAGATGTCTATTAGGTCCTCTTGGTGCAGAGCTGAGTTCAATTCCTGGATATCCTTGTTAACTTTCCGTCTTGTTGATCTGTCCAATGTTGACAGTGGGGTGTTAAAGTCTCCCATTATTATTGTGTGGGAGTCTAAGTCTCTTTCTAGGTCTCTAAGGACTTGCTTTATGAATCTGGGTGCTCCTGTATTGGGTGCATATATATTTAGGATAGTTAGCTCTTCTTGTTGAATTGATCCCTTTACCATTATGTAAAGGCCTTCTTTGTCTCTTTTGATCTTTGTTGGTTTAAAGTCTGTTTTATCCGAGACTAGGATTGCAACCCCTGCCTTTTTTTGTTTTCCATTTGCTTGGTAGATCTTCCTCCATCCTTTTATTTTGAGCCTATGTGTGTCTCTGCACATGAGATGGGTTTCCTGAATACAGCACACTGATGGGTCTTGATTCTTTATCCAATTTGCCAGTCTGTGTCTTTTAATTGGAGCATTTAGCCCATTTACATTTAAGGTTAATATTGTTATGTGTGAATTTGATCCTGTCGTTATGATGTTAGCTGGTTATTTTGCTCGTTAGTTGATGCAGTTTCTTCCTAGCCTCGATGGTCTTTACAATTTGGCACGTGTTTGCAGTGGCTGGTACCGGTTGTTCCTTTCCATGTTTAGTGCTTCCTTCAGGAACTCTTTTAGGGCAAGCCTGGTGGTGACAGAATCTCTCAGCATTTCCTTGTCTGTAAAGTATTTTATTTCTCCTTCACTTATGAAGCTTACTTTGGCTGGATATGAAATTCTGGGTTGAAAATTCTTTTCTTTAAGAATGTTGAATATTGGCCCCCACTTTCTTCTGGCTTGTAGAGTTTCTGCCAAGAGATCAGCTGTTAGTCTGATGGACTTCCCTTTGTGGGTAACCCGACCTTTCTCTCTGGCTGCCCTTAACATTTTTTGCTTCATTTCAACTTTGGTGAATCTGACAATTATGTGTCTTGGAGTTGCTCTTCTCAAGGAGTATCTTTGTGGTGTTCTCTGTATTTCCTGAATTTGAATGTTGGCCTGCCTTGCCAGATTGGGGAGGTTCTCCTGGATAATATCCTGCAGAGTGTTTTCCAACTTGGTTCCATTCTCCCCGTTACTTTCAGGTACACCAATCAGATGTAGATTTGGTCTTTTCACATAGTCCCATATTTCTTGGAGTCTTTGTTTGTTTGTTTTTATTCTTTTTTTTTTTCTAAACTTCTTTTCTTGCTTCATTTCATTCATTTGATCTTCCATCACTGCTACCCTTTCTTCCAGTTGATTGAATCGGCTACTGAGGCTTGTGCATTCGTCGCGTAGTTCTCGTGCCTTGGTTTTCAGCTCCATCAGGTCCTTTAAGGACTTCTCTGCATTGGTTATTCTAGTCAGCCATTCATCTGATTTTTTTTCAAGGTTTTTACCTCCTTTGCCACGGTTTTGAACTTCCTCCTTTAGTTCGAGGTAGTTTGATCGTGTGAAGCCTTCTTCTGATGACTCATCAAAGTCATTCTCCATCCAGCTTTGTTCCATTGGTGATGAGGAGCTGCATTCCTTTGGAGGAGGAGAGGCACTCTGATTTTTAGAGTTTCCAGTTTTTCTGCTCTGTTTTTTCCCTATCTTTGTGGTTTTATCTACCTTTGGTCTTTGGTGATGGTGGCGTACAGATGGGGTTTTGGTGTGGATGTCTTTTCTGTTTGTTAGTTTTCCTTCTAACAGTCAGGACCCTCAGCTGCAGGTCTGTTGGAGTTTTCTGGAGGTCCACTCCAGACCCTGTTTTTTTGGGTATCAGCAGCAGAGGCTGCAGAACAGTGGATATTGGTGAACAGCAAATGTTGCTGACTGATCATTCCTCTGGAAGTTTTGTCTCAGAGGAGTACCCGGCCGTGTGAGGTGTCAGTCTGCCTCTATTGGGGGGTGCCTCCCAGTTAGGCTACTCGAAGGTCAGGGACCCACTTGAGGAGGCAGTCTGTCCATTCTCAGATCTCCAGCTGCGTGCTGGGAGAACCACTACTCTCTTCAAAGCTGTCAGACAGGGACTTTTAAGTCTGCAGAGGATTCTGCTGCCTTTTGTTTGGCTATGCCCTGCCCCCATAGGTGGAGTCTGCAGAGGCAGGCAGGCCTCCTTGAGCTGTGGTGGACTCCACCCAGTTTGAGCTTCCCAGGCGCTTTGTTTACCTGCTCGAGCCTCGGCAATGGCGGGCGCCCCTCCCCCAGCCTTGCTGCTGCCTTGCAGTTTGATCTCAGACTGCTGTGCTAGCAATGAGTGAGGCTCTGTGGGCATAGGACCCTCCGAGCCAGGTGCAGGATATAATCCCCCAGTGTGCCATTTGCTAAGACTGTTGGAAAAGCTCAGTATTAGGGTGGGAGTGACCTGATTTTCCAGGTGCCATCTGTCACCCCTTTCTTTGACTAGGAAAGGGAATTCCCTGACCCCTTGTGCTTCCTGGGTGAGGCGATGCCTGCTTCTGCTCATGCTCAGTGCACTGCACCCACTGTCCTGCACCCACTTACCGACACTCCCTAGTGAGATGAACCCGGTACCTCAGTTGGAAATGCAGAAATCACCCATCTTCTGCATTGCTCACACTGGGAGCTGTAGACTTTAGCTTTTCCTATTTGGCCATCTTGGCTCCACCCCCTTCCTGAATGATTTTAAATATATTTCTTAGCCTCTCAACATTCCAATTTTCCTACATGTAAATGAGATTATAACACCTACCTTATAAAGCTACAGTAATGTTCATATAGACAATACTAATAGGACATTTAGAACATTGTCTGGCATGTGGTAAGCATTTTATACGTAATTGTCTTTTTTAGTATAGTTATTTTTAGCATAACATTGTAACTATAAAGATCTTCTTATAACTTTTCTGTGGTGATTTTTAAATTGCTGCATTCTTATTCTTTTTTTTTTTTTTAAGAGACAAGGTCTCACTCTGTTGCCCAGGAGTGCAGTGGCATGATTGTAGCTCACTGCAGCCTCCAAGTCCTGGACTCAAGCAATCCTTTCACCTCAGCCTCCTGAGTTAAATTGCCACATTCTTTATTTAAACTTGTATTATATCACTTGGTTTTCTGTTTATAAAAAATCAGGGCCAGGCATGGTGGTTTACACCTGTAATCCCAGCACTTTGGGAGGCTGATGTGGGCAGATCACGAGGTCAAGAGATCGAGACCATTCTGGCCAACATGGTGAAACCCCGTCTCTACTAAAAATACAAAAATTAGCTGCGTGTGGTGATGCACACCTGTGGTCCCAGCTACTTGGGAGGCTGAGGCAGGAGAATCGCTTAAGCCCGAGAGGCAGTGGTTGCAGTGGGCCGAGATCGTGCTACTGCACTCCAGCCTGGTGACAGAGCGAGACTCTATCTAGAAAAAAAAAATCAGGCCAGGTATGGTGGCTCATGCCTGTAATCCCAGGGCATTGGGAGGTCAAGGTGGGAGAATTGCTTGAGCGCAGGAGGTCAAGATCAGCCTGTGTAGCATACTGAGACCCTGTATCTAAAAAAATATAATTAGCCAGGCATGGTGGTACATGCCTGTAGTCGCAGCTATTTGAGAGGCAGAGGTGGGAAGATAGCGTGGTCCCAGGAGTTTGAGGTTACATTGAGCTATGATTGTACCAATGCACTCCAGCCTGAGCAACAGAGTGAGACCCTGTCTCTAAATTTTTTTTTAAATTTTAAAAATTTTAAAATCAACATATTGTGTTTAAAAATATGTTCCTTGGTCGAACAATATGGTAGTAATATAAGGAAACATATGGTGGTTGAATTGGAAAGGTAAGAAGGCATTGTATTATAAGAGGTCTCGTATGTTGTGCTGAGTAGTTTGGATTTTATTCTGTAGGCAATAGTCAGTCATTGAAGATTTTTGACCTGAAGAGTGAGAAGACACAAATAGTATCTTGGGAAGATTAATTTGGCACAGGATACATTGTAGGTAGTAGGCCAGTTTAAAAAATCATAGCAGTAGCTCACGTGGGAGGTGAAAAGTTCCTGTATTAAGTTTGGCCACTGAGAGTATGAAAGACAGGAAGAGACCTGAGAGGTTATTATAAAGGAATATAGAAAGTATTTGGTTAACAGATTCTATTGGTCTGTTCTCACACTGCTATAAGAACATACCTGAAACAAGGTGATTTATAAAGGTAAATGTGGGGATTATGGAAACTACAGTTCAAAATGAGATTTAGTTGGGGATCCCACCAAACCATATCATGGATATAAGGAAGAAGTAAGAGATGAAAATAATTGTGGGGTTTCAAGCTTGAGCGATGAGGAAGTTGATGATATCTCTGACAGAAATAGAGATATCTACAGGGATACCAAGCTATGGGTAAGAAATCAGTCTGCATTTTGATCCTGTTATAAAAATTGTAAAAACATGATAACAGGCAGATGTATTGACTCCTTTATACATGAATCAGTTTGAGTTAAACTTTTCATCAAGTACATTTGAATACAATTTCTTTATGAAATTCTACCCATACCCCATTCCATCTTTTTATTACATTTGTATTTTATTCCTTGTTGTTTTGGGGTTCTTAGTTGTAAGCAGAAGAAACTGCCTCTGGCTAACTTCAACAGAAGAGGAATTTATTAAAGTGATATTGATTTGCTGACAGAATCACTGGGAAGGACAGGGATCTAGGCTCAGAATATGGACAGAAACAAGGGATTATGGGTAGCAGCCACCACCACAGCCAAGAGCATGCTAAGCCCCAGTCTTAGAAGACATAGCTGTCTCCATCATGGAATGTTGATGCCATGGCTCGTTTTGCCGCTGGCACTGGGCAGAGGATGCTGTCCCTGATTTGCTGTCTTTGAAAACTGGAAGCTTCTGCTGCCACTGTTATTCCTACTTCCAGAATAGATTCTCCTCTATTCCTGCTAATTTGTATCACTAGGCCGTTGCTCAAAGTCCAAGATAGAGGTGTCTGATTGATCAAGCCCAGGTCTCATGCCCTAGCTATGAGGATGCTGGGATAGGAGTGTCTTGCCTTTTTAGTTTTTATGGTGATAGATGAACCCTGTGCCTCCAACATTCCTAAGATGGGTCATCCATTCAGACATTTGGTGGCCAAAACAACACAAAGCACAAAAAAACCCAGCAACAGCTAATGTCTGCCACACATGCCTGCAGGTTATATTTTATATTACAAGAGCAGAGTATCTAGAAACACTTTTTTTCTTTTCTTTTTAGTTAGTTTCAAATATAGATATAGAATGTCCCAAGAATCAAAGCACCTGCAGCCACAGCTAAAAAGGTCAGAAAATTGCCCAGTATTTCATGGCTGGGGTTGCTCAAATTATAGCCTATTACAGACTGAAACAGACCACCATGACCTTTTCATGTGGCAGGATGTTGTATTATCAGAACTCCCTCTTTCTATGATTTTTTTTGCCCTTTTCCCCTTTCCAACTTATTTGAATTCAGGCCTGATAGGAAAAAAATAAGACAAAAGATGTGGCCTGAAATTTCAGGTTGGGGGAGAACAGACTGTAACTTTGAACTTAGTGAGGAAATAATTTTCCCTTATTAATTTGAGCAGAACTTTAAATTGGGAATTAAGATGCTCAAATCTTAAACTCGGGCAAGTCTCTGCTTCTCTCTGGACTTGAGCTTCTTTGTTGATGGGGTCCCTGGATTGGATTCAGGCAGACACAGATTCGGGCTCCAGCTCTCCCACTTACGGATCGGTGTGAACATGGGGATATCTCACTCTTAACTTAATTTTTCTCATGGGAGAAGCAAGGAAAAAGTAATAGGACTATCCTCATAGATTTATTGTGAGATTTGAATAAGGCAATGTTTGTCAAATCCCAGGAAATAATAGGATGGTTGTATCCTAGATGATATTTCAGGAGGGGTCTGAGAATCTGATATTTCACATAATTTGCAGAGTAATTCATAGAGTTTGTGTATGTGTATTTTACAGCACATGTAGTGTAAAAATTAGAGTGGATTTCTATTTTTAGGTATTTTGGAAAGTAAAAAAGAAAAAAACCCTCATTCTTTTTTTCCCCCATTTCACAATGTATGAGTATAGTACTGTTTAAAATACTGTGAAAGGTACTCAGAAATGACATGTATAGTACATGCTTAGTACTTTCTAGGAGCCTATGACCTAGACAAGGCCAGAAAGGCAAAGTTCTATATTACTAAGAATTAAAATATGGAATAGTGATTGAGGCGGTGTCATGATGAGAGTGTGAGTGCTGTGATCTCAGAAGAGGGAAGGATTATGCTGGGCAGGGAGGACAGAGCCAGCTCTCTGGATTTCCAGAGGAGTTCCTTCAAGAATGTAGTTAAGTTGACACTGGGTATCAGGGAAGCCTTGCTATCTCTAAAGCTCCCAGTTTTGACCATGAGAGCTGAGATGCTTCTATCCCTCTATAGGTTAGGGAAAGTGGCTGGTGTGGTGGTTTTAAAACATATCAGTAAATTCCTTGACATGCCTCTTATTAAAAGATGGGATCTAATTCCCTTTCCCTTCACTCGTAATGAATAGAATGTGGCAAAAGTGACTTGGCTGACTTTCAATCAAGCCTATGTTAGAAAAGGCAATACAGTTTCCATCAGGCTCTCTCTCTTTTGAGATGCTCACCTTTGAAACCCAGGCATCATGCTGTGAGGATGCCAGGCAGCCACATAGAAATATGTGGCCCCAGCTGAGGCATCGGACAAGAGCTAGCATTGCCTCAACTGCCAAACATGAAAACGGGTGACACTGCAGATGATTCCAGCCCCCAGCCTTCAAGCCATGCCAGGTGACAGGAAGTAGAGCAGAGACCAGTTGTCCCCACTGAACACGACACAAATTGCTGACTTGGAAGAAAAATAAATGTTGTGGTTGTTTTAAGCAACTAAGCTCTGGGTGTTTTGTTACAATAACATTACATAAATGGAACACCTGGTGACTGGACAATGACTTCAGAGAGCAGGTATCTTGCTCCTGTGGCATAGGAAGCAATTTCATGTAAAATTGTTCTTTTCTAGTTTAAAAGGAAGATGGACCCTAAGCTGTCCAAAAACCTATAGAGAGTTGCCTCATGGGGACCTACATACTTGAATAATGATAAGAAAAGAAAGTATAGCGTAAAGAAAATATAAATATCTAAGGTGATGCATATGCCAGTTACCTTGATTTGATTATATCAATATATCAAATTATCACATGTACCACCAAAATATGTACAACTACCATGTATCAATAAAAATTAATTAGGAGGGGAGCCAAGATGGCCGAATAGGAACAGCTCCGGTCTACAGCTCCCAGCGTGAGCGACGCAGAAGATGGGTGATTTCTGCATTTCCATCTGAGGTACCGGGTTCATCTCATTAGGGAGTGGCAGACAGTGGGTGCAGGACAGTGGGCGCAGCGCACTGTGTGCGAGCCGAAACAGGGCAAGGCATTGCCTCACTTGGGAAGCGCAAGGGGTCAGGGAGTTCCCTTTCCGAGTCAAAGAAAGGGGTGACAGATGGCACCTGGAAAATTGGGTCACTCCCACCCTAGTACTGTGCTTTTCCGACGGGCTTAAAAAACGGCGCACCAGGAGATTATATCCCACACCTGGCTCGGAGGGTCCTATGCCCACGGAGTCTCACCGATTGCTAGCACAGCAGTCTGAGATCAAACTGCAAGGCAACAGCTAGGCTGGGGGAGGGGCGCCCGCCATTGCCCAGGCTTGCTTAGGTAAACAAAGCAGCCGGGAAGCTCGAACTGGGTGGAGCCCACCACAGCTCAAGGAGGCCTGCCTGCCTCTGTAGGCTCCACCTCTGGGGGCAGGGCATAGACAAACCAAAAGATAGCAGTAACCTCTGCAGACTTAAATGTCCCTGTCTGACAGCTTTGAAGAGAGCAGTGGTTCTCCCAGCATGCAGCTGGAGATCTGAGAATGGGCAGACTGCCTCCTCAAGTTGGTCCCTGACCCCTGACCCCCGAGCAGCCTAACTGGGAGGCACCCCCCAATAGGGGCAGACTGACACCTCACACAGCCGGGTACTCCTCTGAGACAAAACTTCCAGAGGAACGATCAGACAGCAGCATTCGCGATTCATGAAAATCCGCTGTTCTGCAGCCACTGCTGCTGATACCCACGCAAACAGGGTCTGGCGTGGACCTCTAGCAAACTTCAACAGACCTGCAGCTGAGGGTCCTCTCTGTTAGAAGGAAAACTAACAAACAGAAAGGACATCCACAACAAAAACCCAACTGTACATCACCATCATCAAAGACCAAAAGTAGATAAGACCACAAAGATGGGGAAAAAACAGAGCAGAAAAACTGGAAACTCTAAAAAGCAGAGCGCCTCTCCTCCTCCAAAGGAACGCAGTTCCTCACCAGCAGTGGAACAAAGCTGGACAGAGAATGACTTTGACGAGTTGAGAGAAGAAGGCTTCAGATGATCAAACTACTCCGAGCTACAGGAGGAAATTCAAACCAAAGGTAAAGAAGTTAAAAACTTTGAAAAAAATTTAGACGAATGTATAACTAGAATAACCAATACAGAGAAGTGCTTAAAGGAGCTGATGGAGCTGAAAGCCAAGGCTCGAGAACTACATGAAGAATGCAGAAGCCTAAGGAGCCAATGCAATCAACTGGAAGAAAGGGTATCAGTGATGGAAGATGAAATGAATGAAATGAAGCGAGAAGGGAAGTTTAGAGAAAAAAGAATAAAAAGAAACAAACAAAGCCTCCAAGAAATATGGGACTATGTGAAAAGACCAAATCTACGTCTGATTGGTGTACCTGAAAGTGACGGGGAGAATGGAACCAAGTTGGAAAACACTCTGCAGGATATTATCCAGGAGAACCTCCCCAGTCTAGCAAGGCAGGCCAACATTCAGATTCAGGAAATACAGAGAATGCCACAAAGATACTCCTCGAGTAGAGCAACTCCAAGACACATAATTGTCAGATTCACCAAAGTTGAAATGAAGGAAAAAAATGTAAAGTGCAGCCGGAGAGAAAGGTCAGGTTACCCACAAAGGGAAGCCCATCAGACTAACAGCGGATCTCTCGGCAGAAACTCTACAAGCCAGAAGAGAGTGGGGGCCAATATTCAACATTCTTAAAGAAAAGAATTTTCAACCCAGAATTTCATATCCAGCCAAAGTAAGCTTCATAAGTGAAGGAGAAATAAAATACTTTACAGACAAGGAAATGCTGAGAGATTTTGTCACCACCAGGCCTTCCCTAAAAGAGCTCCTGAAGGAAGCACTAAACATGGAAAGGAACAACCGGTACCAGCCACTGCAAAACCATGCCAAAATGTAAAGACCATCGAGACTGGGAAGAAACTGCATCAACTAACGAGCAAAATAACCAGCTAACATCATAATGACAGGATCAAATTCACACATAACAATATTAACTTTAAATGTAAATGGACTAAATGCTCCAATTAAAAGACACAGACTGGCAAATTGGATAAAGAGTCAAGACCCATCAGTGTGCTGTATTCAGGAAACCCATCTCATGTGCAGAGACACACATAGGCTCAAAATAAAAGGATGGAGGAAGATCTACCAAGCAAATGGAAAACAAAAAAAGGCAGGGGTTGCAATCCTAGTCTCGGATAAAACAGACTTTAAACCAACAAAGATCAAAAGAGACAAAGAAGGCCTTTACATAATGGTAAAGGGATCAATTCAACAAGAAGAGCTAACTATCCTAAATATATATGCACCCAATACAGGAGCACCCAGATTCATAAAGCAAGTCCTTAGAGACCTAGAAAGAGACTTAGACTCCCACACAATAATAATGGGAGACTTTAACACCCCACTGTCAACATTGGACAGATCAACAAGACGGAAAGTTAACAAGGATATCCAGGAATTGAACTCAGCTCTGCACCAAGAGGACCTAATAGACACCTACAGAACTCTCCTCCCCAAATCAACAGAATATACATTCTTCTCAGCACCACACCACACCTATTCCAAAATTGACCACATAGTTGGAAGTAAAGCTCTCCTCAGGAAATGTAAAAGAACAGAAATTTTAACAAACTGTCTCTCAGACCACAGTGTAATCAAACTAGAACTCAGGATTAAGAAACTCACTCAAAACCGCTCAACTACATGGAAAATGAACAACCTGCTCCTGAATGACTACTGGGTACATAACGAAATGAAGGCAGAAATAAAGATGTTCTTTGAAACCAATGAGAACAAAGACACAACATACCAGAATCTCTGGGACACATTCAAAGCAG
This sequence comes from Homo sapiens, assembly GCF_000001405.40. Classification (NCBI taxonomy): domain Eukaryota; kingdom Metazoa; phylum Chordata; class Mammalia; order Primates; family Hominidae; genus Homo; species Homo sapiens. Next base: position 155,171,334 of record NC_000005.10, read on the forward strand.
TGTGTAGAGGGAAATTTATAGCACTAAATGCCCACAAGAGAAAGCAGGAAAGATCCAAAATTGACACCCTAACATCACAATTAAAAGAACTAGAAAAGCAAGAGCAAACACATTCAAAAGCTAGCAGAAGGCAAGAAATAACTAAGATCAGAGCAGAACTGAAGGAAATAGAGACACAGAAAACCCTTCAAAAAATTAATGAATCCAGGAGCTGGTTTTTTTGAAAGGATCAACAAAATTGATAGACCGCTGGCAAGACTAATAAAGAAAAAAAGAGAGAAGAATCAAATGGACGCAATAAAAAATGATAAAGGGGATATCAACACCGATCCCACAGAAATACAAACTACCATCAGAGAATACTACAAACAACTCTATGCAAATAAACTAGAAAATCTAGAAGAAATGGATAAATTCCTGGACACATACACTCTCCCAAGACTAAACCAGGAAGAAGTTGAATCTCTGAATAGACCAATAACAGGCTCTGAAATTGTGCCAATAATTAATAGTTTACCAACCAAAAAGAGTCCAGGACCAGATGGATTCACAGCCGAATTCTACCAGAGGTACAAGGAGGAACTGGTACCATTCCTTCTGAAACTATTCCAATCAATAGAAAAAGAGGGAATCCTCCCTAACTCATTTTATGAGGCCAGCATCATCCTGATACCAAAGCCTGGCAGAGACACAACCAAAAAAGAGAATTTTAGACAAATATCCTTGGTGAACATTGATGCAAAAATCCTCAATAAAATACTGGCAAACCGAATCCAGCAGTACATCAAAAAGCTTATCCACCATGATCAAGTGGGCTTCATCCCTGGGATGCAAGGCTGGTTCAATATACACAAATCAATAAATGTAATCCAGCGTATAAACAGAACCAAAGACAAAAACCACATGATGATCTCAATAGATGCAGAAAAGGCCTTTGATAAAATTCAACAACGCTTCATGCTAAAAACCCTCAATAAATTAGGTATTGATGGGACGTATCTCAAAATAATAAGAACTATCTATGACAAACCCACAGCCAGTATCATACTGAATGGGCAAACACTGGAAGCATTCCCTTTGAAAACTGGCACAAGAGAGGGATGCCCTCTCTCACCACTCCTATTCAACAGTGTTGGAAGTTCTGGCCAGGGCAATTAGGCAGGAGAAGGAAATAAAGGGTATTCAATTAGGAAAAGAGGAAGTCAAATTGTCCCTGTTTGTGGATGACATGATTGTATATTTAGAAAACCCCATTGTCTCAGCTCAAAATCTCCTTAAGCTGATAAGCAACTTCAGCAAAGTCTCAGGACACAAAATCAGTGTACAAAAATCACAAGCATTCTTATACGCCGATAACAGACAAACAGAGAGCGAAATCATGAGTGAAGTCCCATTCACAATTGCTTCAAAGAGAATAAAATACCTAGGAATCCAACTTACAAAGGACGTGAAGGACCTCTTCAAGGAGAACTACAAACCACTGCTCAATGAAATAAAAGAGGATACAAACAAATGGAAGAACATTCCACGCTCATGGGTAGGAAGGATCAATATCGTGAAAATGGCCATACTGCCCAAGGTAATTTATAGATTCAATGCCATCCCCATCAAGCAACCAATGACTTTCTTCACAGAATTGGAAAAAACTACTTTAAAGTTCATATGGAACCAAAAAAGAGCCAGCATCACCAAGTCAATCCTAAGCCTAAAGAACAAAGCTGGAGGCATCATGCTACCTGACTTCAAACTATACTACAAGGCTACAGTAACCAAAACAGCATGGTACTGGTACCAAAACAGAGATATAGATCAATGGAACAGAATAGAGCCCTCAGAAATAATGCCGCATATCTACAAGTATCTGATCTTTGACAAACCTGAGAAAAACAAGCAATGGGGAAAGGATTCCCTACTTAATAAATGGTGCTGGGAAAACTGGCTAGCCGTATGTAGAAAGCTGAAACTGGATCTCTTCCTTACACCTTATACAAAAATTAATTCAAGATGGATTAAAGACTTAAACGTTACACCTAAAACCATAAAAACCCTAGAAGAAAACCTAGGCATTACCATTCAGGACATAGGCAAGGACTTCATGTCTGAAACACCAAAAGCAATGGCAACAAAAGCCAAAATTGACAAATGGGATCTAATTAAACTAAAGAGCTTCTGCACAGCTAAAGAAACTACCATCAGAGTGACCAGGCAACCTACAAAATGGGAGAAAATTTTTGCAACCTACTCATCTGACAAAGGGCTAATATCCAGAATCTACAATGAACTCCAACAAATTTACAAGAAAAAAACAAACAACCCCATCAAAAAGTGGGCGAAGGACATGAACAGACACTTCTCAAAAGAAGACATTTATGCAGCCAAATACACATGAAAAAATGCTCACCATCACTGGCCATCAGAGAAATGCAAATCAAAACCACAATGAGATACCATCTCACACCAGTTAGAATGGCAATCATTAAAAAGTCAGGAAACAACAGGTGCTGGAGAGGATGTGGAGAAATAGGAACACTTTTATACTGTTGGTGGGACTGTAAACTAGTTCAACCATTGTGGAAGTCAGTGTGGTGATTCCTCAGGGATCTAGAACTAGAAATACCATTTGACCCAGCCATCCTATTACTGGATATATACCCAAAGGACTATAAATCATGCTGCTATAAAGACACATGCAGACGTATGTTTATTGCAGCACTATTCTCAATAGCAAAGACTTGGAACCAATGCAAATGTCCAACAATGATAGACTGGATTAAGAAAATGTGGCACATATACACCATGGAATACTATGCATCCATAAAAAATGATGAGTTCATGTCCTTTGCAGGGACGTGGGTAAAATTGGAAATCATCATTCTCAGTAAACTATCGCAAGGACAAAAAACCAAACACCGCATGTTCTCACTCATAGGTGGGACTTGAGCAATGAGAACACATGGACACAGGAAGGGGAACATCACACTCTGGGGACTGTTGTGGGGTGGGGGGAGGGGGAGGGATAGCATTAGGAGATATACCTAATACTAAATGACGAATTGATGGGTGCAACACACCAGCATGGCACATGTATACATATGTAACTAACCTGCACATTGTGCACATGTACCCTAAAACTTAAAGTATAATAATAATAAAATATAAAAAAATAAAAATTAATTAAAAATAAATAAAAAGGAAGTAAAGATAACATTAAGGGTGTTATAATTGTAGATAGGGGAGTAGATGCAAGCACAGTTGTTAGTACAATTGCTTTGCTTTCAAGTTTGCAAAAGAAATGATCAGTGATCAAATCCTATTTCTTTCTTTCTTTTTTTTTTTTTTTTGAGATGGAGTCTCACTCTGTTGCCCAGGCTGGAGTGCAGTGGCACAATCTCAGCTCACTGCAACCTCTGCCTCCCTGGTTCAAGCTATTCTCCTGCCACAGTCTCCCTAGTAGCTGGGACTAAAGGTGTGTGCCACCATGCCCAGCTAATTTTTGTATTTTTTTTTTGGAGAAATGGGGTTTCACCATGTTGGCCAGGATGGTCTCAATCTCCTGACCTCGTGATCTGCCCGCCTTGGCCTCCCAAAGGGCTGGGATTACAAGCATGAGCCACTGCGCCCGGCCGATCAAATCCTATTTCTTTCACCTCTTAATTTGCTGATGAATATTCCTGGCTATGGTGCAACCATAATGCTCCTAGAATGGTGCTAAGCACACTATAGGGTTAAAAGACCTTTGTCATCCTTCTGCTGTATCCTTTCTTCTCACTATCTGCCTTACCACACTTTTTTTTGTATATTCTTTTATTATACTTTAAGTTCTAGGGTACATGTGCACAACGTGCAGGTTTGTTACATATGTATACATGTGCCATGTTGGTGTGCTGCACCCATTAACTCAACATTTACATTAAGTATATCTCCTAATGCTATCCCTCCCCCATCCCCCCACCCCACAACAGGCCCCAGTGATGTTTCCCTTCCTGTGTCCAAGTGTTCTCATTGTTCAATTCCCACCTATGAGTGAGAACATGCGGTGTTTGGTTTTTTGTCCTCGCAGGTGCATGCTCACCTCTTAATCAATGTGTCAAAAATCCAATGTACAGTTTGTATGTGATATGTCCAGTTCACATTTATGGAAGAGAGAATGTGGAGAATTAGGAATTTTTATATTTTTTGCTGGGATAATACTTTGGCATAATTTTTATGGTGCACAATTTGGTAATTTCTATCAAAATTTAAAATGTCCATGACCTTTGACACAGGAACTTCATTTCTAAGTTTTATCTTGTGGTTTACTTTAACATTTATATGTTGGTTTGTGTAAACAGTTATTCACTGTAGCACTGTGTATAATTGCAAAAGATGAGAAAGTACCTAAATGGCCATCCAATAGGTCACTGGTTAAATGAATGATGATATATTCATATAATGTAATAGTATGTGAAATTATTGTATCTTAATGAATTAATTTGTTCATTGCTTTTTCCCTCCCAGTATAGAATAAACTCCATGAGATCAGGTCCCTTATTTATCTTATGCTCTATCCAACATCTAGCTCAGGCATGACATGTAGATGCTTAATGAGTATTTGCTGAATGAATGCCTGAATGGTTGGGTGCATGGATGGAATCAGAGGTCAGGAAGACAGAGGTTTGGATACTGTTCACATATAGATGATGGTTGAAGCAGTAAGAGTAGAGGAGGTCACCTGGGAATGGTGTAGAGATGAGAGTCAAGTGCAGAACCCATTAGCTAGCCCATAATTTCTCCAGCCAGCTTCCTTGTAACTGGATTTGAACAAAATCTCTGCCTTCTCTTTGGAAAGCAAAAGAGTGCTGTGCTTAAGAGCAGGGCTCTGGAGTAGATGCCTGGGTTTGAATCCAAACCTTGTAATTTACTCTCTGTGACCTTAATCCAACCCTTTAAACTTGCTGAGTCTCAGAGTTTCCTAACATAATGGGGCTAAATGATAGTATCTAACATATAGGAATTTTGTGAAGGTTAAATTAGATTATAGCCTAGATCCTTGTGAGCCTTAAATAAAAATCATTTTTTATTATTATTCTAATTATTAAGAATAGCATTAAAATGCACCAACCCAAGTGGAAACGACTATAGTAAAAATACAGGCATTTGTATAGTACTTTGTAATTATTGAGGTATTTTGCACTTGTCTGCTCATTCAATTTGTACAACAACTCAGCATCTAAAATATGATTATCCCTGTTTTAATGTCCTGTGGCTAAAATATGGCAAAAGTTGGACAAGAACCTAAAGTTTGTATTTCCCAAGTCCAGAAGCCTTTCAGATTGAAGAATCAGAAGAAGAATATCCAGTAAAAAGATTTAACGGTGACATTCATTCACCTGGGATAAAACTGACTTATCCCTGAAACAGTTGGGTTCCAAGCCTTTGAATTATATGTCTCCTAAAAACTTCCAGCATTCAGTGGAAGAATGTCATTCTGAAATGGTTTATTTGGACTGCAACATTGAAGTGGTTGAAGTTAATCTTTTCCATTTCTTCATTCAACGGTATTTGTAGAGCTTTGTGACAGGTACCGTGTGGGATACAGAAAAGTACAATTTATAGATTTTGCCCTTTAAGGTTTTATTGCTTAATCACAATGAAAGTAGGGTAAAATCACATGTTGTGAAACCATAGCTTGTTAGAGCAATGTCTAAACTTCCAGTCTCTGTGGTGAAAGTTTAGGAAAAATCATAGGAAATATGTACCATATTTTCTCTTAATCAAGCAAGCATCACTTGGCAGAAAAGTCATCAATCATTGCTTTCTTGTTATGGATTGACTTGTTGAGTGCAAGAAGGAGATTGTTCAAGATACAAGAAATTTTTCTCTAACAGGTATCCGGCAAACAGAAAAAAGAAAAAGAAAAGGAAAAACAAGAAAAAAAAAGAAACATTTTCTCGTCATGTATTGTGACACACTGTTCCTGTGTGTGATACTGGAAGGTAGGAAGAGACAAAACTGGGTGAGCCCATCACCAGGTCACTGCTTCCAAACCCAACTTTGACTTCCAGGGGCAAGAGAGAGGCAATTAATTCCTTCCTTTTTTTTTTTTTTTTTTTTTTTGAGACAGAGTCTCGCTCTGTCACCCAGGTTGGAGTACAGTGGTGTGATCTTGGTTCACTGCAACCTCTGCCTCCCAGGTTCAAGCAATTCTTCTGCCTCAACCTCCCGAGTAGCTGGGACTGCAGGTGCGCACCACCATGCCTGGCTAATTTTTGTATTTTTAGTAGAGATGGGGTTTCACCACATTGGCCAGGCTGGTCTCGAACTCTTGACCTCATGATCTGCTCGCCTGGGCCTCCCAAAGTGCTGGGGTTACAGGCGTGAGCCACTGTACCCAGCCTAATTCCTTCTTTAAACAGTCATTGGCCGAAAGTTTCCTTTGAATGAGGCAATGTGATAGACTCTGGAAGGATACATACAAGAATAAAGACTGCTCCCTGCCCCCAAGGAAAAGAGGCAACATTATAGAATCATATCACTGCCCTTGAGCCACACTGTCTGGGTTTGTATTCAGTTCCCACCATTTAGCAGCTGCGAGACCTAGGCAAATAACTTCTCTGTATCTTGGTTTCCCAACCCAGAAAATGAATGTAATAATGGTGAGGATTAAACGAGCAAATCCATGTAAATCCCATAGCACTATCCCAGGCACATAATAAGTATGTATTAAATATTAGCTCTTATTATTGTTAGTGTATAAAAGCATAGAGGAGTACTATAGGCTGAACGTTTGTGAACCCTTCAAATTCATTTATAAAATTTCTAACCCCCAAGGTGATGATATTAAAAAGGGGGTCTTTGGGAATTGACTAGGTAATGAGGGAAGAGTCTCATTAATGGGATTAGTGCCTTTATAAATGAGGCCTAATATATCCCTTGCCCTTTCACCATGTGAAGACACAGAAGGTGCTGACTATGAAACAGAAAGCAGGCTCTCACCACACACTGAATCTGCTGGTGCTTTGATCTAGGACTTCCCAGCCTCCAGAACTGTGAGAGATTTCTTTTGTTTATAAGACATTTCTTTATAAGAAATTTCTTTTGTTTATAAGAAATCTAACTTGTGATGTTTTGTTATAGCAGCCCACGCAGACTAAGACAAGGATGCAGAAAGCTGGAATGAGCATCACTCCCATTCTAACCATGAGAAAAGCCAGTGAAACTACAAAATCCTAACTGTTTTTAGACCCATTAGAGAGCTGAGGTCACAGAACAAGCAAATAGCCTGAATTCTGAGAAGGGAGAGGTCCCTCTGAGGAAAGAACGAACATGTGAAGTGTCTCCTCTGTGATGGAACATAGGAAGCAGGGGAGGCTGCTATATAAATGAGAAAGATAAATCAACTAACATTTTCATGAGTTTCTTTAGGCTGAGTATGGGCAGCCTAAAGAAGAAGAAAATCCCAGGGACCTCCTGACACAAGAGGAGTTTGTACCCAGTTGCAGGCTCTTTTCTATAGATGTTTGCCAAGCCCTCACAAGAAAGACTGGGGGAAGAACAAGAGACCAGAGAGCCATCCTCATTTATGCAGGCATGGGGGAGGGGCTGGTCACTGTGAGAAAGAAAGGCACAAAGCCCACCCTCTTACCCTGAACCATATTTCCTACATAGCCACACTTTTAAATTGCTGGGGAAGGGCAGCACCCTATAACTTACAGGGACTAGGTAAAGACTCATTGTTGCTACAGGGAAAGGCAGAGGCCCAAGAGATCAAGTCCAACTGTATGAATGCACTTCTAGCCTCTCCTGCGTTAAATTTGTTAGATTGACTTAACCCCTGTACTAATAGCCTTACCAAAGAAAAGGCATGCCCATTTCAAGGCAGAAGTACTGTTACTCTTACTGCTCTACATAAAATATCTGGGATTCAATAAGATGTTATGGGACACACAAAACATTTAAAGAAAACTCTTGCCAAAAGAAAAAGCAATCAACAGAACCAGACTCCGAGATGACCAGGATTTCAGAACTTTAGATCAGTCAGGAACTTTAAAATAATTATATTTACAATATAATTTTATATCACATATATAGGTGGACAAGATACATGAACATATGGAGAATTTCAGGAGCAATGGAAAGTATAAGAACAAGTCAAATGGAAATGCTAGAAACAAACAAAAACGTCACATAAATCAGAGGTAAATGATTTTTCTGATGGGTCACCAGTAAACTTGACACAGCTGAGAAAAGAATCAATGAGCTTGGAGATAGGTCAGTAGGAATTGCCAAACTGCAACACAATGAGAAATGAAACATAAATGAATATCTGAGAGCTATGATACAGTTTGGTATTTGTATAAGTGGAATCGCAGAAAGAGAACAGAGCAGAATAAATATTTGAAGACATAACAGCTGATATAAAAAAAATAATAAAAGACATCAAACTACAGATCTGGGAAGCTCAGAAAACTCCAAGTAGGATGATAAAAACAAGCAAACAAAAGTCCCCAAAACAAAACATAACAAACTCCAGAAAAACTCAACAACAACAAACACAACTAAGCCATGTTCAAACTGCCCAAAACCAGTAACAACAAGAAAATAGTGAAAACACCCACAGAAAAAAAGACACATACCATACATTAAAGGTAAGAATTATAGCTGACTTCTTTCAGAAGATATGCAAATCAGTAGGCAATAGAGTGTGACATCTTTAAGTGGAAAACAAACCATGACCACCCAGAATTTTACACCCAGTGAAAATAGCTTTCAGAACTGAGAGTAGGATGGGCGCTGTGGCTTACACCTGTAACCCCAGCATTCTGGGAGGTTGAGGTGGGCAGATCACCTGAGGTCGGGAGTTTGAGACCATCAGGACCATCATGGTGAAACCCTGTTGCTACTAAAAATACAAAATTAGCTGGGCATGGTGGTGCACACCTGTGATCCCAGCTACTTTGGAGTCTGAGGCAGGAGAATCGCTTGAACCTGGGAGGCGGAATTGCAGTGAGCTGAGATCAGTCTCAAAACAAACAAACAAACAAACCTGAAGGTAAAATTTAAAAATGTCAAGATAAACAAAAGTTGAAAGAATGTATTATCAGCAGACCTGTGCTACAAAAAAAGTTCTTCAGGCATAGGTGATATAACGCCAGATGGAACCTTGAATGGAAGCAAAATAATAGAGTTCTGAAAATGGTTAAAATTGAAGATAAATAGAAATAAATCCTATTATTATTTTTAATCATTCTAAAAGTGAATTGACTGCCTAAAGAAAAAAGACTAATAATGTATTTTGGTGTATAATGTATGTAAGGGTAAAGTGTATGTTAACAACATCACAAAAGATGGGAGGGAGGAATTGGAAGAGTGAGCATAAGAAGAGTAAAGTCCTTACACACTATATGAAGTAATATAACATTATTTGAAGGTAGACTAATAAGTCCTAGGGCACCAACTGAAAATATTAGAATAAGAAGTATAAATAATAAGTTAATAATGGAAATAAAATAGAATAATAAAAATGCAATCTAAAAGCATGGACACGACGGGGCATTGTGGCTCAAGCTTGTAATCCCAGCACTTTGGGAGGCCGAGGCGGACAGATCATGAGGTCAAGAGATTGAGACTATCCTGGCCAATACGGTGAAACCATGTCTCTACTAAAAATACAAAAATTAGCTGGGTGTGGTGGTGTGTGCCTGTAGTCCCAGCTACTTGGGAGGCTGAGGCAGGAAAATCGCTTGAACCCGGGAGGTGGAGGTTGCAGGGGGCTGAGATTGTGCCACTGCACTCCAGCCTGGTGAAAGAGCGAGACTCCATCTCAAAAATAAATAAGTAAATAAAAATAAAAGCATGGACATGTAAAAATCATGATGCTTTGGGGGAAATGGTGAGAAGTCTGGTAAAGATGTTGACTGTATAAAAAGTGTGAAGTGAGCATAGCGTCTTGAGATAAAGCTAGAAAGGCATATGGGGCTTGATTATGAAGAACCTTATAAACTAGTCTAAACTGGTGAACATCTTTTGAATACTTAATGAAATTTTTTTCCCACCAACTGTGATAAAAACAGATTTTTCTGCAAAGTTTAGTCGGTGGTGCTTCTTCATAGATTCCATTTCTTTAAATGCTAGATGTATCTTGTGATGAGCTTGTGAGGTTTGTAAGAATGCTTGAATGCCATTCTCTTAAGAAGGTTAATTACAGGTATGAAGATTATTTTCAAATAGAAACCTAGTCGCCCTGTGTAGGAAGTATTTATTATTTGTTGCTTACCTTGTGTTTGTTCCTCATAGTCCAGCTTTTATTATATATCACAATATTCCAAGCCATGTGGTTAGGGTGAAAGGGACCTGACTATCAGCTCCACAGACAGCCTCTGAAGGGTATGAACCAGTTAGTACATTCTACACCCATAATTATGGTGATTGGCTCTGGGATGAGCACATAATTCAGGTTACACCCATCAAGAGAAGGCAGACTTCTGGGATATTATTTAAGTTGCCCAATGAGCAGATTCTTTCTATGTAAACATGGAAGATTCTGGACACTACCAGGGAAAAATGTGTCAGATAATGAAGCCCAGTTCTGAAGTTAAAACAGTTGAGAAATGGTGAGAGCTAGTCTGGGATTGCATTGAGACCTGGTGAAACCTCTCCTGAAGCATGCACTTGCTGCATCACCTTTTGATTTAACCATATTGAGTATGGCTTTGCAACTAAAAGCATTCAGTGTATGGAACTAGGTATTTTGGATATTAGATTTCCCTTCATTCTGGTTTCTTTCCCTCATTCAAAATCCTTCTAAAATTTTTCTGCCCTTCACCCTTCCTAGACAGCATTTCTGGCCTTCTTTTGGATAAAAGGTCAGTGGGCTCCCCATTTTCTCAAAGGTGTCACTTATTCCAATTGACATTTACACTTGAATAAACCTTAAACTTCTCTGACCTTTTTTAAAAGCTAGATTTTAAAGAGATATTTTCTCTATTTTAAAACAATATATTGTTGTTGCTTTTCTGTGTAAAAGGCCATATCACTTCCTCCATGTCTTTTGATACTTTTTGTGCCCATTTAGATTTTCTTTTCCCTCTTAAAAATGGGGTTCTGTTTCTTTTCTTTCTTTTTCCCTGCAGTGCGGGATGCAGATGTTTTGTAGGCACATGGCAGCTACTTAACAGTAAGTTTAAAAAATATTTAGCCATTTTCACACACCATTCTTAGTCATGTGAACTAAATAAGGGAATACATTAGCCCCTAAATATTCTATTTAGTGTTGAAAATGAAAAACAACAGATGTAGGTATTTGAGTGGGATAAAATATTGCTAGATAGAAGTCTGAAGTCTGGCCTCATTCACAAATTCAATTTGTTTTGAGAAAGATACGTTGAACTCTTCTCTTGGCCAACTTTTGGTAATTCACAGGCAAAAGATGAATAGGATGTAGACTCAGGGTCCACCTGTCAGGATTAGTCCAAAGAAAAATTTCAGTCAATCTCTTTGTAAATGATTCAAATTCCTCTTTCCATGTAGGTATGGTGCTTCTCATTTGACTTCTTGTCCACTGTTCAGCTTAATCAAGCACTTCCTAGAGCCTTTTCTCTTTCAGTGCCATTTTAGTTTGAGTCTAGTACATGCACTGTGCCAAATGCTTTACTCTTCATTAGCTCATTTAACTCTTACAACAATTTATGAGATGGGCATAATCAATTTATGTGAGGAAACAGGTTTGGAGGGTAAGAAACTTGTCCAGGACCCACCGGCTCATGAGAGGTAGAGCTAAGGTCCAAACCTAGGTTTATCTGAGACCGGAACTCATGTGATTAACTGTGGCTGAGTACTTCTTTTCACTTACACTGAGATGATGAAGGCTGATAGGGCAAATGCCTCTGAATTACTCTAGTAAACATTTTACAATGGGATGAATCTGTAAGTTTGGGGGCCCAATCTCACTTGGATTAATTTCATGCTGCTGTAATAGTCCATTGGGAAGCTATTAGTGGTGGGCTAGTACTCTTACAATCATAAGCTGTGAGGGCCACTACTCCACTTGAGGTATTTATATCCATCGAAATGCTTTGGGTACTATAAAGTCTTCCGTTAGTTTTTTCTCAAATTTCTGTAACATTTTTTCTCTAATGTTATTTGCTGTTATTCATAAGGACTATTGGTTACCAGCTGTTTTCTCTATATAATATTTTCTCTGTAATATAATATTAAAGTATAATATATAAAAATGTTAAAATATATGTATTATACATAAGGTTAGGTATATATTAATATAATCTATAGTATTTAATATATATTATACATTTAATATATATTAGGTTAAAGATCTAACCTGGTTGATATGGTTTGGCTGTGTCCCCACCCAAATCTCAACTTGAATTGTAGTTCCCATAATCCCCACATGTTGTGGGAGGGACCAGGGGGAAGTAATTGAATCATGGGGGCAGTTACCCCCAATCCTGTTCTTGTGATAGTGAGTTAGTTCTCATGAGATCTGATGGTTTTATAAGGGGCTTCCCCCATCGCTGGGCACTCAGTCTCTCCCCTACCACCCTATGAAGAGATGCCTTCTGCCATGAGGCCTGAGGCCTGAGGCCTCCCCAACCATGCAGAACTGTGAGTCAATTAAACCTCTTTCCTTTATAAATTACCCAGTCTTGGGTATTTCTTCATAGCAGTGTGAGAAGGGACTAATACACTAGTTTCCCCAGGAACCTCTAACCTCTAGCATTCCTGATACTTAGAGTCCCTTTGACATCTTGTTTACTTTCTTTATTTTATTCCAAATTCCTCTCTCCATGTGGGTATGGAGCTTCTCATTTGACTTCTTGTCCACTGTTAAACTTCATCAAGCACTTTCTATAGTCTCTTTTCTTTCAATGCCATTTTAGTTTGAGACTAAAGAGACTCTGAGAGATATTCAGTTCCCAGGCTGCTTGGATCTTTCATTGACATGTTAGCAAAAGCTTTTCATCCTCTCTTACTCACAGACACTTCTCCCCTCCTGGCTCCTCTATTTCAATTTCATTAGTCAATATCTTGGTAAGTTTTGGCTAATAAAACATTGCAGCTCCCTTTCTTGAAGTACTCACTGGTAGATTGCTTGAGCACTGTGGTTATGTCCTTGGGTCTGCTGCCTACTCTTTAGCTCTGAGAAACACACAACGTATCCCTCAGAGTAGAAAGCTATGCGGCCAGAAGCAGCTTAGGCTAGGATCTGAAGGCCAAGGAAAGCTTAGATCCCTTCATGCTTACTGGGTTCCTGATTGCCCATCCAGCTTGGGTGGAGCTTTAATGCCAAGGCTTTTGGAATTGAAACCCCTCTAGGGAGTTACAGCCATGAGGACCACACAGTGGAGCCCTCTCTAGGTGCCGTTCTTTGGAAACAGGACATCTTACCAAGCAGCCCTTCAGGCTTCTGACTCTTTCTGAGGCAGGAACATTGCGTGTGATGGAACGAAACTCTTGTTGGACCAATCTTTGATGCCAGGTTAGTAGCAGGATGCTTGTCATTATGGGTCCAGAGGAAACTTCCAAACCGTCAGTCCCCATACCGGGAGCCCTTTGGAGGACTGGAGGACCAATTCCCACTGGAAAGCCCCACTTTCCTGGCTTGGCATGGGAGGTGCTTTCCTGTGGATGCCCTCCTCCCAGGGAGATGAGAACTCATACAGCCCCTTTCTCTGAGTATATTCATAGATGGGATACCAGCCCATACAAGATCAACTCATAAGGGTTCAGGCTTCTACCTTTGTAATACTTTCCATTTTCTTCAGGTTTGTGTAAGAAATACTTCTATTGGATACTAACTTGATCTGACTTAAGATCCTTAGATATATTTTTATATTTGACCTTTGAAGATGATGCCTGAGTTAGGTTCTGCCAGGGCATTGCTGTACAATGGTTGGTGAATATTTCACCAACAGACCCTGGTTCATGCTAAAAGCTAAGTTATTTCATAAGTCCAACGTATAAAAAGACACCAACCAAGGGAACAAATTATACAAACAGCAAGCTATTTCAGGAGGTTGTTTTTAAAATTATTTTATTCCACAACAGGGTTAAAGTGAGAGAGAATGTCTTTATAATGTCACCTTCATTAAAACAAACCATGAGAGAGGAAAAATGTTGCTGATGTCAATCATGACACGCTACTCTGACTTAATGAGCAAACTGCATTTCTAATAGTAATGATTATTTTGCTTGTCTTCATGGAAGAGGGGTTATTGAGTGTTCTCCAACTCTTCAGGGAATCACTTATAAAGTGAGGTATTTTACACGTTGGTTAAACCATAAATCTTGTTGTCCTTGCAGTCAGAAGCATTTAAAGGTGCATCATTTTTTTTTTCTTGAGAAAAGTCACCTCTCAGTTATTAAGTTACTTCTAGACACCTGGCTCCACCATCAAACAGAGAGAAGTAATGTTGCTTGTTCTGGCCAATAGTGACAGATTGGTTTTTAAGAAGACACAGAATTTTAAAGTGGTTGTTCTCATGAGTCCTACTAGATAAATTTGATTTACCAGATGTTTACAAAAACAATTGAGGGGCCAATATGTTTGTACATTTTCGATCTGTGAATGTGAGAACCTTGCCTAATTCACATCTGCCATCAATTTTAATTTCTTCAAGTGGAGAAAGGATGTAAATATGAACCCAATACTGAGCTCATCGATGGCAGGGATTTGTAGCTTATCTTTGTATCCTTAGCACCTCACATTCACTCATCCATTTAACAATTATTGCATCCAACAAAAATTTACTGAGCACCTAAGCACCTACTATGTGTCAGATGCTGTTCTAGATGCTGAGGATATTTCAGTGAATAAAACAGATAAAATCTCTGCTTTTATGGAGATTATATTTTAGAGGATAAGGCTAAAAAATATAATACATAGGTATGAAGAAAAAGGTGAATAAGGGGAGAGAGAATGAAAGGAGAGGTATATATGTGTGTGCTATTTTATGTACGTGGCTTCTCTGATCCCATGACATTTAAATAGAGACTGAAAGAAGTGCAGAAAATAGCCATGTGGCTATCTGTGGGAAGAGTGTTCCAGGCAGACGGAACAGCTAATGCAAAGGCTCTGAGGTGGGAATGTTCTTGGTGTGTTTGTAATGCAGCAGGATGGCAAGAGGGTCTGGAGTGGCACGGTGGAGGGGCGGAGTGGCATGGTGGAGGAGCAGAGTAGCAGGATAAGAGTTTAGAGGTAGAGGGGGAAGAGGACTGTTCACCAAGGGCTGAGTAGGTCAAGGTTAGGGCTTTGGACTTTAGTGTGAGTATGATGGAAGTCTTGGGGGTGGGGAGTTGAATAGGGGAGTCACATAAGCTGGTTTGTATTTCAGAAGTATCTGGAGCTGGTGTATGCAGGACAAAAGGGTGTTTTCATTCTTGAAAAAGCTGTTGGGAGGCTCTTGCAATTGTTCTGGTGAGAGATGATGGTGGTTTGGTGGTGGAGGTGGTGATCACCTCTTAGCAGAAATCCTCACATATCAGAGGTACTCAATAAATGTTTGAGGTTTTTATTCACCTGGACTTCACTGCCCCTCCCTCCTTTGGGTATCTGTAAAACCCATGTAATTGAGGCAAATACACTACCTTCCACTCTTATTTTCTTTTCAAAAGAAGTTTAAAGTGTATTATTTTTTCAGACCATAAAAAAGGGAGTGAATTCTCAGAAGCTCCAAATATTAAAATGAGTGATACGTTAAAACAATTTTTTAAAAATTAAAAATCAAACTCCTTTATATTCTGCTAATATCATATATTTATTGCATCTATTTGAAGGAGAACTTCTGTGCCTTCTCCACTTTTAGAAACATTTTTAGTTGTGGTAAAAATATATAAAATTTACCATCTGTACCATTTTTAAGTGTACACTTCATTGATAATAAATACATTTATATCCTTTTTTTTTTTTTTACCTTCATGCCACCTGCCCTCCTTACCCTTCCCAGCCTCTGGTAGGCACCATTCTACTCTCTATCTTCATGAGATCCATTTTTTAGCTCCCACATATGAGTGAGAACATGCAATATTTGTCTTTCTGTGCTTAACTTATTTCATTTAACATAATGACCTGCAGATCCATCCATGTTTCTGCAAAGGACAGGATTTCATTCCTTTTTATGACTGAGTAATATTCCACTGTGTATACTTATCATATTTTCTTAATTCAGTCATCTGATGATGAACACTTAGGTTTATTTCATATTTTGGTTATTGTGAATAGTTCTGAAATAAACATGGGATATCTCTTCAGTATATTGATTTCCTTTCATTTGGTTATATACTTGGGAGTGGAATTGCTGAATCATATGGTAGTTCTATTTTTAGATTTTTGTGGAACTTCTATACAGCTTTCCTTAGTGGCTGTACTTATTTATTTATTTATTTATTTATTTATTTATTTATTTATTTATTGAGACAGAGTCTCTGTCACTCAGGCTGGAGTGCAGTGGCGCCATATCTCGTCTCACTGCAACCTCTGCCTCCCAGGTTCAAGTGATTCTCCTGCCTCAACCTCCTGAGTAGCTGGATTACAGGCATGCGCCACCGTGCCTGGCTAATTTTTTGTATTTTATTAGAGATGGAGTTTCACCATGTTGGCCAGGCTGGTCTTGAACTCCTGGGCTCAAGTGGTCTGCCTATCTTGGTCTCCCAAAGTGTTGGGATTACAGATGTGGGCCCCTGTGCCAGGCCAAATTTACATTCCCACCAACAGTGTATGAGGATTCCCCTTTCTCCCCATCATTGCCAGCATCTGTTCTTGCTTGTCTTTTGGATACAAGCCACTTTAACTGGGGTGAAATGACATCTCATTGTGGTTTTGATTTGCAATTCTCTGATGATTAATGATGTTGAGTGGCTTTTTGTATACCCTTTGGCCATTTGTATATCTTGAGAAATGTCTGTTCAGATCTTTTGCCCATTTAAAAAATTGATTATTAGTTTTTTTTGCCATTGAGTTTTTTGACCTTATATATACTTGCTATTCATCTTTGTCAGATGAATAGTCTGCAAATATTTTTTCCCATTCTATGGGTTGTCACTTTACTCTGTTGATAGTTTCCTTTGCCGTTCAAAAGCCTTTTACCTTGATGTAATCCCATTTGTCTATTTTTGCTTTGGTTGCCTATGCTTTTAAGGTCTTATAGAAAAAAATCTTTGCCCAGACCAATGTCCTGGAGCATCTCCCCAATGTTTTCTTCTAGTAGTTTCATAGTTTCAGGTCTTAGATTTAAGTCTTTAATCCATTTTGATTTGATTTTTGTGTAGGGTGAGATATAGGGTTCTAGTTTCATTCTTCTGCATATAGTTATTCAGTTTCCCCAGCACCATTTATTGAAAAGATTGTCCTTTCCCCATTGTATGTTCTTGCCACCTTTGTCTATGATAAGTTGACTGTAAATGTGTGGATTTATATTTGGGTTCTCTATTCTGTTCCATTGGTCTGTATGTCTGTTTTATGCCAGTACCATGCTGGCTTAGTTACTATAGCTCTGTAGTAAATTTTGAAGTCAGGTAGGGTGATGCCTTAACTTTGTTCTTTTTGTTCAGGATTGCTTTGGCTATTTGTGTCTTTTGTGGTTCCATATACATTTTAGGGCTTTCCCCCCCCGTTTCTTTGAAGAATATCATTGGTACTTTAGGGATTGCCACTTGTTTTAGAATAAAAGTTTTAAGATCACTGCATTTTCACTTTCTAAGTCCTGCTCAAAGCTTTGCAGCAAATTATCTTTCCTTTACATAGGCGCTCCTCCACTTGCCAAAAGCTGGCCCTTTCCCACCCCTGTTTCCAGTGGAACACAAGCCAAGATGGTTTTCACCGAAAGTACTTTTTCACTTCCATCAGCATCTTTGATGATTATCATTAATAATGTCAGCTCAGCTCTGGAAACAGTCTGGGAAGTTAACCAGTTGATTTGCTTTCTCCCTCATTTTGTGGTTGTCTGGCTACCATAAAGGCAAAGTAGTCTGGAGGGTGACAGAGGTCTCTTGAAGGGGCAGCTGACAATTTAGAAGCATGGGTAATACAGTGATGAGTTTGAGGGTTACAGCTCCCCTGATCTCAATTAGAGTCAAGTTGAACCACACAGGGCAGTGGTTCTCCAATTTAAGTGTGCATCAGAATCACCTGGAGGGCTTGTTAAAATACAGATTACTGGGCTCTACTCTCAGAATTTCAGGTTCAGTCACTCTGGGATAGGGCTTGAGAATCTGCATTTTATCAAGTTTCTAGGTGATGCTGATGCTGGGCTTTGAGAATCACTGAGCTAAGGGAATTCACCTCTGTGTAGGGAGAGAGGAAATTGTGTGGGCAATTCAGTATGGCATTTCCTCAGTGAGCACATGCACAAGAGAGAGTGAGCAGCAGGAGGTACATTCCTCAGATTAGCGCAAAGCGGGCTGTCAAAGAAGTAGGAGCCAGGGTCTTCGTCTATGAGAAGATTGTAACTAATGCTGAGAAGAAAATGCCACTCATTCTGAAATAAATGCATACGTGAGGGTAAATTGTTCCTAGCGTTGAGTCAAAGGAGGGATATGGATGGAGAGAAAGAGAGGAATCTTAAGCCAGGCCACCTAGCAGTTGGCGGGACTTGGAGGAATGAAGACATCTGTGGTAGGGACAATGGCAGCAGTAAAATCTCAATGGCAGAGTTGAGCAAGCGGGGGCAGTTGTTATCAGGGGATTGGGTAATTAGGAACCTGGATGACTGGAGGAAAAAGACCAGTTTGGGGAGACAAAAGGAATAAATTTTGGAAACTGGCCAAATGGAAAGGAAGCGTAACAAGGTCTTGGGCCCTGGCGAGTGTAGATTGGATGGTGAGTCATATCTAATGTGGAGCACAATAGCTCCTTTCAGGAAGCAGTGTGAAGTTGTGCCTGAGCACTTGCTTACCGGAGAGGTGCATGTGTGCCTCAGGTTTCTCTTTCTGTTGAAACAGAAATTACCTTATGAATAGGACAAATAACCATAAACTCTAAGTAGTTATGCTTTTAAGCATTAAGGAAGAAGCATCTTTTATACAAACCAAAGGCAAGGGTTTCAATGTTAGCATTCTATAAAAAGGCTCTAGCATTTGAGTGAAGCAGGTGTCTTGAATGCTTTCATTTTTATGTATTTATTTTTAGTCTCAAATATTGTGATTTGGAAAACTGACTTTCACAACAGCCAAAGAGCAAATGAGGATTCTAATAATACTCTAATAGATATTTGCCTTTGATTCTAAAGTACAATAAAATAATGAAGACATTTGCTAACCTTCTGTATACCTCGTGGAATTTCTGAAGATGCTGAGAATTTGATAATAGGTAGTACAACTAAACAAATAACCCCCTAAACATAAATAGTGCCCAAAATTATTTTAAGGCAATAGCCCATTCAAATGATGTAAAATATGGAGTTTAATAATAATAAACATTTCAATAATATGATAATAAATGTGACCAACATTTTTAAGTGCTTATTCTGTGCCAGGCACTGTGTGTGTGTATGTGTGTGTGTGTGTGTGTTTGTGTGTGTTTTCATGCACACATGCTCCTTGGTGTGTATATGCACACACAAACACTTAAAAATAGCATTATTGGGGTATAATTACATATAATCTCTACTCACTGCACATGTATAATTTAATGATTTTAGTAAATTTATAAAGTTCTACAGGCATTGTCACAATCCAGTTTGAGAACATTTTCATCACCCCAGAATGTTTCCTTGTGCTTTTTGCTGTCAATCCCATTCCTATTCCCACTCCCAGCCCTAGACTGCTTAATTCTCTGTCTTTGTGCATTTGCCTTTTCTGGACATTGCAAATAAATGGAACCATACGATGTGTAATCTTTTGAGTCTGACTTCTTTCACATAGCAGAATGTTTTTGAGATTCATCCATATTGTACCATATATCCATAGTTCATTTATTTTTATTGCCAATAGTATTTCATTATATGGATATACAACATTTTCTTTGCCCATTCACCAGTTGATGGTCATTTGAATTGTTTCTAGTTTTGGATTATTATGAACAACACTGCTGTAATATTTCCTTATATGTCTTTGTATACACACAGAATTTTAGTTGTCCCAATTATCCTGTGGCTAGTACCATTACAATGTATTTTTCTCCAGAGAATAAAAAAATTTATAACTTGCCCAAGGTGATTGTATTAGTCCATTTTCATACTGCTATAAGAAGTATCCAAGACTGGGTAATTTATAAAGGAAAGATGTTTAATTGACTCACGGTTCCACATGGCTAGTGAGGCCTTAGAAAACTTAAAATCATGACAGATGGGGAATAGGTACGTCTTACATGGGGCAGGCAAGAGAGAGTACATGCAGGAAAAGCTACCATTTATAAAACCGTCAGATCTCATGAGAATTCTCTCACTCACAAGAACAGCATGGGGGAAACTGCCCCCATAATCCAACCACTTCCTTTCCTCCACATGTGGGGATTACAGGTCCCTCCCTTGACATGTGGGGATTAGAATTTGAGATGAGATTTGGCTGGGGATACAGAGCCAAACCATATCAGTGATAAATGCAACAGGAGTAATATTTTGAAAAAATATAGCATATGCTTTCTTTTTTTGCACTTGTGTATGCTTTACTGAATCCCCAAATTAGCCCCAAGTCATTCATCTACTTCAGTTTTAGGAAAATGATAGCAGACATGCAAAAATTTAAAACAGGTAATCAGCTTCTGACATTTAAAATAAGATTTAGGCTTCACAGTAAAATTGAAGCCAGGCTTTAGAAGGAAGAATGTAAGAAGAGAGAAAGAGAAGAGGATAGGAAATCTATTTATTTTATAGTATTTTTAGTATATCTAGAAGAAAACCTGCATGATTTAGATCATAGTTTCTTCCATAGTGTAGAGAAGAAACCTCTTCCATGTGTTGGCTAGGCTACAAGGCTTGCTGCCCCAAGTTGGAGGAGGATATACAAAATCTGATGAGAAAGCAGAAGCCTGATCCTTCAGGCCAGGGTGTTTGTGGGAAGAAGAGGAGAGTCAGCGGTGGGACTGTGGGTCCTGATCTCCCTACTGTGGATATTGGGCTGCAGCAAATGGGGATGATGGAATTAATTAAAGGAGTGACAATGTCAAGTTGGTTTGGATTCAAGGAACATTTAGGGCTCTGGGCAGAATTTACCTCTAGGCTGCCCTGCTCCAAACTGGAGTGGGGACAGTTTATCAAAGGACCCCTGGCCATCCCACATGATTAGGCAGAGAGAAGGTCAAGGTTTAGCTTTTCTAAATTGCCTTCAGTGTACTTGTGGCATGGAGGGAAGTGCCTGTGTGCTCCAGAGAGTGGATCCTGGAGGAGTTGGTCTGAGGAACACCAGCACTGCCTTACAGATAATGTGGGTGACTGTTTCTGAGACCAAGACTCAGCAGCTTTAGCAAGGGCTATGGCAAGACCAAATCAGCTGGAGAACCTATCCAGGCTATCATCGCAACCAGACTTTGGGGTGTGTTAGGCACTAATTTCAGCAACAGCATAACACCAGGAAGAGAACCAGTAACAGCCATGAGGTCCCCAACCAATTGGCTCATAACCAATGAGGAGCAGGAGATTAGGGGTTTTCCTGCCCCAGGGCTCGCACTAGAGTGAAGCAAGTGAGCACTAAGGTCACCAGATTTAAAGAGGGGCTCACTCTCAGGATTGTGCGAGTTCTTCCCAAATTCTGCATCTTACACACCTCACTTGCTGCATCCTAGTCTCAGCCCTGGTTACAACACTGCCAGGTTACATAAGTCCACCTCCCACATTTCTGGTCTTGGAGAGGAGCAGGGAAGCGGGTGGAAATCTATGACCGAACATTTATATTTAAAGTGAGTGAGTCTTACCTAAGGAATTTAAAATTACTGTGTCAGTTCAGGTTTGCTGAAGTGGACTCCATCTAGGTTTTATTGTTTGTTTGTTTGCCCATTTCCCGTTGCCCAGGAAGTGAGTGCTTCTGTCAAAGAGCAGGTCTGTTAGGGAGATAAATAGAGAAACACCATTTCCTTGGCACCTGGGAGAGCAATGTGAGTGAATTTGTGACCTATTTACATCCCAGTAGTGAGTCATGGGGCTGGGATTTGAAACCAAATTTGCATGACTCTGGAGCCCACTCTTTTCACTGCTGTCCTTTGGAGATAATAATAATAAGGATAATAGCTAACACGTTCTGAGAGCTCATTATGTGCCAGGCACTGTTCTAAGTGCTTCCTGTGGATTAACCCATTGAATCTTCATAATACCACATTGGTAGGTGCTAGTCTCATTTTACAGGAGAGGAAACTGAGATGCGAAGACATACAGTGACTTCCCCAAGGTCACACAGCACGAAAATGGTAGTGAGCCAGGTGCTCTGGCTGCAGAGCCCATGCTCAGAGCCACTTCAGCATGAGGGCAGTTGACTGAGATGATGCCATCTTACACAGAGCACTTTTCACTTTTCCAAGAGCTTTCACAGCATGGTCTTATTTTATCCTCATGATAGGCTTAGCAGTTAAATGAGGCAGGAGGTAAAATTGCCATTTTACGTATGAGGAAACAGTGATGCCAACAGCAGCTGAGGAACAGTGTGGGGGCTTGTACATGCCAGGGACACTGGGGACGAGTGTCAAGTGTGTGGAGGAATGTAGGGAGATAGCATAGAGCACTTTGAATGTCACGTCAAGGAGTTTGGCCTGGAAAGTTAAATACAGATTAGAGACTGAAAAGAAAAGATATTGAAGACGTACTTGAAGTTGACAATGTGTTTAAAAATTACTTCTCAATAGGGCTCTGTCTGGATCCTAAAAAAGAAAATTAAGAAGCTGCTGAATGTGTCAGCTTTCTTTTAAGTCCCATAAGCGTATTCTTCTTGTCATCAATTCTCATTAAAGGTTGGTTGAACCCAAAGAAGATGTCAGTTTTTCTAATTACTAAAGATATTTAAGGAATAATCTCCATCTTATGCTGTTAGATGAAGCAAATAAGTAGCAGTGGAGATTGATTAATGACCAAAGCAAACCTGAGGCAATCAATCACAAAAGTCATTTATTCCGAAGTATTTAATGGAGAAATGTTTTCCAAAAATGTGGCATGTGAGGTGGTTTTAGGTAATATCCAAAGTGAAATTTTTAATAGCTATAATTTTTATGTTATTATTAGAGGAATATTGGTTTTCTATTTATGGGAATTATATACTTAAATTTAAGCTTAAATGTCAAGTTGATTTAAAGGGAATAATATATAGGTGGTATATGAATATAGAAAAAACACAAAGATGGTATGCAAATGCTAAAATTTGGAGAATGCTGTATTAATGGAACAAAGACCAACTCATTACAAAACAACTCAAAGGTGAAGATAAAATATTTTACTCCCTTCCTATCCCCACTCCCAACTCTTTTTTAGAGTTTATATATATCATGCACCGTGCCAGATATTTTTCTGGCATCAACTCACTTTGTTTTACAACAGCCTGTCAGTTGCCACCTGAGAATTGTTCTCTCCTTATTCCTCAGTAGAAGAATGCTGATTGTATTGGGGTGGCAATAGCTCCCAGCGAAAAGACTATATTTCCAGGCTGCTTGGCAACAAGGCATACTGTGGGACTATATTCTGGTGCAGGAGCTGTTAGGTGGGAGTGTTGTGTGTAACTTCTAAGACTGGCTGTTTAAGTGATGCTAACTCATCTGGGAGAAGTACCCATTTGTCCTTTCCTTTTCCTCCTTCCTGCTGCCTGGAATGTCTTTGTGATGGCTGGAATTCCTGTAGCCATCTTGGACTATGAGGTAACTTTGAAGATGGAAACCAAGTGCTTGTATGATGGAGCAGAAAGAGAGAAGCAGCAAGAGGCCCTGATATTCATGTGAAGCTGGACCTTCCCTGGACTGTGTACCTCATATCTCTTTTACCTGGGATAGAAACAAATTTCTATCTTTTAAAACTTCCATTATTTGAGGTTTTTAGTTAAAGCAGCCAAGCTGAATACTGTTGATCCAAGATGAAATATCAATTTATAAAGCTTTTGATGTAAGTAACTAAACAAAACTTATGGAAGCTTCAACATAGGTACGTATTTTTCCCACATGAAACAGTGCAGAAGTATGTGGCTGTTTAATGATGTCATCCAGAGCCCAAGTTCTCTCAACCTTCTGTTCTTTGACCCTTAGAATATTGGCCTTAATCCTAATGCTTGACAACTCATGGCTGCAAGATGGCTGCTACAGCTCTAGGCATTATGTCCACAGAGCAAGCAAGAAGGATGAGGAAGCACCAAAGTTCTGCTCCTCACAGGCTTTGTCTTTTTATGTGGGAAGAGAATTCCTCCTGAGCCTAGTTCCCTTAATATCTCATACAGAACTGCATCTCCTATGTCTGTGGTGGGATCCACCTTCTTGAAATCAATGGGTCTCTGTTAACCACTGAAATACACTGGGATTCTGTTACTAGGAAAGAAGGAAGTGGGGAGAGGCTGTGGATAGGCCACAGACAGTGAGGAAAGCAAGGCTTACAAATGCTGCGACATGCCAATATTACATAGCCAGTTTGTGGAAAACTAGATTTTGAATGAAGCTTGAACTTCCAAACCTGGGGTCTTAATTGCTATGACAAACTCTCAGGAAGTTTTCAGACACCTTTACTTTCCTTTCTTCAAATTTTGTTTTTAGAATCTCTGTCAGAGATTTTCTATGGGAAGTCCTAGGTTTCACAGCATGTGGAATTGAGAGACAAGAAAGATCCCTTCCAACTTAAGCTTCTAGAGCAGCTCTGTCTAATAGAACTTTTGAAATGGAAATGTTCTATGCTGTGCTAATACAGTAACCACTACCCACATGTGGCGATTTAGGACCTGAAATATGGCAATTGTGACTGAGGAATGGAATTTTTAATTTCATCTAATTTTAATTTAAATAGCCACATGTGGCTAGTAGCCACTGTATTGAACAGCACAGTTCCAAAGCTTCAAATTATTTGTTCTCAAAATTCTAAGATTCAACCTAAATGCTAAGAATCAACAAAATTCCACCGCCAAAACAGAACTTTTTGTTTTCAAGAAGTAATGGCCCACTGCTGCTTTGTATGAGATGGTGTTAAAGGCCAGCAGACATAATAGTTTTATGAAGGAAGTTCAGTGTGGATATAATCATGTTATAAATAAATATTGGTACATAGAATCTGCCTGCTAAAAATACTGATTTATGGAACTTCAAGTTTGCTTACAGCAAATCAAGCTTGTATTTCTGAAGTGTCAGGAGGACAGCTCTTTGGCCCAAGAAGAAAAAACCTACAGCAAGCAGAGCTAGAGAGTGGGGGCATGGGTTAGCAGGGGAAAGCAGTGAGTCTCCTATTAGTTCTGAGGCAGAGCTGGTGGTATTATTATTGCTACAAAAGCCTATAATGACTTTCCCCTGAGCCAATAGTAAGTTCAGATCTTGTTTTCTAGGACCCAGTTAGTTTAAATGCTGTATTGTGTGTGTGTGTATACACATACACACACACACACACTTTTTTTGATTTATTATTTTTTAATTCTGTATATTATGATGTTTTGAGATCTGTATGATTATATCCCCCAAAAATTCATATTTTGGAATCCTAACCCCATTAGTTATTGAGGGTGGAGCCCTCATAAATGGCATTAGTGTACGATATAGTTTGGATATTTGTCCCTGCCCAAATCTCTTGTTGATTTGTAATCCCCAGAGCTAGAGGTGGGGCCTGGTGGGAGGTGTTTGAGTCATGGGGGCGAATCCCTCAAGGCTTGGTGCTGTCTTCATGATAGTGAGTTTCTGCAAGATCTGGTCTTTTAAAAGTGTGTGGCACCTCCCTTCAATTCTCTTTCTTGCTCCTGATTTTGCCATGTGACATGCCTGCTCCCACTTCACCTTCTGTCATGAGTAAAAGCTTCCCAGAGCCCTCCCCAGAATCAGATGCTGGTGCCATGCTTCCTGTACAGCCCGCAGAGCTGTGAGCCAATTAAACCTCTTTTCTTATAAATTACCCAGCCTCAGGTATTTCTTTATAGCAATGCAAGAATGGCCTAAGACAGTGTCCTTATAAAAGAGGCCCAAGAGAGACCATTTGCCCCTTCCACCATGTGAGGTTATGGTGAGAAAACCAGCTTTCTGTGAAGCAGAAGATGAGCCCTCACTAGACACTGTATCTGCCTGTTCCTTGATCTTTGACTTCCCAGCCTCCAGAACTGTGAGAAATAAGTTTCTGTTGTTTATAAGTGTTTTGGTTTATGGTATGTTATAGCAGACTGAATGGACTAAGACAGCATCTTAGAAAAACTTTTCTGGCTCAGGAGTGACTAAACCCTCCAGGGACTTCTCAGAGATAGCAAGTGTTCAGCCAGGAGCGTGCCTTTGATAGGCAAACTAACCAATCCAGAGCCACCCCTCCTGTCTCTGGCCTGTACACCCAGGAGACAATACTCCTCTGCCGTAATCATCCCAGAAACAAGTACCAGCCAACTAGGACCCCATCTCCACTATCATTTAGAACCTGCTAAAATTATTCAGACTCACCAAATGCTAAACTATTTGCCTTGTCTTGTCTTTCCCATGGAAACCCCGACAAAAGCTCTGGTCTAGTGCCTTTCCCTTGATCCTGTCTCCTGCCTCCTGACCCTCCTGATGTCTTTCCATTGTGGTCCTGGGTGACATGCCATGCTTCCTATCTCCAGGACCTATGAATATAACAAATTTTGTTTTCCTGAGCCTCTCCTCTGTCTCCTCTTGTGGCCACATCCAAGTTACCATATCACAAAAGAAAATGAAACAAATGCTTTGCCCTAATATTGTGTCTAGGCCAGGTGTGGTGGCATTTTGGGAGGCCGAGGCGGGCAGATCACCTGTGGTCAGGAGTTTGAGCCCAGCCTGGCCAACACGGCGAAACCCCGTCTCTACTAAAAATACAAAAATTAGATGGGTGTGGTGGTGAGCACCTGTAATCCCAGCTACTTGGGAGGCTGAGGCAGGAGAATCACTTGAACGTGGGAGGTGGAGGTTGCAGTGAGCTGAGATTGTGCCACTGCACTCCAGCCTGGGCGACAAGAGCAAAACTCCATCTTAAAAGAAAAAAAAAATATATTGTGTCTAAAGAGATGAGGCTATTTTAACATGAGTCCATCTTATAGCAACTGAAGTGAACTGTACCTTGGAAAAGCAAGCAATTTTGTCTTTTGCATCTGTTAATTTGGTTCAGGAGGAAAAAACACTTCTGGGTAATTTAGTTTTTTTTTTTTTTTAATGTTAGATTGCTGACCAGTGAACCTACATCAGAGAAATAAAACAAACCTGTTTTAGCTTATTAGTATTTTCTGTTTCACAAATCCATTCCCTTCTATTGACAACACTAAAAGCAAAATGAATGATTGTAATGGTGTTGGGATAGTATGTACTCTGTTATTCTCTGCTAGGGGAAGGGAAGTTTGAGAGTCCATCCTGGGTAGCCTGACTGTTAGACTTGGCATTTGGAAAACCCCAAATGGCATCTAACTAACTAACTTGTATTGTTTTGGGTTTTGACTGATTTCCCTGAAGTTTGTAGCATGGGTATTTTTATAGGATTTTTGTTTATTTTGTTTTGCTGTGCCAGGTTTCCCACTCCTAAAAAACAAAAGGGCATGATTGGCAGCAGGAACTCCGAGCTTCGCGGTGCACCAGGGTTGATAGGGTTTGGATGTTTGTCCCCTCCAAATCTCGTGTTGAAATGAGATTCTCAATGCTGGGGGTAGGGCCTGCTGGGAGGTGTTTGGGTCAGGGGGTGGATTCCTTGTGAATGGCTTGGTGCTGTCCCTGCTATTATATAATGAGTTCACGTGAGATCTGGTTGTTTAAAAGCTTGTAGCACTTCACCCCTCCCACCTCACTCCCTCTCTCGTCATGTGATGCGCCTACTCCCACTTCACCTTCTACCATGACTGAAAGCTTCCTGAGGCCGCACCAGAAGATGGGCAGATGCCAGCGCCATACTTCCTGTACACCCTGCAGAACCATGAGCCAATTAAACTTCTTTTCTTTATACATTACCCAGTCTCAGGTATTTCTTTAGAATGACACAAAAACAGACTAACACAAGTAACACAAGGAAGAATTTGCCAAATAAATCAGGAGCAGAACATACAGAATGAGCCTTTTCTCACCCCTGGTTACGTTGGCTCTAGTTCTTCCATTCTGAGTGTTGGAGCTCAGAAAATAGCACCCCAGAATGAGGGCCTCAGAAGCAGCCTCAGAAGCAGAAGTTTTTCTCTGACCTCTGTCCTCCTGTGTCTCAGTCTCATTCTCCCCCTGAGGGTAGCCATAGAAATTAGAACTCCCCTTCCTGAAGGTGGGTCATAAAAAACAAAATCTCTTCTCTCCAAAGCCAGCTATAAAACCTGAAAATATTACTCTAACTTTCCTCTGCCTTACTTTGTAAAAATAGACCATAAAGAAATTATGTGACCTATCTTGTTTGATTGTAGATCAGAGGACCCCCCCATTCCAGAGAGGGTCCTGCTGCATATGCAGGAGGAAGGAATTCTGCTCAGAGAGGCCAAGAGACATCTAGACAGACAGGCCTTGCTGGGTTTCCCCACTTCGTCTATTAACATTGGATTATACCCTTTTGCCCAATCCTATTTCTACATAGCCATCCATACTTTGTTGAATCTAAGCGTATAAAAGGACAGTTTCTACTTGTTAATGGAAAAACTAAACTTTGTAAAATATTTTGGAAGAGGTTTATTCTGAACCAACATGAGTGACTGTGACTTGGAAAAATAGTCTCAAGGAGTCTTGAGAAACTGTGCCCAAGGCGGTCAGATTACAGTTTGTTTTTATTTTTTAATATTTATTTGGAAGGAGGATCATCATGGCAGATGAGAGGCAGGACTAGATTGATTGCAGCTCAGGGCTGAGCAGCGTGCAGAGGCTCGCATTATGAATTTTAGCTAAGATCAACTGCAAGAACAAGCTAGCAATCCTGAGAGGAGCCACAAACCCTCTGAGGGAAGTAGACTGCTCTTGCAGGACCCAGGAGATACCCCAAATACTGTGAGTGCCCCAACTGCTGAAGTGGGAAAGGGAGATCCTCCTCTCCTGAACACACACCCCCACTGGATAAACTAAAGTTCTGTTTGTGGGAGAAGTTTTCAACATTACCTGGAGCTGAGTCAAGTTAGAGAGCCAAGCAAAACACATGGGCAGAGAAAGCAGCAGAAAGGCCCTGGGAGCTCGCTGGGTCCCCAGGCAGCCCATTCCTGCCCAGCACCACAGGGATCCATTGGGAGGGCAGCCAGAGGAGTCAGGGGTAGACCTCCAAAGGGAAAAGGAAATCTCTAGCTGAACTTTGTAAAAATTTGAGCAGGGTGAGAAGCCTCCTGGCCAGAACTCGGGAGAGGGTGAAAATCCGGTGTGCAGACTTCACAGGTGGGGGAAGAACCAAGCCCTTTTCTCTCACTTCAGGGAGGCAGGTACCCTGAGGCAAGTTCTCAAGCCTGTCTCACCCACTGCCTGGAAACAGACTTGGGGCTGTTGGGGCGGGGAGCACAGTGGGAGTGAGGCTGGCTCTACAGTTTGTGGGTGCTGGGTGAGGCCTGTGACTGCTGGTTTTCCCCCACTTCCCTGACAACCTGCATGCCTCAGCAGAGGCAGCCATAATCCTCCGAGGTACACAACTCCAGTGACCTGGGACTCTCACCCCCATCCCCCACAGCAGCTGCAGCAAGACCTGCCCAAGGAGTCTGAGCTCAGACATGGCTAGCCCTGCCCTGACCTGATGGTCCTTCCCTACCCACCTTGGTAGCAGAAGACAAAGGCCATATACTCTTGGGAGTTCTAGAGCCATGCCCACTGCCAGTCCCTCTCCACGTTACTATAGGTGAAGCTTTCTGGAAAGCACCACCTCCTGGCAGGAGGCCAAACAACACAAAAATAGAGCATTAAACCTCCAAAGCTAAGAACTGTCATGGAGTCCATTGCATCCCCCTGCCACCTGCACTGGAACAGGGGCTGGTATCCACGGCTCAGAGACTCGTAGATGGCTCACATCACAGGACTCTGTGCACACAACCCCCAGTACTAGCCCAAAGTGGGGTAGACTTGCTGGGTGGCTAGACCAAGAAGAGAGACAACAATCACTGCAGTTCGGCTCACAGGAAGCCACATCCATCGGAAAAGGGGAACAGTAGTATATCAAGGGAACACCCCATAGGACAAAATAATCTGAACAACAGCCTTCAGCCCTAGACCTTCCCTCTGATAGTGTGTCCAGAATTGGTTCCTTCCAGTGGGTTCTTGGTTTTGCTGACTTCAAGAATGAAGCCGCAGGCCCTCACAGTGAGTGTTGCAGTTCTTAAAGATGCTGTGTCCGGAGTTTGTTCCTTCAGATGTGTCTGGAGTTTCTTCCTTCCAGTGGGTTTGTGGTCTTGCTTACTTCAGGAATGAAGCTGCAGACCTTTGCAGTGAGTATTACAGCTCTTAAAGGTGGCACATCCGGAGTTGTTTATTCCTCCTGGTGGGTTTGTAAGGTCTCGCTGACTTCAGGAGTGAAGCTGCAGACCTTCACTGTGAGTGTTACAGCTCATAAAGGTAGTGCAGACTCAAAGAGTAAGCAGCAGCAAGATTTATTGTGAAGAGCGAAAGAACAAAGCTTCCACAGTGTGGAAGGGGATGCAAGCAGGTTACCACTGCTGGCTCGGGTGGCCGGCATTTATTCCCTTATTTGGCCCCACCCACATCTTGCTGATTGGTCCATTTTACAGAGTGCTGATTGGTCCATTTTACAGAGTGCTGATTGGTCTGTTTTTACAGAGTGCTGATTGGTGTGTTTATAAACCTTTAGCTAGACGCAGAGTGCTGATTGGTGCATTTTTACAGAGTGCTGATTGGTGTGTTGACAAACCTTTAGCTAGACACAGAGCGCCGATTGGTGCATTTACAATCCTTTAGCTAGACAGAAAAGTTCTCCAGGTCCCCACCCAATTAGCTAGACACAGAGTGCCGATTGGTGTGTTTACAAACCTTTAGCTAGACACAGAGCGCTGATTGGTCCATTTTAACAGAGTGCTGACTGGTGCATTTACAAACCTTTAGCTAGACACAGAGCGCTGATTGGTCCATTTTAACAGAGTGCTGATTGGTGCATTTACAAACCTTTAGCTAGACACAGAGTGCTGATTGGTGTGTTTTTACAGAGTGCTGATTGGTGCATTTACAAACCTTTAGCTAGACACAGAACACTGATTGGTGTGTTTACAATCCTTTAGCTAGACAGAAAAGTTCTCCAAGTCCCCACCTGACCCAGAAGCCTAGCCAGCTTCACCTCTCAATAGAGCCTACCCAAATGAGAAGGAACCAGAAAACCAACCCTGGTAATATGACAAAACAAGGCTCTTTAATCCTCCCCAAACCCCCTCCAAATCACACTAGATGACCAGCAGTGGATCCAAACTAAGAAAAAATCCCTGATTTACCTGAAAAAGAATTCAGGAGGTTAGTTATTAAGCTAATCAGGGAGGCACCAGAGAAAGGTGAAGCCCAATTCAAGGAAATCCAAAAAATGATACAAGAAGTGAAGGGAGAAATATTCAAGGGAATAGATAGCATAAAGAAAAAACAATCAAAACTTCAGGAAACATTGGACACACTTATAGAAGTGCAAAATGCTCTGGAAAGTCTCAGCAATAGAATTGAACAGGCAGAAGAAAGAAATTCAGAGCTTGAAGACAAGGTCTTCGAATTAACCCAATCCAACAAAGACAAAGAAAAAAGAATAAGAAAATGTGAACAAAGCCTCTAAGAAGTCTTGGATTATGTTAAATGATCAAACCTAAGAATAATCAGTGTTCCTGAGGAAGAAGAGAATTCTAAAAGCTTGGAAAACATATTTGGGGGAATAATTGAGGAAAATTTCCCCAGCCTTACTAGAGCCCTAGACATCCAAACACTAGAAGTACAAAGAACACCTGGGAAATTCATCGCAAAAAGATAATCACCTAGTCACAGTTTCATCAGGTTATTCAAAGTTAAAATGAAGGAAAGAATCTTAAGAGCCTTGAGACAGGAGCACCAGGTAGGCTATAAAGGAAAACCTATCAGGTTAACAGCAGATTTCTCAGCAGAAACCCTATAAGCTAGAAAGTATTGGGGCCCTATCTTCAGCCTCCTCAAACAAAACAATTATCAGCCAAGAATTTTGTATCCAGTGAAACTAAGCATCATGTATGAAGGAAAGATACAGTCTTTTTCAGGCAAACAAATGCTGAGAGAATTCACCACTACCAAGCCAGCACTACAAGAACTGCTAAAAGGAGCTCTAAATCTTGAATCAAATCCTGGAAACACATCAAAACAGAACCTCTTTAAAACATAAATCACACAGGACTTATAAAACAAAAATATAAGTTAAAAAGCAAAAACAAAAAACAAAAAAAACAAAGTACACAGGCAACAAATAGCACAATGTATGCAATGGTACCTCACATTTCCATACTAACATTGAATGTAAATGGCCTAAATGCTCCATTTAAAATATGCAGAATGGCAGAATAAATAAGAACTCACCAACCACCTATCTGCTGCCTTCAGGAGTCTCACCTAACACGTAAGGACTCACATAAAGTAAAGGGATGGAAAGAGGCATTTCATGAAAATGGACCCCAAAAGTGATCAGGGGTAGCTATTCTTATATCAGACAAAACAAACTTTAAAGCAACAGCAGTTAAAAGAGACAAAGAGGGACATATATATAATGGTAAAATACCTTGTCTGTGAGACACACACATTCACCCATCCAAACCCAAAGAATGGACTTGGAGACACGAAGAACAGCAGAAGCGAGACTTTTAATGGCAGTCTTGCAAAATTGAGTGTCTAGTAGGCAGGCACACCTGGGACAGTTACAACAGGTAATTTATCTCCTAGCACACAAGTCCTTCCCCCAGTTCCTCATTGGTCGAGTACTCTGGGGTTACAATCTTCCCAGATGTCGCCTAATTTTCATTATCTCCCTTATAAGGTTATACCCCATCCCCTTCCCTGCTTAAGTTTTGATTTCCCAACAACAAAACTTTCTTCCCTTTTGTAAGCTGACCCCTCCTCTACATTCTGTTTGCTTATTGTAACTTTCTAGGTGCATGAGACATGTGGTTTGTCACATCCTCAGGCTGGCTGCCAGTACTTAGATTTATCATGCCTTGAAAATGGACCATTTAAAATGTTTTCTCACATTTTCAAACAGGAAAATATCACAATCCTAAACATATATGAACCTAACACTGGAGCTCTCAAATGTATAAAGCAATTACTAATAGACCTAAGAAATGAGATAGACAGCAACACAATAATAGTGGGGGGACTTCAATACTCCACCGACAGCACTAGACAGGTCATCAAGACAAAGTCAACAAAGAAACAATGGATTTAAACTATATCTTGGAACAAATGGAATTAACAGATATATACAGAGCATTTCATGTAACAACTGCAGAATACATATTCTATTCAACAGCGCATGGAACTTTCTCCAAGATAAGCCACAAAATGAGCCTCAACAAATTTAAGAAAATTGAGGAGAGGGAAGGTGGGTGAAGCCAGAAGACAAACACAATGAAACCATCAGATCTGAAGGATTCTGGGAAGCTGATGGCAGTAGTGTAGTTTTTTAATCTTTCTGAACCTGCCACATAAAAACAGACAGACTAATAAGAGAGTATGGAAACAGAAGGACTAGAAAAAAGTGGGGAAATCCCAGAAATCCCAAAAGGCAAGCTGCCGTATTTTAAAACATAACTCAAAGCAACAGAAGAGGGAAATCTGTAAAATCAGGTAAAGTTTCCTGAACCCCGCCTCATTTTAAAACTTCAGGAAAACTTATTTCACATAAAAATGAATAACTTAAAAAGTATCAAGATCAAACCCCACATAAAGATTTTATAAGATTAAAAGAAAATAAGGAACAGAGTATGATCCTTAGTGTCAATGAAAGTCAGAAAAATATGTCCATAAAACAGATGAAAACCACAACATAATATTTTAAGATAAGCTAGAAGATATTAAGGAAATGATTCATGAGATGAAACAATATAAGTTTAAACAATAAAACTCAGAAATGAAATGACAATTCAGGAAAATTAGAAGTTAAAGAAATGTCATTTTAGAAATTATGAGTTCTCACTCATAAGTGGGAGTTGAACAATGAGAACACATGGACATAGGGAGGGGAATATCACATACTGGAGCCTGTCGGAGGGTGGGGCTAGGAGAGGGATAACATTAGGAGAAATACCTAATGTAGGTGACAGATTGATGAGTACAGCAAACAAAAAAAAAAAAGAAAAAAAAGAAAATTGAAATTATATCAGACACTTTCTCAGACCACAGTAGAATAAAACTGTAAACTAACTCCAAAAGGAACTTTCAAAACCATGCAAGTATATGGAAATTAAATAACCTCTTCCTAAATGAGCATTGAGTCAAAAATGAAATCCAGATGGAAACTAAAAAATTTTTTGAACTGAACAACAATAATGACACAGCCTACCAAAACCTCTGGGATACAGCTAAGGTGGTGCTAAGAGGAAAGTTCATAGCCCTAAACACCTACATCAAAAAGACTGAAAGAGCACAAACTGACATTCTAAGGTCACACCTCAGGGAACTAGAGAAACAAGAACAAACCAAACCCAAACCCAGCAGAAGAAAGGAAATAACCAAGATCAGAGTAGAACTAAATGAAATGGAAACAAAACAAAAAATACAAAAGATAAATGAAACAAAAAGCTGGTTCTTTGAAAAGATAAATAAAATTGATAGACCATTAGCAATATTAACCAAGAAAAGGAGAGAGAAAATTCAAATAATCTCACTAAGAAACGAAACAGGTGATATTACAACCGTCACCACTGAAATATAAAAGATCATTCAAGGCTACTATGAACACCTTTATGCACATAAACTAGAAAATCTAAAAGAGATGGATAAATTCTTGGAAAAATACAACCCTCCTACCTTAAATCAGGAAGAATTAGACACCCTGAACAGACCAATGACAAGCAGCGAGACTGAAATGGTAATTTAAAAATTACCAGCAAAAAAAAGTCCAGGACTAGATGGAGTCACATCAGAATTCTACCAGACATTCAAAGAAGAATTGGTACCAATCCTTTTGACACTGTTCCACAAGATAGAGAAAGAAGGAGCCCTCCCTAATTCATTCTATGAAACCAGCATCACCCTAATACCCAAACCAGGAAAGGACATTACCAAAAAAGAAAACTACAGACTAATATCCTTGATGAACATAGATACTAAAATCCTTAACAAAACACTATCTAACTGAATCCAACAACATATCAAAAAGATAATTTACCATGATGAAGTGGCTTTCATACTAGGGATGCAGGGATGGTTTCACATATGCAAGTCAATAAATGTGATACACCACATAAACAGAATTAAAAACAAAAATCACATGATCATTTCAATAGATGCAGAAAAAGCTTTTGACAAAATCCAGCATTGCTTTATGATTAAAACTTGCAGCAAAATTGGCATACAAGGGACATACCTCAATGTAATAAAAGCTATCTATGACAAACCCACAGCCAACATAACACTGAATGGGGAAAAATTGGAAGCATTCCCTCTAAGAACTGGAACAAGGCAAGGATGCCCACTCTTGCCACGCCTCTTCAACATAGTACTGGAGGTGCTAGCCAGAGCAATCAGACAAGAGAAAGAAATAAAGGGCATCCAAGTAAAGAGGAAGTCAAACTGTCACTGTTTGCTGATGATATGATTGTTTACCTTGAAAACCCTAAAGACTCCTCCAGAGAGCTCCTAGAACTGATAAAAGAATTCAGCAAAGTTTCCAGATACAAGATTAATGTACATAAATAAGTAGCTCTGCTATACACCAATAGTGACCAAGCAGAAAATCGAATCAAGAACTCAACCCCTTTTACAATAGCTGCAAAAAAATAAAATACTTAGGAATATACCTAACCAAGGAGCTGGAAGACCTCTACAAGGAAAACTACAAAATACTGCTGAAAGAAATCATAGATGACACAAAGAAATGGAAACACATCCCATGCTCGTGGATGGGTAGAATCAATATTGTGAAAATCACCATACTGCCAAAAGCAATCTACAAATTGAATGCAATTCTCATCAAAATACCACCATCATTCTTCACAGAATTAGAAAAAAACAATTCTAAAATTTATATGGAACCATAAAAAAGCCCCCATAGCCAAAGCAAGACCAAGCAAAAAGAATGAACCTGGAGGCATCACACTACCTGATTTCAAACTATACAATAAGGCCACCAGAGTCACCAAAACAGCATGGTATTTGTAGAAAAATAGGCACACAGGTCTGGGTGCGGTGGCTTACACCTGTAATCCCAGCACTTTGGGAGGCCTAGGTGGGTGGATCATTTGAGGTCAGGAGTCCAAGACCAGCCTGCCCAACATGGTGAAACCCCATCTCTATTAAAAATACAAAAACTAGCTGGGTGTGGTGGCGTGCACCTGTAGTCCCAGCTACTCAGGAGGCTGGGGCAGGAGAATCTCTTGAACCTGGGAGGTGGAAGCTGCAGTGAGCCGGGATTGTGCCACTGCACTTCAGCCTAAGTGACAGAGTGAGACTCTGTCTCAAAAAAAAAAAAAAAAAAAAAAAAAAAAGAAAAGAAAAAGAAAAAAGAAAGAAAAGAAAAAGGCACATAGATCAATGGAACAGAATAGAGAACCTAGAAGTAAACCCTAATACTTACAGCCAACTGATCTTCAACAAGGCAAACAAAAACATAAGGTGGGAAAAGGACACCCTTTTCAACAAGAGATAATTGGCTAGCCGCATATAGGAGAATGAAACTGGATCCTCATCTCTCACCTTATACAGAAATCAACTCAAGATTGATTAAGGACTTAATCCTAAGACCTGAAACTATAAAAATTCTAGAAGATAACATTGGAAAAATCTTTGTAGATATTGGCTTTGCAAGGGTTTCATGACCAAGAACCAAAAGCAAACACAATAAAAACAGATAAATAGCTGGGACTTGATTAAACTAAAGAGATTTTGCACGGCAAAAGGAACAGTCAGCAGAGTGAACAGACAACCCACAAAGTGGGAGAAAATCTTCACAATCTATACATCTGACAAAAGACTAATTTCCAAAACCTACAACGAACTCAAACAAATTAGTAAGAAAAAAACAAACAATCCCATCAAAAAGTGGGCTAAAGACATGAATAGACAATTCTCAAAAGAAGATATACAAATGGCCAACAAACACATGAAAAAATGCTCAACATCACTAATGATCAGGGAAATGCAAGTCAAAACTACAGTGCAATACCACCTTCCTCCTGCAAGAATGGCCATAATAAAAAAACCAAAAAACAGTAGATGTTGGCATGGATGCGGTGATCAGGAAACACTTCTACACTGCTGGTGAGAATGTAAACTAGTACAGCCACTGCGGAAAACAGTGTGGAAATTCCTTAAAGAACTAAAAGTAGAACTACCATTTGATCCAGCAATCCCACTCGAGGTATCTACCCAGAAGAAAAGAAGTCATTATATGAAAAAGATAACTTACACACGCATGTTATAGCAGCGTAATTCACAATTGCAAAATCGTGGAACTAACCCAAATGCCTATCAATCAATGAGGTGATAAAAAAATTGTGGTGTATATATATATATATATATATATATATATATGATAGAATATATATATGATATCAAATATATATAATTGATATATATATCATATATATGATAGAATATATATATGATATCAAATATATATGTATATGATAGAATACTACTCAGTCACAAAAAGGAATGAATTAACAGCATTTGCAGTGACCTGGATGAGATTGGAGACTATTATTCTAAGTGAAGTAACTCAGGAATGGAAAACCAAACATCGTATGTTCTCACTGATAGGTGGGAGCTAAGCCATGAGAATGCAAAGGCATAAGAATAATACAATGGACTTTGGGGACTTGAGGGGAAGACTGTGAGGGGAGTGAGGGATAAAAGACAACGAATATGGTTCAGTGTATACTGATTTGGT
The DNA here is from genome assembly GCF_000001405.40 of Homo sapiens. Lineage (NCBI taxonomy): Eukaryota > Metazoa > Chordata > Mammalia > Primates > Hominidae > Homo > Homo sapiens. The sequence continues at coordinate 155,209,385 of NC_000005.10, forward strand.
AATGGGTGCACCAAAATCTCACAAATCACCACTAAAGAACTTATGTAGCCAAATACCTCCTGTACCCCAATAACTTATGGAAAAAGATATATAAAGCCTGGATAATTAGCTTAAATATATAGAATATTTTAAAGTAAATTTTAAAAATAATATTTAGATAAATGATTTTTAGTTAAAATTATTAATAAAGTACAATGATTTCATTTAAAAAAATAAAATAAAACATTATTTATTTATTTATTGAGACAGAGTCTTTCTCCATTGCCCGGCCTGGAGTGCTGTGGTGCTATCTCAGCTCACTGCAATCTCCACCTCCTGGGCTCAAGAGATCCTCTCACCTCAGCCTCCTGAGTGGCTGGGACTACAGGTGCACACCAGCATGCCTGGCTAATTTTTGTGTTTTTTTTTTTTGTAGAGACGGGGTTTTGCCATGTATCTCACCCTGCTCTCAAACTCCTAGGCTCAAGCAATTCACCTGCTTCGGTTTCCCAAAGTGCTGAAATTATAGGTGTGAGCCACTATGCCTGGCTTTACAGTTTGGTTTTATATATTTTGGGGAGGCAGAAGTTACAGACACAAAGACATAAGTCAATATATGAAAGGTATACATTGGTTTGGCCCGAAAAGGCAGGATGTCTTGAAGCAGGAGATGGTAAGTCATCAATGGATTCAGAGATTCTTTAATCTTCAATTGGTTAAAAGAACACAACTTTGTCTAAAAACTTGAAGTTAGCAGAAAGGAAGGTTTATGAAAAGATAAGGATGCCATGTCAGTCAGCCAAAATATGATAGGTTTAGATGATTAAGAGATTGATGGCCTGCAGGCATGACTTAACCGTTGCCTGCATGGCCTTAGGTCTTATTTATAATTTGGTATCTTATTGCCACAAACAGTCTGTTTTGTTAGTCTTATGACCTCTTTTTAAACATGAATACCAGTCAGTTGTTATGTCCAAACTCCAAAAGCGGGGGCAGTGTATTGAGGCATGTCTGTCCTTCCTTCCTGTCATGGCTGGAAACTCAGTTTTTAAGGTATCTCTGCGGTCCCTTGGCCAAGAGGGATGAGGCTTAAGATTTTATTTTTAGTTTATACCCGGTATCTTTGGGTCTTCTTTCTGAAGTCTCCCATGTATGTTCATTAAATAAATTTGGATGCCTTTTCTCCAATTTATCTGACTTTTTTTTTTGAGTTGATTTTTTTTTTCAGCAAACCTGTAGAGGGCCAAGGAGAACTTTCTCCTTGGCCCCTGCATGAGTGGTATCTCACATAATGTTCTTTGCTTAAATGCTTTAGCACTTTGACTCTTACCTCCAGCTCCATGTGTTTCCCTGTGATGTTCTAACCACCAAAACAGGTTCTAGGCATCATCTCCACCCCAGCATGGCCTCTTTCTGAGGAGCTGTATATGGGAAAATCTGAGCATCTTAATTTCTGTAGGACTTGGAAAAGGTGCGTTGTAGCATGCCTCAACATAAAACTTCCTAATTCATCACAATGTGCACATCTCTTTTTAGTGTCAGGGCCTAACTTTCTGTTCTTAAGTGCCTTGGTCTCATTTGGTAGCCTCAGGATAAAGAAAATAAATCTCATGAGTTTTTTGTCTTCCATAATTCCAGAAACAGCTCCATTTCTGTGAGAATATATCACTCAGAACAAAGAAGAATGTAAGAATGCAAATTGAGCCCTTAACAGGAATGGGTGCTCAGGTGCTAATTTGCAAGCAGCTACTTTTTTAAAAAAGGGCTGATGGTATATATGTATATATACATATAGGCATCTGATATTATCATTTTGGCAAAAACCCTCATACAATATACATAGACCTTAGACACAAACAATGCAGAATGAAAGTTGTTAATGATGTCTGTGCTTACAAATAATAATGACTATTCAGTAAGTCTAAAAACTAAAGTTGAGATACTTTCTTTGCCCTCTACCTTAAAATTAAGAAACAGATGGCCATCTGTAGCCATATATTTCTCGTTGTTGCGAGTAAATGCAGCCACAAGAGCTTATTTTATGCTAAAAGCCTCCATCTGCTAGATGTAATCTTTTTGTACCTGTAGAAAAATGAATAAAATACGGACCTGCTTGCTTCTGACCTTGACTCTCAGACAGATTATGCACCTACGCTAGTTTCCTTTTCTCCTTGACAGGTGTTAATCTTAAAATGATGGCAGCGTAGTCTTTTGACAGTTTCATCCTTTTACCTAAATGGGGGTGAATTGGGCTTCATATTTCTGGTTGGCATATGTTTTGTTGCTATGCAAGGAGTGGATTTTCCCTTAATGAGCAATACATTGTGGCTCTTCGCAGCATCTTTTCTTGAAAAAATACTCAAGCATCCTGTGACTCTTTTTTTTTTTTTGCCAAGCATAAACAAAAAATCATTATAAATAAAAATAATCTTAAAAAAATCCTCATGTGTTGTGGATCTCTTTATTTATTGGAGGGAAAGAAAAATAGGGTAAACAGAATGAATCACTGAGAATGTCCCGATTCATTTGCTTCCACCTTTTCAGACCCAGCCTCAAATGGCTCCCTACCTCTCTTCCTGCCTTCTGTTCACCACCATCACCATGACATTGTTCTCTAGGGACTGTGTGTTTCTTTTTTTGTGGTTATTTGTAATGGGGGTGCTATTTAAACAGAATTCATTGTCATTCAGGCTTCCTTTGGTTCAGATATGTTTCTTCTGTTTTTACTCAGGTCTGTAGAAAGTTGGAGTTGAAGAAAAGACCTTAGAGGTTACTCTCCTCATTTTATAAGTTAAAAAAAAAAAACCTGAGGCAAGGAGAAGAGACTGGCAGCCCAAGGCAAAACCACAACTGGACATTGAGTATTTCTTTTCTCTGATATATGGATTGTGAAAATCACAGAGAGAAATAACATGAGTCTTAATGTGTATGTTGCACTAGTATGCCTGACTCCAAACGGGACTATTTTCATTAACTTCCTTGAGCAAAGTAGAATGCCTGAGAGTGCTTTTTAAGTATAAGAGTGAAAAACTAAGAAGAATTTAAGAATAATTTCAAGACAGTTTATTGTGGAAGCATAGTCCTACTATAATTTTCAATGTAATTACTTCCTAGCTCAATACATTTGTTTTAGTGATAGACAAGCTTTCTGTTGTTACAAAGGAAAAACTATGTATGTGTATGTGTGTGTAGGTGTGTGTGTGTGTGTGTGTGTGTGTGTGTGTGTATATATATATATATATATATATATATATGTATATAAAAGTTTGGACCAAAGACAGAGGAGAAATCACTCATGCTTAAAGGAAGACGACTTTGGGCAAAACTCGCAGTGTGATCCTGCACAAGTTACTTTACCTTGTTATGCCTCAGTTGCTCCATCTTTAAAAAAGAAGCTAGGTCTATGCCTTGGTTTCTCCATCTTGCTTGCTTGCTTGCTTAAAAAAGCAACAACAAAATCTGATCTAGATCTTCAAGGGTAGTCTTGGATCAGCATGATTATCATCACCTGGGAACTCATTAGAAATGCAAATTTTCCTTCTTTCTACTTCTTCTTTTTTTTTTCTTTTTTCTTTTTTTAAGAGTCAGGATCTCTGTTACCCAGGTTGGAGTGCAGTGTCATGATCATAGCTCACTGTAGCCTTGAACTCCTGAACTCCTAAACTCAAATGATCCTCCTGCCTCAGCCTCCCAAAGTGCTGGGATTACAGGCATGAGCCACCTTACCCAATCAGAAATGCATATTTTCAGACCCCACCCAGATTTACAGTTCTGCAACTCTGGCAATCTGTCTTTTAACCTGCCCTTCAGGTGATTGTGATCCATGCTCAAATTTGAGAACTGCTCTGAATAATCCCACTAGAAAAGCTTGAATGCCAGATGCCTGAGCTAATGCTGCAGAAGAACTGAAATGGCCAGTCTTCCTGGTCTCAGAGCTCACTTCCAGGTGGTAAGTCTGTGAGTCTAAGATTCTACTTGATTTCTCCCGTTGCTTCTTGCATTCCTGTATCACCTTTCTGCCAGTAGAAATCAAATAACAGTTTACCTTTCAGAGTGCAAGACAGACCTATGTAGAAAGCCTTCCAGCAGCAGTACCAACTGGGAACTAGTTTTAGATTCAGAAAAGTAAGTGTTTGCAGTCATGTGCATTCAGTGAGTGAGTCTCATTACTGAAAAAGGAGAGTTCATGTTGGCTATGAAGTCCTTCTTGCAGTCTTGGGTTTTTCTGGTCTTACCCCAGTGGAAGCAGTATTGCCTAATGGCAGGAACAGGAGCTCTGACTTCATACTGCCTGCTTTCAATTTGAGTCCCAACACTTCTCTCTTTTTTTTTTAGACAGGGTCTTGCGCTGTCACCCAGGCTGGAGGCAATGGCATGATCATGGCTCACTACAGCCTCAACATCCCGGGCTCAAGTGATCCTCAAATCTCAGCCTCCCAAGTAGCTGGGACCACAGGCACATGCCACCACAACTGGTTAATTTTTTATTTTTTTATTTTTTGCAAAGATGAGGTCTCACTCTGTTTCCTGGGCTGGTCTTGAGCTCCTGAGCTCAAGTGATCCTTCTGCCTTGGCCCCCCAAAGTGCTGGGATTACAGGCGTGAGCCACAATGCCTGGTTGAGTCCCATCACTTCTGACTTCTGTTAAATTACTTCTTGTCTCAGAATCTCAGTTTCCTCATATGTAAATTGGGGGAACACACAGCACCTGCTTCTTTGGAGTCATTGTGAGGTTTCAAAAGAGATAGTTCATATAAACATGCTCAGCACAGTGGCTTGCATGGATTCAGCATTCAATGAATGTTATGCATCATTAGTCCACTTCTCAGGATTCTGCAGCTTTCAAATGAGGGTGCTGATTTTCTTTTTTTGTACTAATGTGTGAGAGGTATGTAAATATGAAAGAAAATTAAGTATTTGAAAAATTATATCTGGGAAGTATGTTATACATGCAGCAATTGTGCAATGGTCAATGATGTCAAAAAGAGGAAAGAGTTAGATATCATGACAGTATCTCAAAAAGAGAACAGATTAGCACACCTAATCCCTTTTATAGTGTTCTCTAAACATACCTCTCGCCTCCTCACAGTGCTGAATTCTGACCCTGTTCTTTTGGATCACTTCCAAAGTTCACTGAGCTCTAATTAATTGGCTTCCCAGATTAGGCAAGTCTTCTATTATATGCTAATACCACCCCCATATTTCTCCTTTTGCAGCACTTATTACCCTCAAAACAATTTGCTCAGTTGGTCCTCACTTGGCTCTTAGCTCTATAAGGGCCAGAACCATGCCTTTGAATTCTGTCTTCATGGTTTAGCTCAGCTCTTAGTGCAAATATCATAGTCATTCCCTGGCAGGTCATGGCACAAATGGGCTTTCTGAGTGAGTAACTTGTGTGCTGAGATACTGATCACTTAGCCCTTCAGGATCTGGGCTCAGGTAGAGATTGCAAGGGTCTCAGGACCAGTCTCTTTCCACCTCTGGCAGCTTCATCTGTTTACACCAGTATGAAGTAAAATTGTCTTATGTGCGCCATTATGTTAAGAAAGTTGGAAAACATTGCAATCGTTGGGTGGGTAAAAGAACAGCTATATAGATGGATGAATAGTTGGATGTCCCAACTTACGAGAAATTATGCTCGTCTATTGTACAATGTAATAAAGTCAAAGAACTAGGTGGGTCTATCACAGGACAGATTCAATGACAAATAGTCTGAAACAAAGCTCAGTTGATTGATTGCTAGGCAAGGGAGACCCACATTCCTTAGGAAAGATACTTTAGTTTCTTTAAATAGAAAACAAGAGAGTTAGATCTAGTCTAAGAAAGAAACTTTATTTTAAGTAAGGTAAAAATCTGAGAGTTAATTTCTGATTGGATTAAAAATAGACTGGAAGGTCTCTGTTGGGACAGGCTATTACTCAGTTTTGTGTCATTGACACTGAGAACATAGTCCTTAGTCAGGCTCTCCAGAATGGGTTAGTAGACTCTGGATCACTTTGCAGGCAACACTAAATATGCCTGTTCCAAGCCTAGGTAGAACTTTCCTTTCACATAGAAGCACTGAGAAAAATCCTTTCTTTGATAGCTTCATTGTAATTTAACCAGTTGTTTCAGTAAAATGGTTCCATGGTGTTGGTTGAAGAAAGGTAGTTATACATTTGTCATCATTGCTGGTTACAACAATAACAACTAAATGTTGATTGTTCCAGTTGTTGTCCAAGTTAGGGATATTAGTTGAACAGTACTAAATAGATGCAAATGTCAGAAATTTTTAATACTTAAACAGAACTGGAGTGAAACAGAAGGGAAGAAAAATTTTTAACTCTTCCACCTCACCATTCTCTACCTTGTACCTTACACTATTTCCTCAAGGCAGAATGCCCTTGAAAGGCCTTGTATTTGCCAAATAATTTTCCTGTTGTTTCCAACTACTGTCTTAAGGTGTCTCTGCTACAGTTTGGAGGCTTGCTGGGAGTAGCATAACTTATATGTTAAATTTGGTTATGTGGGGTTTAAGCTATCTGTGCTTTATTAGGCACCTGTTAGGTGGGGATAGAAATCATGGAGTCTGGCTGAGGCCTACCTGGTGATGGTGTAAGTCATGAAATAAGACATGAAGAGCAAGACCCCAAATAGGTTACATAAGACAAGTTCATCTTCCTTGGGTGGGTTGCCATGGCAATTGGTGGTGGTGGTAGCAATGAGATTTGGAGGAAACAGGGAAAGAGATGACAATATTGGGACTTAGAAAAAATTTGTGAAATTGTTTTCCTAAGAGGCTTGGACTACCCTGTGCCCAGTTAAAATTCCTATCCTTTTTTGAATTCAAAGCATTTCTGCCCCCTCTGTTAGGGGCCATAACTATTACAGAAATGGATTCTGGACCTCTTAATAACAACAACAACAACAACAACAACAAAATAGAGAATATTTAGGGTAGAATTGTAAACCTAGACATGAGCTCTTGTTGTTGTTGTTCATACGAGCCAGGCCCTAAACTTTAGCATTCATAGTTATGATTCTCTTTCTGCAGAGATGCAGTTCTTGCTGGTGGAGAGCGACTGTAAAATAATGAGGACAGCTGCCCATCATCTCCTAGGGGTGGGTCAGGCAAGAGGTGAGGCCGTAACATACAGATAAAAGCTTTCCATGGAGAAACTTCATGGGGGGTGAAGTACAATGAATAAAACACAAGTCAACCAAGGAGAAGTATGAAATCATTGCTTCTGGAGAGAAAAGCCCAAACAAACTCAAACGTGAAAATAAAATGAAAATGTCTTTATAGGATGAAAGAAAGAAAAGCAATTCAGAGGAAAAAGTAGAAAAGGTGGAATTGAGCCTACACTTGTTATTATCTAACTTGATTCTACTTGGAGCTCAAATGGTTTTCAGAGGATCTGCCTTAAATTGCTTTTTAAAATAAAGAACTTATGTAAAGACTGCTTATTTCTTTGGAGTTCTAAAGCATACTATAAAGGAAGCAAAGCGATAATTATTTATAATATTCTGTAAGCCAAGTTGCTAAACTCGCCTCACTCTTGATTTGCTATTATGAAGTCAGTGGCTCCAATTAGGTACAGAGGGGAAGAATAAGAGCAGGGACAGAGTTTCTTGATTCTTCTTTGTCCTTCCTTCATTTCTCTCTCTCACTCCACCATGAAGGACTGAGATTATATTGCCTTTGATTTGGCTGACCTATTCTGGTGAATACCAAACATAATGGTAAAGACATATTCCCCCCAAAATGGTGTGTCCTCATCTCTGCGGAGTTCAAAGATACCCCCCACCAATTTAGTAAACTACAGTTTAATCCCCACACAGAGCTTCTGATTCAATAATTGAAGGTGGGGTCTTCTAATCTGCATTTTAAACAAGCACCCTAAGTAATCTTAATGCAGATAATCCAGGGATCATAGTTTGAGACATATGGACATTGGCATATGTATGTGGTAGGCCTTGATGTCAGATAGATATGGTTTGAATATCAGCTTGGCCACCTTCTAGTTGTGTGACCTTGGGCAAGTTACCTGATATTTCTGTGCCTGTTTCTCCCTGTATAAAAAGGGAATAACATTAGTATCTACCTCATCAGTGCTGATGATAATCCTGAATGTCCAAAATCCCAAGAGATTAAAATCCTGAATGTTGAAATCCTGAAAGCTGAATTATGGGGAAGGGATTAGTGTGTTTGTGTTTATATGCAGGATAGTTGCATCATGCTACTTAAATCATGTTAGGTGGAACTTTTGCCTTGCTATTGTCTTTATTTGCATTTGGTGGAAAATTCAGATGAGTAGGTTGGAAACACAATATGGCAATGATGAAAACTTCAGTTTAAAAATGTGTCATTTGTCTGCATTGGCATTCCTTCCAATGAATGAAATTCCCAGACTTTTAATGAGTTAAAGCCACATTTGCCTTAGGAAGCCAGTGAAGTTACTGACTGTTTTAAAAATAATTTTGTGCATGGTAGGTTAAGAAGACACTTATGCAGTGGTGTTGCTGTTTCATTACCACTATTGTTTCCATCAAATCTGTGGTCTGTGTATCAGTGTATGCAGAATGGATTTCCATGTCCCCAAAACAGCATGGCACAGAAAATGGAAAAATTTAACAGGGAATGCTCACATCGGTGTATATCAAGTCGTAGAAGAATTTCAAAAAGAGCAGGGCCATGTAGAAAATGAATATGAACATGTTCTACAAGGAAAGCCATACCCTAAAAGAAAAAAATGCAGCTATTTATTGAGATGCAAAGCTTCAAAATATAGTTAATGATCATGAAAGTTGGCCAGCTCTTATGGACTACCTCCGTGCAATTGTCCATCATCTGTCTCTGTGATATATTTTTTTCACATGTTGTTTTTTTTAAGTTTTATTCCCCACTTATCTAAGTCATTAGCATTATTTTTTACAATTTATTATGCTACATATTTCATCTTTGCATCATTTCTAATACTGGAGGCATAAATTGAGCAAAGACTTCTACTGAGTACTAATTCATTTTGTGCATTTTTTTTTCAAATTTGACTCCATGAAATGCATTATCACAATGTTGACTTTGTGGGTAAACTTTGAGCATGTATGTAAAAATCTTGAAAATTTCTCAATACATAGAGATGCCATTTTTGTATATTTATACTTGCAAAGGATAAAATTTCTTGATCTTGGCTCTGAGTGACTGCATATTTGGTGGTAACCCATCACAGTTTTTGGTCCATCTTGTCAAAAGACTTAAGTTGTCCATAACAGTATTTCAAATGACTGTAGGTATAAAACTGGGTGCATGCAATTACCAACCATAGTGATACAAGTTTATACTTTTTGCTTTTTGACTTATTTCTTTATGAATACTATTTGTCTGCTCATAACTCTTATGCCCATGCAATTGTCATTAGTATACCTGAATGTTCATGCTCACAAAATACCTATGTTATTATAGGCTCTCTTACTGTGTAAAGAGGCCTACAAAGTGTTCTGCCATGTTTTTATATGTTTCTCAAATAAGTACTCTTCACAAATGTAAATAAATATCTTTTAAATAATTTTTTTAAAATTATTTTTTTCCAGAATTATATTTATGGGATTTTGGTCTTTTGGGATTGTGATGTTTAGAACTTTAAGCTGGAGAGATTCTGGTCTTTCAAGATTTCAACATTTGGGATTTTGGTGTTTCAGGATTTTGTGTCTTTTGGGATTATGGCCCAAACCCCTACATCATGGAGTTGTATCAGAAAGACATGCTTGATAGAGTGTGCCACACAGAGTAAGCCCTCAAGAAGAAAGTTATGTTGTCATTTTTATTGTTAATAATGGACTTGGTAATCCCTTCTTGGAACCTTTTAGACTCTTGTGTACAAGGAAGGAAAGTGAACTTGAGCTAGCTTACTTGTCTAAACTCACTCCTCCTCTTGTCTAAACTCACTCCTCCTTAGCATCTCCTCCTCTTGTCTGTGTGCCATCATCTTGCTTCTGTTCCAGATAAGGCTTTCCCTTTGCAGCGGAAAATGTGCCATCAGATAGCTTCAGGATTTTATCCTTATAGGTTGACCAGAGAGGAAAAGAAACCTCCTACCAGCACTAGCCAGATAAATGGGAGGGAGGCCGATTGGCTGAGCTGAAATCATATGCCCATCCCTGTACCAATTCCTGCATGCTCTGCCATGATTGGTTGGCCTGGGTTGTGTGTCCAGCCCCCATCAGAAGGTAGAGGGACTCATGCTGGACAGACAAGACCCTTATTCACTACTTGTTTCTTCTCTGCAACCCTGTAATTCTGCACCTATTGTACATACACAGCCCAAACCCTGTAGACATTGGGGACAGCGCAAGACTGAAACAGACATTATCCCTGCCTTCATGGAAGTTACAGTCTAGTGCAGAAGTAAGCTCTCAGAATGAAGGGAAAAAGACAATATATGATTGATCTAATCTTGGCCCCTATCCAATAGTAGAAACTGAGGAAACAGTACAGTAATATGAAGAGTATGATCTGGAAAATAAAAGTAACTTGAATAAATAAACTTGGGGGAAGTGGTTAGTGCATGATAGACATAGAAACCTTTGAAATGCTTAAAGTAGCACTGAATTCCCATGCCTCATCCCCTACAATTCTATGACAAGCGATGAATAAATTACTACAGAAAAATCAATGGTCTGGGTGGGTCTGTCTCAGCTAATCTGAATCTTTTGCAGAATTTACTCAGACATCCAGGACTCAAATTCATTATTTCTCCTTTTAAAATGGGATGATTCACCTCCCATTTTACAGTCATCAGCAATTAAATCAGATTAACAATAAGCTAACATTTATTGACCTCTTATTGTGTGCCAGGTAATGTTGTAGGTGCTTTATGTGGATTAATTCATTTAATCCTCTCACTAACCCTGTGAGTTTAGGTATTGTTATCTTTATTACACCGATAAGAAGACAGGCATGAGGAGTCTAAGTGAGTCTATCATTTATTGAATATTTACAAGATTCGGGGCTCAGTGCAATTTTTATTTTAATTCACTGAATCCTTGTAATAATACTAAGAAATAGGTGCTGTTTATATACCCAGTTTAAAGATGAGGCATTGAGGTTTGGACAAGTTAAAAACTTGCTCAAGGTTACAAAACAAATGAGTGTCAGAATCTGGTCAGGGACCCAGATCCTCCGATTGAGATCCTGTTCTTTTAACCACTGATTTACAGACTTGCTGGCCAAAACAGCTATTGGTAAAGTACATGCCTTATCATTGCAAATGCACTTGAAGGAGAATTTGTTGTTCTGTCTATCATAAACTCCTTGGAGGAAGATAGTGCCTCTTAGGCCTCTTCTCTCTTCCTTTTAGTCCTTTTCTACAAATCAAAGTTGCCTTGAGCTGCCCATATAGAAGTGACAACAAATACAGTATTTTTAATATTTGGTTTTACATTCGACCATTACTTTTTTTTAAAAAGGTGCACGTTCTGTGTACTAGGTGCTGTGCTAGGCAATGAGAATTCTAAGTAGGCTCCCTTTTATACCTTGATTTCACTCTGGTGACTTCCTGCATAGCAATGATCATGATTTGCAATTTTCATTCATTTACTTATTTATTATCTGTCTTCACATTAGAACATATGGTCTAAGTGAACTTCTCTGTTCTGTTACCTTCCGTGTCCCCAGAGTTTAGGTCAATGCTTGACATATTTTAGGTGCTTGTTAAACATCTATTAAGTGAAGAAACATGAAGAAATGAACCAAAGAACAAATAAACTGAGTTTATTAGGTGATGAGTAGGCTTTTCCATTTTCTGTTGTTGATATATTCTGATGATTTTTAATACCACTTCTCCCATTTCCTTTTGTGTATTGCATCCACACATGACTTTTGTTCCTGGGGAGTAACTGAACAGGCACCAGAATTAGCCTGGGATTACAGAATCTAAAGCAGTGACAGCATAGAGACTTAGCACTAACTGGAAGTTATGTTCCAGAAAGTGATGACTGAATGCCTTCAATACAGTTTCTTTTTACTCAGGGTCATAGAGTTTCTCCCACATCCAAAAAAATGTGGTTTCTTTATTTTGGTATAACTGACCATCGGACATGGGAGTGGGGGTCTTTTTCACTTTGGTGGAGCAGCAGGCCTGACACTGGATATGTTAAGTGAAAGCTAAAGAATTGAGAAAATTCCCTCTCTTTCACAGCCTGGTTTTCAAACCTGTTATCTTAGCTGAAGACTGACAAATATTTCTCTTGCAATGGAGTAAAAGGCTGAGAGGCTACACAAGAACATGAGTGAGAGAAAAATAAAAATATTGGAAAATAAAAATAGCTACAAAATTATTGGATTTCTGATGCTACTATCTTTATTGTATGCAGAGAAGTTTCTGTTCAAGCTTCTGCAGTAGTGTGCCAAGGACGTTTTCTTTATTGTTCACCTGGAAAGAATGCAAAATGTGTTGAAAGATCAGGGGTCAACAATGTTTTTCTGTAAAGGCCCAGATGGTGAATATTTAAGGCTCTGCGGATCATACTATCTTTGTCACACTACTCAGTTCTGCTGCTGTAGTGCAAAAGCAGCCATAGACAACACGTATATGAATGAGCATGGCTGCTGCAATAAAACTTCGTTACAAAAACAGGTGTACTTTGCCAGCCTATGGACTAGACGGTGTTTTGGTATTTAATTTGCATAAAAGTATGGAACCTGAAACAAAGACCCTTTCCCTCTACCATACACACACAGTAGGTAGATAGACCGATTTGAAAACCCCAGTTTGATGTGAAAATAACAAAAATCAGTTGGGCTTTACACATTTCCACACACTTTTGTTATTTCAATCAGTTTTGCGTGAGCATATCCTGAAAATTAGATTTATCTAGTTTAACCTCAAAAATTAAAAAAAAAAAGATAAAAGAGACTCAGAATCCTATCCTATTTCCTCTTAAGGGCCAGCCAACTTGGAGTCCTCTATGTATAAAAATGCAGACCTCAGCAATGAAAACACCCAAGATCAAAGCTTTGGAAGTATATTACCTTTAGAAAAAAATCCAGAGCTGCATTAAAAATTGCCAAGCTTCATCCGCTGCACCCTCCCAGAAGAGCTCACTGGCCCAGTGCCACCTTGCCCCAGAGGCCAGCTTGCCCTTGGCCATCAATCTCTGCTCGATGAAGCCAGGCCCCACAAATCACATGGCTTCCCATTGACTTTCTGCCAGAGTGAGGTAACCAAAGCTCTTCTTTAAGCCGAGAGGCATAACACGCAGTTCCTTTCTGCCCAGTTGCTAAACGGGAACTTCCAGGTCAAAGGAGTCCACCTCTGTGCACAGAGGCCATAGACCAAGAGAGGATCAACATTTATGGAGTCCCTTCCATGTTCTAAGCACTGTATTTGGATATCGGGATACCCAAGTGTGTAAGACACATTTGGAATTCTCTGGCTTTGAGGTGTGCACAGAATTATATGATGTAAATTCTGGGAAAGAGCAGAGAATAAGTCTGGGCTTAGTGTCAGCTGATTGTAGGCAGCATCGGCCCATTAGGTTAACTCCTGAGCATCAGTAGCTCCACACATTTTGGCCCATGCTACATTAGCTAAAGCCCATAAAGCCTTGTATAAACAGAGACAGCTTTAATTGAATAAAATATGTCATTGGCTTCTTCCCTGCCAGGTTCACTGTTTCTCAGTGACTTCCATGGTCTCCATTCTCTTCTTTATAGCTGGCAAGAGGTTCCCTTCTCCGGAGGAGATATGAGTCAGAACTGTTAAAAGTATGGCTCTCCCATCCTTTTTCCTGGAAAGACACCATTCTTTCCTTGCTGAATCTCTACAGTTTTAGGTGAGTCAGCAGCAGTAGTAGGGTACTTCACAGGATCGGTTGACACTTCCAGTGCCAACTGATGCTTGTCTCCACTTCAGGGTGACAGCATAGAGACTTAGCACTAACTAGAAGCACTAACTTCAAGGTAGTCTTTTACACTTGACATATTATTTCACTTGGTTGCACCTAATGTAATCTTTGTAAAAACAGTCATTAATTAATCCATTCAAATGAATGAATTTATCAAATATTACTTGAGCATCTCCCATGGCACAGTACTGTTAGGTAACTTGATAAGAAGGTGCAGGTCCACCAGGCTGATGAGTCCTCTGCCATCCTCCCCACCCATCCCAATTCCTGCACTATAACTATGAGTGTATTTGTAAGATGGGCACTAGTCTAATCTTTGACTTTGGCCTAAAATGGAAAAGATGTCATTGTCCTCTTTGGTTTTCCAGGAAGGAAGACTTGTAGATGGTCAAGAGGTCCAGATGATTTCTAAGGACTAAACAGTCACAGATGGACAAGTATCATTCTTCAGGGATTCTGATTCTTGGACCACATTAAGCCTACATATTATGGTCCTCCATGCCACCCCATACTTTCCCATTCACAGTATGCCTCATGTTGTGCTCTTGATCCTTGTTTACTTCTTTTCTCCCCTTTGGGCTGTGAGCTCTGTGAGAGCAGGGCCATGTCTCCTACGCTCACTTACTAGTTTTAAGCTTCTGAGTAGCTCAACTGAATTCTCAAATTGTTAGTTCATGAGCAAGCTCAGTGTCTGGTACATAGTGGCACTTAATAATTTATGGTCTCAGGGATAGCTTACTTTAGTCCTAGCTCTAGATTCAAACCTGCAAACATGTATGATTGCCCATCTGTCTGACACTGAGCTAGGTGCTGGTGTTTTGACAGTAATGAAATACAATCCCTGCGGCCGTCGTAGACTGTCATATTACTTTATCCTAGTAAGGCACAATGGTATGTTAAGAATGGGGGCTTTGTTGTAAGCCTGGGTTCTAATCCCTGTGACACCACTTACTATCCGTTTGACTTTAGGCAAGTCAATTAACCCATCTGTGCCCTCACTTTTTCTAATATGTAAAAAATAAGAGCAGAACAGAGCAGAACTGAAGGAGAGAGAGACACAAAAATCCCTTAAAAAAATCAATGAGTCCAGGAGCTGGTTTTTTGAAAAGATCAACAAAATTGATAGACCACTAGCAAGATTAATAAAGAAGAAAAGAGAGAAGAATCAAATAGATGCAATAAAAAATGATAAAGGGGATATCACCACCAATCCCACAGAAATACAAACTACCATCAGAGAATACTATAAACACCTCTACACAAATACACTAGAAAATCTAGAAGAAATGGATAAATTCCTGGACACCTATACCCTCCCAAGACTAAACTTGGAAGAAGTTGAATTGCTGAATAGACCAATAACAGGCTCTGAAATTGAGGCAATAATTAATAGCCTACTAACCAAAAAAAGTCCAGGACCAGATGGATTCACAGCCGAATTCTACCAGAGGTACAAAGAGGAGCTGGCACCGCTTCTTCCGAAACTATTCCAATCAATAGAAAAAGAAGGGATCCTCCCTAACTCATTTTATGAGGCCGGCATCACCCTGATACCAAAGCCTGGCAGAGACACAACAAAAAAAGAGAATTTTAGACCGATATCCCTGATGAACATCAATGCAAAAATCCTCAATAAAATACTGGCAAACCGAATCCAGCAGCACATCAAAAAGCTTATCCACCACAATCAAGTCGGCTTCATCCCTGGGATGCAAGGCTGGTTCAATATACGCAAATCAATAAACATAATCCATTAGATAAACAGAACTACAGACAAAAACCACACGATTATCTCAATAGATGCAGAAAAGGCCTTCAACAAAATTCAACAACGCTTCATGCTAAAACCTCTCAATAAACTAGGTATTGATGGAATGTATCTCAAAATAATAAGAGCTATTTATGACAAGCCCACAGCCAATATCATACTGAATGGGCAAACACTGGAAGCATTCCCTTTGAAAACTGGCACAAGAGAGGGATGCCCTCTCTCACCACTCCTATTCAACATAGTGTTGGAAGTTTTGGCCAGGGCAATCAGGCAAGAGAAGGAAATAAAAGGTATTCAATTAGGAAAAGAGGAAGTCAAATCGTCCCTGTTTGCAGATGACATGATTGTATATTTAGAAAACCCCATTGTCTCAGCCCAAAATCTCCTTAAGCTGATAAGCAACTTCAGCAAAGTCTCAGGATACAAAATCAATGTGCAAAAATCACAAGCTTTCTTATACACCAATAACAGACAAACAGAGAGCCAAATCATGAGTGAACTCCCATTCACAATTGCTTCAAAGAGAATAAAATACCTAGGAATCCAACTTACAAGAGATGTGAAGGACCTCTTCAAGGAGAACTACAAACCACTGCTCAATGGAATAAAAGAGGACACAAACAAACGGAAGAACATTCCATGCTCATGGATAGGAAGAATCAATATCGTGAAAATGGCTGTACTGCCCAAGGTAATTTATAGATTCAATGCCATCCCCATCAAGCTACCAATGACTTTCTTCACAGAATTGGAAAAAACTACCTTAAAGTTCATATGGAACCAAAAAAGAGCCCGCATCATCAAGACAATCCTAAGCAAAAAGAACAAAGCTGGAGGCATCATGCTACCTGACCTCAAACTATACTACAAGGCTACAGTAACCAAAACAGCATGGTACTGGTACCAAACCAGAGAGATAGACCAACGGAACAGGACAGAGCCCTCAGAAATAATGTCACATATCTGCAACTATCCGATCTTTGACAAACCTGACAAAAACAAGCAATGGGGAAAGGATTCCCTATTTAATAAATGGTGCTGGGAAAACTGGCTAGCCATATGTAGAAAGCTGAAACTGGATCCCTTCCTTACATCTTATATAAAAATTAATTTAAGATGGATTAAAGACTTAAATGTTAGACCTAAAACCATAAAAACCCTAGAAGAAAACCTAGGCAATACCATTCAGGACATAGGCATGGCCAAGGACTTCATGACTAAAACACCAAAAGCAATGGCAACAAAAGCCAAAATTGACAAATGGGATCTAATTAAACTAAAGAGCTTCTGCACAGCAAAAGAAACTATCATCAGAGTGAACAGGCAACCTACAGAATGAGAGAAAATTTTTGCAATCTACCCATCTGACAAAGGGCTAATATCCAGAATCTACAAAGAACTTAAACAAATTTACAAGAAAAAATCAAACAACCCCATTGAAAAGGGGGCAAAGGATATGAAAAGACACTTTTCAAAAGACAACATTTATGCAGCCAACAGACACATGAAAAAATGCTCATCATCACTGGTCATCAGAGAAATGCAAATCAAAACCACAACAAGATACCATCTCACACGAGTTAGAATGGCAATCATTAAAAAGTCAGGAAACAACAGGTGCTGGAGAGGATGTGGAGAAATAAGAACACTTTTATACTGTTGATGGGAGTGTAAACTAGTTCAACCATTGTGGAAGTCAGTGTGGCGATTCCTCAAGGATCTAGAGCTAGAAATACCATTTGACCCAGCCATCCCATTACTGGGTATATACCCAAAAGATTATAAATCATGCTAGTATAAAGACACATGCAGACGTATGTTTATTGCAGCACTATACACAATAGCAAAGACTTGGAACCAACCCAAATGTCCAACAATGATAGACTGGATTAAGAAAATGTGGCACATATACACCATGGAGTACTATGCAGCCATAAAAAATGATGAGTTCATGTCCTTTGCAGGGACATGGATGAAGCTGGAAACCATCATTCTGAGCAAACTATCGCAAGGACAGAAAACCAAACACTGCATGTTCTTACTCATAGTTGGGAATTGAACAATGAGAACACTTGGATACAGGGCAGGGAACATCACACACTGGGGCCTGTTGTGGGGTGGGGGTGTCGGGGAGGGATAGCATTAGGAGAAATACCTAATGTAAATGATGAGTTAATGGGTGCAGCAAACCAACATGGCACATGTATACATATGTAACAAACCTGCACGTTGTGCACATGTACCCTAGAACTTAAAGTATAATAAAAAAATGGGAAAATCATAGCAGATACCTCACGCGGTTGTGGCTAGGATCCCATGAATAAGTATACATAAAGTGCTAAAAATGCCTTCCATATAGTAAGTTAACTTAATAAATATGCTTAAAAAATTATTCAAACCTGGAAGAGGATGACTATCATGCCCTTCCAATGATGTGTTGAAGCATGGTCTAGCTGGCTACCAAGGATTAGTTCATTCTAGGACATGTAACTTTGTCTTGTTATTTATTGTTGATTAGACTGAGACTCCATGAAGTAACGTGTTAACTTGTACATTTGTGTCTAGTAGAGATGCAAATGGTCTCTGTCCACTGCAGAAGAGTCCCTTAAGAGTCTAACCTAACAATCTTAGCAAATTTATTTTTGGCATATCTTTCCTGTTTCTGTAATTCTCTTTCCCTCAAATACTCTTTGAATCAGTTGTGCTGCTCTGCTAGTTTCCTCATGTTCAATTCTATATTTGTATGAAAGTCGTGTTTTTAACTTCTTGAAATTATATTTTGAGAAATGTCATTCATTATTATTATATGGGTATATTATTATCATTCTTTCATTTTTTTTTCAAATGCAGATGATGTAGTAGGAAGAGCATTGGGCTAATTTGCAGAAGACCCATATGTAAGTCAAGCTCTACAACTTTTTAGTTTCCCTAGTCAAATGATTCAACCTCAGTTTCTGTATCTATAAAACGGAGAAAATAATACCTGGTTTACTGGGAAGTTGTGTAACCTTCCAATATAGCCTGCCAGGGTCTGTCCTGCTGGACTGCTTATAGCAAACAATGATGTAGTTACTTGGACAAACCATTCTTCTCACATCTGCAACTGCTCATGGCTTCTCAAAGCTGGGGTGCCTTCAAGTTACCATACAACTTTTAAATTTTCAGTGGAATTCATCTCATCATTCTGCATGCCTCCTCTCCTCTCTCTACCACCAAGGGAAATAGTAATAATGACATAAACTGTATTTATGCTTTAAAGCTCCAGTGTGCAAAGGGTTTTCTGTTTTATTATAGGTAATAATAAGCACTACCATTTAGTGACAATTTGTGTTAAGCTTTGCATACCTTAAATGTATTATCTCATTTAGTCTCTACCATGGCTCTATGAGATAAACATGAATATACCCATTTTACAGATAAGAAGCTGAGACTCAGACATGAAGTAATCTGCTCAGGAGTACTTAGCTAAGTAGTCAGATAAAGCCTGGATTCCCACCCATATCTGATAGCATCCAAAGTGTACATTTCCTCTCATTTGTTGAGCACTTTGTGTGTACAAGTTACCAGAGTAAGCAAGCGGAGAATGGCACGGAAAAAGAAAATATCTACTCTAAAGAAGCTCATCTTTTAGATGTGGAAGATAAAGAAAAAGATAGTAACAGTTACCATATATACAGTGGCTACCGTGTGCAAAACCAGCTGCATCTGGATTAGGGTCATAATCCCGAATGTTGAAATTTGAAAGATCAAAATCCCTAAAGTTTCAAATCCTGACTTTCATGACCTAACTATTCTTTGAAGTCTTGCATAGAAATAAATAGCTGCTTATTTTTTTTTTCTTTTGGAGCATGGCTTTCCTTGGAGAACATGTTCACATTCACTTTGTACGTGGACCCTTTCTTTTTGAAATTCTTTTATGATTTGATATACACAGCTATGAGTATTTCCTATTAAATGTTTCCATTTTTTTGTGCCATGCTTCTGTGTCGTTTTGAGGACGTGGAAATTCTTTCTGCATACACTGATATATGGACCACAGATTTGGTGGAAATAATACTGGTGACTGAATAGCAACACCATTGCATAAGTATCCTGCACATAATTATTTTGCAACCCAAAGTCAGTAACTTTGCTGGCTTCTTTAAGCAAATGTAACTTTAATTCATTAACATCTCCTGGATTTTCATTTATTGGAAAAAATGCCCATGTACTCAGATGCATTTTTAAACCGAAGTTTCTGTCATTGCTGTATCGCCTGACCAATCCACTCATCTGAATTTTCCACTAAATTTGAATGAAGATGATAAAAAGGCAATAGTTCCACCTAACATGATGCAAGCAACATGACGCAACTATCCTGTATACCACTGAAAGCACACCAATCCCTTCCCAAGAGTTCAGCTTTTAGGATTTCAACATTTGGGATTTTAGACATTAGGGACTTTAGATGTTAGGGGCTGTGTCTTCTGGGATTTATGATCAGCACTGGCTGCACCCGTACGTTCACCTACTTCTCACCTCAGTCTGGCAAGGTAGGTGATATTACTCTGTTTCATACATAACAATACAGTTCCAGGAGATGAAATAACTTACCTGAGGTCATGCAGCTATAATGATTCAAACTCTTGCCTGTGTTTTCTATCATTTTTACCCCCATACTAGACACACAAAGACACATAACATTCAGTACTGTACAAAGGTTGCAAGCACCCAGAATGAGCTTGATGAGCACTGAAGGGGTTGCTGGGAAACTGCTGCTGTCCATGCAGTAAATGTTGATGAAGCAGCTTCTATTGGCCGCATGTGTGAATGTCTGGGGGAGCAATGATGACATGGTCCCTGAACTTAAGTGGTTCATGGTCTAGTGTGAGGGGCAGATGTGTAAATGGGCAACTGTGATACAGCATGGTAGGTGATGTGCTGGAGAGCATGATGAGAGCCCTCCGGGTGGATGGGAGCAAGGGAAGATTTCCTACCCAAAGCTGTACCCCAACCTATGAGTCTTCTTTCCTTGCCACTAGAAAGTATGCTCTTGTGGTTTGCCCTTCCCGACCCACCACCCCCAGCTGGTTTCTAAGGCACACCATCAGCTCCTACATACCATTTGTTTGGGACTTGAAAATGTCTTAGGTTAGTAGATTTACCTTTCCAAATCATATTTTCTTAGGCTAATTGGAAAATCAGTTTTCACTGAAAACCAATGGTATGCCAAGGTGGCTCAAAAGGGTGTTGAGGTGTGAGGATTAATATGCCTTAGAATGGGGAAAAAACAGTAGGTAATGGGCAAAATTGTACCCTGTGTACACAGATGATTGTAGGTTAAGATTATTTATTTTAAGGGTTCTTCCTTGATCCCTGTTATACCTTCCAGATGGATTGGAGATTGCTTGGATATATGGATTTGATGGGCCTCTGCAGGCCACCCTGCTAATGAAACCTGTAAAATAATCTACATTAAAATATTCTCTCTCTCTCTTTCTGTCTATCATGATATCTGCAAACAGTTAAATATTCAAATAGTCTAAAAGAAATTTTTCCTTCTTGGAAGGCAGCTATTGTTACCCTGTGTATCCTTGTATACCTTTATGTATCCTTTTAGAGGTATTGCATGGATACATGCATATATGGGGATATGCATGTATGTGTGTCTATGTGTGTGCATATATGCATCCACTACATATATAGTATAAACACACATCTTATTTTTGTTTTTTTCTTACATAAATAATAGCATACTATAATACTGTCTTTGCTTTTTTTTCATTTAACAATGTAGTTTGGAGGTTATCTGTTATGCCATAGAACCAGTAGATTCGCCTTATTCTTTTCAATGGCTGCTTCGTGTTTCATTGCCACATTTTAATCAGATTCCTTTGGATGTACATTTAGAATATTCTTTTTTTTTGCAATGAATATACTTGTACATACAAGTTTGCCCACGTATGACTGTATCATTTGGATAAATTCCCAAGTGAAATTTCCAAATGAAATGCTATGTTCATTTTAAATTTTGGTAGATGTTGTTCTCTTGCCCTCTAAAAATGTGGTATCAATTTATATTCCTAACAACATGGGAAGATGTCTGTTTTCTCATATGTTCTTTGAATGGTTTTGATTAGCTTCCAGGACACATTGCAATGATGAAAACTTGGTTGCTGTGTCTTAAAAGTTGGGTGCAAGTTAGGTTCAGGAGGCTGTGAATTGCAAAAATCACTTGATCATGTCTGAGCAGTTGAACATCAGTATTTTAGAGCTGAAAACATGCCTCTTTGGGTGTTCTGGACATAAGAATGCCACTCCCATGCTCCCTTTTATTGAGACATGGTCTTGCTCTGTCACCCAGGCTGGAGTACAATGGCTTGACCATGGCTAACTGCAGCCTTGACCTTCTGGGCTCAAGTGATCCTCCCACCTCAGGCTCCTGAGTAGCTGGGAACACAAGCACCTACTACCACACCTGGCTAATTTTAAAATTTCTTGTAGAGATGAGGGTCTTTTTATGTTGCCAGGGCTAGCCTTGAACTCCCAGACTCAAGAAATCTTCCCACCTCTGCCTCCCAAAGTGCTGGGGTTAGAGGTGTGAGCCACTGCACCTGGCCAAGAATGCTCCTTTTTATATCCCTGTAAAGCCAGAATGCATTTTAACCTGTTTTTAACTTTTTGCATTTCTTAATGACAGAAAGCTGGACACCTCATGCTTGGGCTTCCTAGAAGACACTGGCTTGATTCCCCCCATTTATTCTTTGTTTCTTCGAAGTTTATCTCCATTCTCTGTATTAGGCCTTGCCACCTCACAGTGTGGCTCTCGGCATTTCTATCCACCTTTCCTAGTGGGTCTTGAATGGGTGACCTTATCACTCCAGGAGGCAAATATACACTGTACTGATCTGCCAAGCTCAATATCCTTTTGCTTAAATGTTAGATGGATTTATGTTATTGCTCTG
This sequence comes from Homo sapiens, assembly GCF_000001405.40. NCBI lineage: Eukaryota > Metazoa > Chordata > Mammalia > Primates > Hominidae > Homo > Homo sapiens. The sequence goes on from NC_000005.10 coordinate 155,231,963, forward strand.
GGAAGCAGTGATCCAGGGAGGAATTAGTGTTCTGAGAGGACTCCGGTCTTGTTAAAATGGCAACAGGAGGATGCACGTGCTTGTCCAAAGCCATGGGCTATAGTCTAATCCAGTCTTTCTCCTTTATTTTCCCCTCCTCAATTCATTTGGTTATTTGAATCCTGTTTGCATCCGAGCTTCTGAGATCCTGGGGTCCAGTGAGGAAAGTCTGGATATATGGTGCCATCAGCTCTGCCTCAGAGACTTTCAGTGTGAAGAGAAAAGGCTCCTCACAGGATGCCCTGTGATCTGGGCTTACATGTAACAATGCTGGAAGTGGGCAGGCTGGGGCCTGCTAGACAGTGACTTTTCCTTCTGGAGTTTTCTGGGGAGGTACACCAAAGTGTACCAATCAGAGTTGCATGTGAATTTGAACAATTTTCCAAAACAACCTTTGTGATCCAAATGTTTTCCTTTACATTTGTGCCTTCCTGTGCAGAGCAGGCATGTTCTTAAATGGTTGCAAGCAAGTTAAAATTGGGGCGGTGGTGCATTCAGGGGGAAGGTGTATAGAATTGGGATTTAGAGGATTCAAGATTGGTTGGTTTGTTTTAACTCTGCTACTTTCTAATTGTGTGAGTTTGGACACACTGCCTAACCTATTAGCATCTAGATTTACAAAATAATAATGCCTGCTTATCTTCATCAGAAGATTACCAGGCGGAAAAAGTGAGCTACTTGTTGTTAATTTTGAGCTGGAAAGGCTAATAAATCTTTACATTCTCCACTGGCAATGTGTACCAGGCGACTTACCTACATCATGTTATTTAATTCTGGCAACCCATAGCTGAGATAAACACTGCTATTTTACAAATAGGGAGAGAGATGTTCAGAGAAGTTGAGAAATTGGACCAAGGTCAATTGCAAGCCAGCTTGCAAACCTGGGTGAGTAAAAGAGACTGGATGTGAGGGTCTACCCTTGTCTTTGAGTACATGAGTAATGTGTCTCTAGCCCAGTGGTCCTCAACTGGAGGTGACTGTGCCCTCCCAGAGACATTTGGCAATGTCTGGAGACAGTTTTGGTTGTCACAACTTAGGGAAGGGGTGTGCTAATGGCACCTAGTGGGCAGAAGCCAGGCATGCTGCTAAACATACTACGATGCACAGGACGGCCCTCCACAGCACAGATCCAGCCCCAGTCAATTAGTGCTGAGGTTTAGAAACCCTGGGCTAACCCATGTACTTCTGATGTTTTCCTACAGAGAAGATAGAATAAGGGCAGCTTTTCCTTGACCTATTTTTCTTATTCTATAGCACCTGTCACCCCCTAATATTCTATATAGTTTATGTTTATTTTCTGTTATCTTTCTCTGTTCACTAGAATGTGAACTTCCTAAGGGCAGAGACCTTTCTGTTTTCACAATTTCCCAAGTGCTTAGAATAGATCCTGTGTGGTGTAGGTGCACCTTAAATATTTGTTTTATAAACAAACGAATGTGCAAGATTTAAGTTCATGGTAACAACTTTTGGGGACTGCTGAATATAGGGGAAAGAGGCAGTAAACATGAATTCTGAGATGAGATAGTATTGGTCAGGCCAGATTCCTGCCAGGGCTTCTGCCCAGAGGGCTGGACTGGGGACCTAGCTGTGTATCTCAGAGTATCTTTATGTGGCTTTCTGAGTTGAGGGTGCTGGGTCCTAATGCAACCTGCTGTCATCAATGGCCACAGTGCCCCTGTATCACTTTTCTTGGGCTTTCCAGGCAGGTATAGTTCTGATTAATGTCGGCTTTTCTAAGAAGGTGGTGAGGGACTAACTTTGACTCCAAAGCAGTACACTTTACTCAGGTTAAGAAGTCCTTTTCAGATCAGTTCAGAGTGACAGCTTATTCTTGAAAAAGGGGAAAACAGCTTCCTCAAGGGGAGTTGTAGAGGAAGAAAGGCTTTTCCAGAACTCTTCAGTATTCATATATGTCTGCCATATTGGCTGCCTGCTACTTTGCCTGCTATTGTGCTACGATAAAGAGGAACAAATCTCTCCTCCTGTAAGATGCTCCATAGGTCATGACTGACCTGGGTCGGGTGGGGTGCATGGTTAACATCAAGAAAAAAATGCTACTTGAAGTAGACTTTATTGTTCTCATTTTATAAATGAATAAATAAAGTAACATAATAGACTTTATAACAATAAAACCTACTTCAAAAGGTTATTGTAAGTAGATTTTTCTTGTAACAACCGGTCCCAGAGTTCCTCTTGGGGAGGGAAATTACTTTGTTTAGAAAAAGATCAGAAGATGACTCTGGGAGTATGGGAGGTAGATCCTGTTTTCCTATTCTGGAATGAGACAGCAAAGCAAAGGGATAGTTAACTATTCTGTATAAGAAATGCATAGATTTAGGGGTGGGGAGAGAAGTGAGGGGAGTGGGAGATGGGGTGAATGGGACTGGGTAATGGCTAGGGTAGAGGTAGGGGAACAGTGACCATGTGGGCAAGATGGCATTTAGGGAGAAGAGAGTCTGATGTTTTATTTGTGTTGCTGTGATGTAATCCCCCCTTTGCGTCAGGCCAAACCTTCAGTCACATGTTATATGAGTGGTTATGGGGAAAGCCAAAGATAGGAGGCTGAATTTCCTGCTTGTGACCAACTGTGGCAGAGAGAAGAACCCCTGGAAGTGAGATGCTAATGAGGTTGGTTGAGCGTTCTTCGAAGCAGAAGCGCAAATGAGAACTAGACCTGAAGTCCTCACAGAAATCTTGAGGAGGTCATAATTTTCACTGTATGATATGGGATAGAGGTCTTGGGTCAGTTTTATTTAAACATCAAAGGGCAGGTAACCCTGGATTATATGGAGAGTCAAGTTAGTATTTGTACAGCGGTATTTAGCCTAGTATTAAAATATAACAAGCATGTAATAAGTAAGTTATTTTTTCTTCATCAAATTATATATACTCTTCTCCCAGAAAAAATGATCCCAGGCTGGGCACGGTGGCTCACGCCTATAATCCCAGCACTTTGGGAGGCCAAAATGGGCAGATCACTTGAGGTCAGGAGTTCGAGACCAGCCTGGCCAACATGGTGAAACCCCGTCTCTGCAAAAATACAAAAATTAGCTGTTCATGGTGGTGTGTTCTTGTAATCCCAGCTACTCGGGGAGCTTAGGCAGGATAATTGCTTGAACCTGGGAGGCAGAGGTTTCAGTGAGCCGAGATCATGCCACTGCACTCCAGCCTGAGCCTGGAGACTCCGTCCCCCTCAAAAAGAAAAAAATCATTCCAGATTTAGTTAACAGTCATAAACTAGTCCGCAAACATGATTTGTTTGGGCTATTTTTATAAATTGTGTTTGAATGTTCTGGTCAGGGTATGTTCTTTTCCATTTGCCTTAGGCCTCACTACTCCCTATTGTCTTTTCCTTCTGGCGGACTCACAGATTGATGTGATCTGCCTGACTCCTAAAAGTATTTAAGTTTGTGGCTACCAATTTAAGTGAATATCCTTAAACTGTGCAGAGATCAGAGGACAATCTGGCATGTATGATATTTTCCCTTGCAGGTAGATTGCATTATTAATTACATTATTAGCTGTCCCTCCTATAGAAGGAATATACATCTCTTTCAGAAATTTTTAAGAGCCATTGTGTGATTCACATTTTTTCCCTCTCTGCCATGAAAACAAGCATGTCTCAGATAAAGGTTGCTCTGTCAGCCTCAGTCTCCAAATAAAATTCTGTAGAACAAAGCAGATGCCAACCACTGCTAAATATGTAGCGTAAGTGAGAAATAAAAGTTTGTTGTTGTGAATCACTGAGCTTTTTGGGGTCGTTTGTTACCTTACCATAAGCTTGTCTATTAGGACTGACACAACCCCTCTGTGTATTTTAAAGATGAGAAACCTAAGGAACACTTCCCAGCTTGCATATGTGTTCATGAAAGCTATTTAGCTTTTACTTATTTCTACTGAGATGATGATGGCAATTTGGGGAGGAGGAAATTTCAAAGCTCTGTTCTGGGGAACAGATACAAAGCAAAATCTAATTTACTGCTCCAGGGGCATCTGTGTGTAACACCCTAAACAGTGCCCCCAAAGGAGGAGTTCATCTCAGAATATGAGTTTTGGCATAATTTGTGAAATGTTTCATCACCATGGCAGCCCATCCATCACGTCTTCTTCATCAATCAATGATTAATTATTCAGGTTCTTCTGAGGTCTGAATTAGCCTGATGAAATTTTGAAAAGAAAAATATATGAAACAAGAGACTTACAAAAAAGAATCTCAGATTGGAGATAGAAATAATCTGGAGGAGATAGAAATAATCTTAAAAGCACCCATTCCCTTAGCAAACAAAATAATTCATGGTTTAGCTGTTTATTATCTTCTAGACAATGCATCCTAAATCTATCCCACTGGCTTTGACTCTCCTTCTTGGATCTGTTAAATATTTTTCCAGTCCCTGAATGTTTGGGGGAAGCCCCAATAACACCTCAAACCTAACATTATGCGAACTTGAATTTGTCACTTTCCTTTCTAAACATTCTATTTATGCCCATGATATCATTACCTTTTCTGTTTCTTAGGGCCTGACATTTAGAGTCCTCTAGGTAGGGAAAGGCAATCCTGGGAGAGCCAATAGCAAGAACAAAGGCATAGAGGAAGAGAACCCGAAAGAGGGCTTAGGGAATCATGAGCAGTAGAGCACAGATTAATGGTGAAAGATTTAAGATGGATTGGTGGCCAGTCATGGTGGCTCACACCTGTAATCTCAGCACTTTGAGAGGCCAAGGTGGGAGGATTGCTTGAGTCGAAGAGTTTGAGACTAGCCTGGGCAACATAGAGAGATCCCATCTTTACAAAAATAAAAAAAAAAATTAGCTTGGCATGGTGGCACATGCCAGAGGTCCCAGCTACTTGGGAGGCTGAGGTGGGAGGATCACTTGAGCCTGGGAGGTTGAGGCTGTAGTGAGCCATGATCATGCCACTGCACTTCAGCCTGGGTAACAGAGTGAGACCATGTCTCAAAAAAAAAAAAAAAATAAATACAGATGGATTGGTAGCTTGGAGTCAGATGTGGAGAGCCTGGGTTGCAGTGTTGAAAGGTTAGGACTTAATTCTATGGCGAAAAGGAAACCATAGAAGTTTTTGACCCTTGGCCAGATAGGATAAGATTCATTTTAAATAGTTATGGTGCCAGTTTGGAGGACTGATGGAAGAAGGGAGAAACTGGAGTTGGAGAGACCAGTTAGGGGGCCATTGGAATAATTCCGTGGAAAAATGATCATAACCTGAAGTAGGGCCAACGGGGTAGACAGAAGGGGTGTGTCAGCTCTTGACCTCCCCAGAGAGCAGGGGAGCTGGAAATGCCTTTTCCTTACCCTCTGCACTCAATCAAATGCTTTTGCCATACTGAGCTATAGAGAGGATTTGAGGCTGAGAGGGCACTCTGAAATCCCCTAAGACTCTGAAATGAGGGCAGCCGAGTGGGAATTCATGGCCTGAGCCAGCAATTCCCTTCAGAACTGCAGAACAAGGGTCAACTCAGCAAAGCTCTCTGCCCAAAGTTAGCTGAAGACCCCCTGCCTTCATTACCAGCGTCTTGCTTATCTCTTAATTCTCTCCAGTTCTGTTCCATGAAGCTAACCCATAGAAACATGGCTGCCCCTTCCACCCCCTCCTCTTTTGTTAAAGGCAAGAAAATTGTTTTAATGCTGTTTGCAACCCATGCAGAAAAAATATTTCCCAGCAGGTGTTTCTGAGCATTAAGCAGGTTTTGCTGCTCTCCCTCCACACATCACTTTAACAGCCACTCCAGCAAATTGCTTAGTCCATGAATTCTCATCTCCCTTGCTGCCTGCATTAAACTAAGAGAAGAAAATAGAGATCATTAAAGGCCCCTTCCCTTGATTATTTTTTTTAAAAGGGCATGATACATTTTGAAGAAAAGGGAATAAGTCGAAGCTCGGGTATAACCAATATGCAAATCAGTACCTCTTCTCTTAGAGGTGTTCATGCCCAAGCTCCTCAGACAAGTCCATCCCACTGTGTGGGAGGAAGTTGAAGGGTGAGGATTTTTAAGATTTTTATCTTGCTTGAAGTTGTGAAGACTCAATGACAAATGGCTAGGTTTTGAAGGGGTCTTGGAAGTCATTACTGGGGATAGACCCCTCTTGATACTTGTCACATTAATATCTGCCCAGACTCTCACACATTCAGATGTTTAACGTCACATGCATTAAGTTCTTTTGGTTGCATGAGACAGTGATGCACAGAAACTCACTTAGGAAAGGAGATAGGTGGCAATAAAGAAAACAGGGATTTCATAGGAATGCAGTAAAAAAAAAACCATGGTCTAATCTTGCTTCTTGGAGACAGGACCCAGATTAAAGATATTTGCAGGGATGTCAGCAGTAGGAGTTTGTGGATCTGCAGTCTGGTGCTTTACCATTAACTCAAATAAGACCTCCCTACTTCTGCTTTGAATGTATTCCCTCCCATTACTGTGTTCCAAACCTTCCACACCTTTGTCTTCACCTCAGTCCTGCTTATGGTTTCTGCCGTGTTATGTTTCTTCTTCTCATGGCTTGATCATCCTCCCTTCCTTCCCTCTTTCAAATTCCCTGGCCAGAGATTTTATTCCCATGAGAATTTGAGGGATGAACCAGCTCATGAATTGGCTGTCTTGAGACATATGTGTCACCCTGGTTCAACCAGAGTCACTGGAAGAAGGTAATGGGGGTCATGGGTATGGAATGCAGCTGCCCCCCAGCAAAGGCTATGGCAAGGAGGTTTGTCTTTAGGTGGGGATAAGGCTGTGGATAACACCACCACCAAAAAAGTCTCCCCTTAGGGTCAATTAAAAAATACATGATGTCAACATGTAAGTGGCATTCACTGTTCATGCTAAAATAGTTTATGTTACATTTTCCTGTGGTTGTAGTGAGCTTTAAGATTTAAGGGACAGGGTGATCATCCCCTCTACAGAGATTTTGAAAGTGGATTAGGGGAATCAATGATTTGCCCAAAGTCCTATAAGCGGGTCTTGAATATGAAGTTATCTTTGCATTATGCTGTCATGAATTGGTTCTTCAACGTTATCTGGGGAGTACCTACCCTTAGCTAAGCTAAGTTTAGATTCCATAAATTTACTTTCCAGACGAAAGTCTTAAACTGTTCATGAGCTTACCTCTGTTCCTAGCTAGGCTGCTCAGTATTTATTCTAAATCTGCTTTCAGTTCACAGAGAAATCTTTGCATTTGGTAGACTTTTCCCCTCCAATGTGATATACAGTAACTGTTGCTACTTGGAAGAACAATTGTATGCTTACACACATTCTGAATGCTTCATGTGCACATATCTCTGGCCCATATTTCCTAGGGCTTCCCAGAAACAGGAATTCTTGAACTGTCTGGGAGCTCCACTTATAGCCAGCAAGACTTTAACTTCTCCAAGGCAGTGATTGCTAGAATTCTAACCAGCTTTATTTGAGTCTGGGCTCTAACCACCCTGGGTTGTTAGCCAGTACTTAAAGGAAACCTAACTTCTGTAGACGGAAGCTGAGGGATGTTCTGCTCAGCATGGCCTTGACTTCTTGGCATGAGAGCTGATGGGAAACTCTTCTGCCAAATGTCCTATATGCCACACTAATTTGGTCAAGGCAAGCTGCTGGGGGAGAATTCAGGCCCTGAACTTCTGTTGCTGGATCTTGTTACCTAGGCTGCTCTTCCTGGTATCAAATAAGTGTACCAATTGCAGATGAGACCCTTGCTGAACACTCAAGGATTAGCAAGCAGGAAACAAGTCCCTAGGCCAGGCTGATAGGGACAGGTCTTCAGTTTGGGAAGGATGAGAGTGTTGGAGAAGATCCAGTCAAAACCTTGGAGGATCTCCAATCCCTGGCTTTTTACTTGTCTCTGTTCTGGGGCCACAAATGTCCAAAGGACACAGGCTCTTCACCCTGACCCATGGCATAGACACTCACACAAAACCTAGGCTACCACATACCTGGCTGACTCCATAGATGATACACACATCAGATTTGCCCTGTCATTGTTGCTCTCACTCAACTGTGCTCCGAAGACCTGGGGAGCAGGAACTACAGGCTTCAGAATGAACACATGCAGAAAACTACCACATAGTTCTCTGCCTGGTATCATGGGCAACGGCCTTGAAGTCAGATTTCCTGAGTCCTTCTCATCCTGCCATTGTTTCCACCTACCTGTGCAAGTAAATGCTGTCTCCTTCTAGGCCTCAGTTTCCTTAACTGTAAATGGACAGGACTGAATACATGGAATGCTTTGTATATGAAATATCCTTGGCTTGGGTCTCTGTGGTTCTTAATTCAACCTTTTCGGTGTAATGTTCTTTGCTTTTGTTTCTCTCCCACCTGCCCTGGCCCCTTGTCCTGTCTCCCACTCTGTTTCCTCCTCTTTCTCCTTTTTACTCCAACCCCATCCAGCTCCTGTCCCTGTTCCTGTCTCTCTCCCCAACCCCTGTCCCTGCTCCTGTCTACACCCTCCTTCTTCTGCTACAGGAAGAGAACACTTATGTATATTTTTGCTTCATCTATGGTATGTAGCATAGAACCTGGCACACATTCCACTCATGCATTCATGCATTAGTATACTCCATAGATATTTGAGGAGCATCTATCTAGTACGTGCAGGCCTCAGTGGCTCTTGGTGTGGAAGACAGGTAGACAGCCTGCTTAGGACCTGGGTGAAATATATAGCGCTTAAAACATGTGGGTTAAGCAAATGAGTATCATGTCAATTTTTAGTTCTATGGAGCATTCTTGGTCTCCAGTATCACTTGGAATAGTACTGAGTACTTGACCCTATAGGAGAGTTGGAATCATGCCTACGAGCCAAAACTCTTCAAGTTTTCCACATGGGGATTTCTTCTTTGTCTCATGTTATTGTGTTAAAAGCACCTGTAAGTCTAAGCTCTGAGCTGGCACTGTTACCTACAGCAGTGAATTCAGTTCCAAGACTGGTAGAGAGGGGATGAAAGGGTGAGAAGAGACACAAAAACAAGATAAAGTGGAAGAGAGGACATAGAAGGGCTGGAAAAGAAAGAAGAGTACAGGGGACAAAGGAATGGGCTTTGAGGATGAGGACTTTTGGGGTTAGGGCATAGCTTGCCAGGCACTGGCTGTGTGACCCTGAGCAAGGTGACATTTTTCTCTCATCTGGAAAATGAGGTTAAAATCATTAGCAACTATGGGGACTAAATGAGATGGAGTCTGTCACATTCTTAGTGTGGTGCCCATGAAATAGATGCTCCATAAACAGTAGCTATTCTCATTATTACTGGATAAAGAGAAGAGGGACAGGAAATGAAGAGGAGAATAAAAAGGGAGAAAACTTCAGGGAAAAGGTAGGGGGAAATGAATGAGAGATTTCCATTATTGAGTAGGGTCACTGGGCCTGTTGGCTGTTAGCCAGCCAGTGCAGGGGGAGGGGACTTGACCTTCCCTAGCAGAGGGAGGCTGTTTCTTTGTGTACAAACCTCAGTAGTCATCCCAGGCCACCTGGAAACATCAGGGGCCCTTGCTGTCATAATTGTATCTGGAGATTTTAACAGAATTTTTAGTGTTTGGGAGAAGAGGCTTTTATGATACTGTATCTTTATTTAGATATTATTGAAAAGATTCATTCAGAAAATAATGCTTCACTAGATACTGAACTTGAGAGCAAGATCTTAGGGTAGTAGGTCCCAATGCATGGCCCAAAATGTGGATACCTTGGGCCCACGTCAGACCTACTGAATCAGAAGCTCTGGGGATGGGGGCTGACATGTCTGCATTTTTTTTTTTTTTTTACTATTTCATGGATTTATTTTATTTTATTTATTTCAGTAGTTTTTGGAGAATGGGTGGTTTTTGGTTATTTGGATAAGATTTTTTAGTAGGAATTACTGAGATTTTGGTCCACCTGTCACCTGAGCAGTGTACCCTGTACCCAATGCTAGTCTTTTATCCTTTGCACTCCTTTCCCCCCATGTCCCCAAAGTCCATTATATCATTCTTATGCCTTTGTGTCCTCATAGTTTAGCTCCCACTTATAAGTGAGAACATACAATATTTGGTTTTCCATTCCTGAATTACTTCATTTAGAATAATGGTTTCCAACTCCATCCAAGTTGCCGAGAATGCCATTATTTCATTCCTTTTTATGGCTGAGTAGTATTCCATGAGGTATATTTACCATATTTTCTTTATCCACTCATTGGCTGATGGGCACTTAGGCTGGTTCCACATTTTTGCAATTGTGAATTGTGCTGCTATAAACATGTGTGCAAGTGTCTTTTTCATATAATGACTTCTTTTCTTCTGGGTAGATACCCAGTAGTGGGATTGCTGGGTCAAATGGTAGTTCTACTTTTAGTTCTTTAAGAACTCTCTATACTGTTTTCCATAGTGGTTGTACTAGTTTACATTCCCACCAGCAGTGTAAAAGTGTTCTTTTCTCACCACATCCATATCAACATCTATTATTTTTTGATTTTTAAATTATTGCCATTCTTGCAGGAGTAAGGTGGTATCTCATTGTGATCTTAATTTGCATTTACCTGATAATTAATGATGTTAAGCATTTTTTCATATGTTTGCTGGCCACTTGTGTGTCTTCTTTTGGGAATTGTCTATTCATGTTCTTAGGTCACCTTCTGATGGGATTCTTTGTTTTTTTTCTTGCTGACTTGAGTTTTTGATATTAGTTCTTTGTTGGATGCATAGTTTGTGAATATTTTCTCCCACTCTGTGGGTTGTCCGTTTACTCTGCTGATTATTTCTTTTGCTGTGCAGAAGCTTTTTACTTTAATTAGGTCCCATCAATTTTTTTGTTGTAGTTGCATTTGCTTTTGAGTTCTTGGTCATGAACTCTTTGGCTAAGCCAATGTCTAGAAGAGTTTTACCAATGTTGTCTTCTGGAATTTTTATGGTTTCAGGTCTTAGATTTGGCTCTTTGATCTATCTTGAGTTGATTTTTATATAAGGTGAGAGATGAGGATCCGGTTTTACTCTTCTACACGTGGCTTGCCAGTTATCCCAGCATCATTTGTTGAATAGGGTGTCCTTTCCCCACTTTATGTTTTTGTTTGTTTTGTCGAAGATCAGTTGGCTGTAAGTATTTGGCTTTATTTCTGGGTTCTCTATTCTGTTCCATTGGTTTACATGCCTATTTTTATACCAGTACGGTGCTGTTTTGATAACTGTAGGCTTGTAGTATAGTTTGAAGTCAGGTAATGTGATGTCTCCAAATTTTTTCTTTTTGCTTAGTCTTTCTTCAGCTATGTGGGGTCTTTTTTGGTTCCATATGAATTTTAGGAATGATTTTTCTAGTTCTGTGAGGAATGATGATGGTACTTTGCTGGGAATTACATTGAATCTGCATATTACTTATGGAAGTATGGTCGTTTTCACAATATTGATTCTACCCATCTATGAGCATGGGATGTTTTCCCATTTGTTTGTGTCGTCAATGATTTCTTTTAGTAGTGTTTTGTAGTTTTCCTTGTAGAGATCTTTCACCTCCTTGATTAGGTATATTCCTAAGTATTTTATTTTATTTTTGCAGCTGTTGTAAAGGGGATTGAGTTCTTGATTTATTTCTCAGCTTGATCATTGTTGGTGTATAGTAGTTCTACTGAGATGTGTACATTGATTTTGTAGCCTGAGACTTTACTGAATTCATTTATCAGATCTAGGAGCTTTTTGAATGAGTCTTTAGGGTTTTCTAGGTATACAATCATATCATTGGCTAACAGCAACAGTTTGACTTCCTCTTTACCAATTTGGATGCCCTTTATTTCTTTCTCTCGTCTGGCTCTGGCAAGGATTTCTAGTAATATGTTGAATAGAAGTGGTTAAAGTGGGCATCCTTGTTTTGCTCCAGTTCTCAGGGGGAATGCTTTCAATTTTTCCCTGTTCAGTATAATATTTGCTGTGGGTTTATCATAGATGGCTTTTATTACCTTGAGGTATCTTCCTTCTGTGCTGATTTTGCTGAGGGTTTTAATCATAAAGAGATGCTGGATGTTGTCAAATGCTTTTTCTGCTTCTATTGATATGACCATATTATTAAAAAAATTCTGTTTATGTGATGTATCATATTTGTTGACTTGGGTATGTTAAACCATCCCTGCATTCCTGGTATGAAACTTGATCATTGTATTAGTCCATTCTCACGCTGCTAATAAATACATACTTGAGACTGGGTAATTTATAAAGGAAAGAGGTTTAACTGACTCACAGTTCAGCATGGCTTGGGAGGCCTCAGGAAACTTACAATCATGGTGGAAGCGGGAGCAAACACGTGCTTCTTCACGTGGCAGCAGGGTGAAGAAGAATGAGTGCCCAGTGAAGGGGGAAGCCCCTTATAAGACCATCAGATCTGATGAGAACTAACTCAGTATCATGAGAACAGGATGGGGGAAACTGCCCCCATGATTCAATTATCTCTATCTGGTCCCTCCCATGACATATGGAGATTATGGGAACTACATTTCAAGATGAGATTTGGGTGGAGACAGAGCCAAACCATATCAGTCATGGTGTATTATAGTTTGATATGCTGTTGGATTCGGTTAGCTGGTATTTTGTTGAGGATTTTTGCATCTGTGTTCATCAGGGTTGTTCATCTGTAGTTTCCTTTTTTTGTTATGTCCTTTCCTGGTTTTGGAATTAGGGTGATACTGGCTTCATAGAATGATTTAGGGAGAATTTCCTCTTTCTCTATCTTTTGGAATAGTTTCAGTAAAAGTGTTACCAATTCTTTGAATGTTTGATAGAATTCAGCTGTGAATTCATCTGGTCCTGGACTTTTTTCTTGTTGGCAATTTTAAAATCACTGTTTTATATAAATCATATAAATTACCATTTTTAGTTTGTTCAGAGTTTCTATTTCTTCCTGATTTAATCTGAGAGGGTTGTATATTTCCAGGAATTTGTCCATCTCCTCTAGATTTTTGAGTTTGTGTGTGTAAAGGTATTCATAGTAGCCTTGAGTGATCTTTTGTATTTCTGTGGTATCAGTTGTAATATCTCCCGTTTCATTTCTAATTGAGCCTATTTGTATCTTCTGTCTTCTTTTCTTGGTTAATCTTGCTAATGGTCTATCAATTTGGTTGATCCTTCTAAAGAACCAGCTTTTTGTTTCATTTATCTTTTGTATTTTTTTTTTGTTTCAGTTTGATTTAGTTCTACTCTGATCTTTGTTATTTATTTTATTCTGCTGGGTTTGGGTTTGGTTGTTCTTGTTTCTTTAGTTCCTTGAGGTGTGACCTTAGATTGTCTATTTGCACCATTTCAGATTTTTTGATGTAGGCATTTAATGCTAGGAACTTTTCTCTTAGCACTGCTTTTGCTGTATCCCAGAGGTTTTGATAAGTTGTGTCAGGATTATTGTTCAGTACAAAGAATTTTTAAATTACCATCTTGATTTCATTTTTGACCCAAAGTTCATTCAAGAGCAGATTATTTAATTTCCATGTTTTTGTTTAGTTTTGGGTGTTCCTTTTGCAGTTAATGTCTAGTTTTATTCTGCTGTGGTCTGAGAGGATACTTGATAAAATTTTAATTTTCTTAAATTTATTGAGACTTGTTTTCTGAACTATCATGTGTTCTATTTTGGAGAATGTTCCATGTGCTGAAGAAAACAATGTATTCTGCAGTCGTTGGGTAGAATGTTCTGTAAAGATCTGTTAAATCCATTTATTCTAGGGTATAGTTTAAGTCCATTGTTTCTTTGTTGACTTTCTGTCTTGATGACCTGCCTAGTGCTGTCAGTGGAGTATTGAAGTCCCCCACTATTATTGCGTGGCCATCTATCTCATTTTTTAGGTCTGATAGTATTTGTTTTATAAATTTGGGAGCTCCAGGATTAGGGCATATATATTTAAGATTATAATAGTTTCCTATTGGACTATTCCTTTTATCATTATATAATGTCCCTCTTTGTCTTTTTTTTCTTTTTCACTGTTGCTTTAAAGTCTGTTTTGTCTGATATAAGAATAGCTTCTCCTGCTTACCTTTGGTTTCCATTTGCATGGAATATCTTTTTCTACTCCTTTACCTTAAGTTTATGAGTCCTTATGTGTTAGGTGAGTCTCTTGAAGAGAGCAGATTCTTGGTTTGTGGATTTTTATCAATTTTGCCACTTTGTATCTTTTAACTGGAGCATTAGCCCATTTACATGCAATGTTAGTATTGAGATGTGAAGTACTGTTCTATTCATCATGTTAGTTACTGCCCTAATACCTGCTTTTTTTTTCTCATTGTGTTATTGTTTTATACACCCTGTGAGATTTACGCTTTAAGGAGTTTCTATTTTGGTGTATTTTGAGGTTTTTGTTTCATGATTTAGAACTCCTTTAAGCATTTCTCATAGTGCTGGCTTAGTAGTGGTGAATTCTCTTAGCATTTGTTTGAAAAAGGCTATCTCTGTCATTTATGAAGCTTGGTTTCACTGGATACAGAATCCTTGGCTGACAATTATTTTGTTTCAGGAGGCTGAAGATGGCTTCCCTTCTGGCTTGGAAAGTTTCTGTTGAGAAGTATGCGGTTAATCTGATAGAGATTTTCCTTTATAGGTTGTCTGATGCTTTTGTCTCATAGTGTGTCCAGAGTTTGTTCCTTCTGGTGGGTTCGTGGTCTCGCTGACTTCCCCAAAGGCTCCTGTGAGATATAGTCAGGGATGGCTTCTTGGGGCTCAAGCTGGAGACTGGGAGTGCATTCGAGGCACTTCCCATTGCTACTTGTACTTTTATATGTCTCATGACTCTCTAAACCCATTTTGTTACAGATAGACAGGCGTGAACTGGGCAGGAGAAGGCTCTCCCCAACCCACCAGGAATGCGGGGTGATGGTCTAGCAATGATCACATTGCCTCTCTAAAAGTGACAAATTGGCAGCTGATGCCAGGGAGAGGCCATTTCCTGGCACCAGTTGCCTTTTGCACTAAACTGTTACTTAAATGCAAATGCCAGGGAGAAGCAACTTCCTGGGCATATGCATTAAGAGAAAAAAATGGTGGAGTGTGATCTTCAAAGGACACTCCACAAGAAAAGGGAAGAAAGACTCAGATGGGCATGCATACAAATTCCTAAACACACTGCACCTGCTCACTTCCCAAAAGTAAGGAGGGCACCTGTGCATGTGGGCAGCCCATTCTAAAGGAAGACTCATGGGAAAGGGGTGTAAGATGCTGGAGGTGGGCCAGCCTATAAAGCCCTAGATCAAGGTTAAACACTGCATTTGTTCTTCAAGTTGCCCTCTTGAATCTCTTTCAAGTGTACTTGCCTTTCTTTCCTGTTCTAAAGCCTTTTAAAAATAAACTTCCACTCCTGCACTGAAACTTGCCTTGGTCTCTTTCTCTGCTTTATGCCCCTCAATCGAATTCTTTCTTCTGAGGAGCCAAGAATTGAGGTTGCTACAGACCCTTAAGGATTCACCACCGGTGATTCAGATACCTTCCACTAGTAACAGTTTCATCTCTAGGCAGGGTTAAGTCCTTCTCCTGTGATCTGGATTTTCAGATTTTCCAGTGTGGATGTGTGTTCAGAGGTAGGTTTTCCCGGATCACACTTTGGGAACTCAGTTTTTCACCTGGCTTGTGGAATTTGCAGTGGCGTCCCACTTCTTTCAAAGGGTCTGTGAATTATTTTGGTTTTCCTGGTATGTTCCAGTGGTGGTTCTTGGAGCAAAAGATCACGGCGTAAATCTCCACAAGCTGTTCTGTCAGTCCAGTCCACATGGGAGCTTACATGATAGCCCTATCTCCTGTCTGCCATCTTCCCTGGAATTCTTAATTGTCTGCATTTTTTTCAGGTTCCTATGCAATTGTAATGGACATTGAAGTTTGAGTACCATAGTCCTAATAGGTTCAGAATATTAAGAAACTGACAAGACAAATAACATCATATTACTAAAAATAATTAACTGTAGCTTGAGATAATAGTTTTGATTTAATTTCTTCAAAAGGGAGAAAAATGGAAGAGTCAGAACAGGGAAAAGGAATTAATAAAGATTAACAGCGTAAAGGTTATAGGAAGCTAAAATTTGGCTTAATCTGTGTAAGAAATTTTTAATGGTTACAGTTGTCCCCAATTAGCGTACTTTGGAATATAGTGATTCCCCCTTCTTTTAAGGGGTTTAAGGCAACCTGTCAGGCTCTGCGCAATTTCCTAGCTGTGGCATTCCATCCCCCATATGTCCCACGACGGTTAGAGCTCTATGATGCCTAATGGCTGGCTTTGGTCTCCTCAGACTCTGGACCAGTTGTTTTTCAAAGTGGGGTTTCCAGACCAGTGGCTACAAGCCTCACCTGGAAAGTTGTTAGAAATGAAAATTTTCCCCAGCACTTTGAGAGGCCGAGGCGGGTGGATCATGAGGTCAGGAGATCGAGACCATCCTGGCTAACAAGGTGAAACCCCGTCTCTACTAAAAATACAAAAAATTAGCCGGGCGCGGTGGCGGGCGCCTGTAGTCCCAGCTACTGGGGAGGCTGAGGCAGGAGAATGGCGTGAACCCGGGAAGCGGAGCTTGCAGTGAGCCAAGATTGCGCCACTGCAGTCCGCAGTCCGGCCTGGGAGACAGAGCGAGACTCCGTCTAAAAAAAAAAAAAAAAAAAAAAAAAAAGAAAGAAATGAAAAATTTCAGGGCACATCCAGACCTACTAAGCCATAGAGTGATATAATTGGTGTCTATGTGGGGCCTACATTGTAGGTGGGAGAATTTTTCAGATCTCCGAGATGGTTCAATATTCTGCCCAAAGAATCACTGTATTAGGGCAGTGATTCTCAACCTTGAATGTGCATCACACTACTACTTGGAAGCTTTGTGAAAACACAGATCTCTAGGCCCTGCCTCCAGAGTTTCTGATTCAGTAGCTGGTGTGGGCCTGAGTTCCCAGGCGATGAGCACAGGGAGCTGGCATCTAATCCTTTTGGATGTTTATGTTCCCTGGCCACAGGTAGTTTTTCATACATACCTGCCAATCACTACTCTGCTGAATACACAAGGGGGACTCTGTGCATCAACCTAGGCTAGTCTGTGCAGCTCTCTCCTCTGCAGTGCTGTGGACTTTGGTGGCCTTGGTCTCCCCAGACACTGAGACTGTGTCTCAACTCAGGAGTCCATTGGGCTCTGCCTGAGTTCCCCTTCCCTGAGCCGCTGCCTGGAAACCATCTCAAGATAGAAAAGTGGGGAAAATTACAGGACTTACCTTATTTGTTTGACATCTCTCAGGGATCGCTGTTCCCATTGCCTGATGTTGAGTGTCTTCAAAATTACTGTTTCATAAATGTTGTCTTTTTTTGTTTGTTTCACACAACAGGGTAAATTCATTCTCTCTTTCTCTATCTTGGGCAGAAGTAGTGTTACAATTTATATTTATAAAAGATTGCTGACAGCTGTTGACAGAGTGTGACCTGGAAGCAGGAAGGGAGGGGTGAATCTTGGAGACTAATTAGGAGACAGGCTGTGGCAGGCCAGGGGAAGCTGTAGATGGAGACATGGGCGACAGCAACAGCAGTGGAGATGAACAGAAGTGGAGGCATTTTTGAGGCATTGCTGAATGGATTTTCTGATGTGGGAGTTCTACGTAGAGCGCTTGTCTTTGTGAACCTGCTGGTCTCACCTGTTATTTACTGATGAATTGAAATCAGAGTCTATTAGATTATGAACTGTATGTGGATGAAAGCAATTCTGTCTTGTTCATTGGTTTATGTTGAGAGAATATAGCTTATAGCATATCTGCTGTAAAAAAGTAGGAATCTACAAGAATCTGTTGCATAAATACATAAATCCTTCCGTGTGATTCTCTTCCCTAGACCAGGCTGTCTTTGAGACTATCTGCCTATTTTCCTGTTGCTTCTTCATGCATTTCCATTTTATTAACCACTTGCTTTTATAGCTCGCCTAGGGCCCAGCAGCACCTGCGCTGCCTGAGAGTTGGTTAAAAATTCAGAATCTCAGGCCCCGCTCTAAACCGACTGAATTAGACTTTGTATCTTAAAAAAGACAGTGGTCTAGTTATTTTTCCTCTATAACTCATAATGTATTTGTTTTCTGTTGGTCTATACAGCAGAGAGTAAAAGGCATAAGGAGAAAGGCCCAGGTAATTTTTTTTTTTTTTTGAGACGGAGTCTTGCTCAGTTGCTCAGGCTGGAGTGCAGTGGCGCGATCTCGGCTCACTGCAAGCTCCGCCTCCCAGGTTCACGCCATTCTCCTGCCTCAGCCTCCCCAGTAGCTGGGACTACAGGCACCTGCCACCACGCCCGGCTAATTTTTTTTGTATTTTTAGTAGAGACGGGGTTTCACCATGTTAGCCAGGATGGTCTCAATCTCCTGACCTCGTGATCTACCCAAGGCCCAGGTAATTTTTATACATATTTAAGTTTGACTTAGACCACTTCTAATGCCTCCTAATACCAAGTTCTACCTGTAGGATAGGACTCCTTTCGAGTTTCTGCTCCTTATCCGAATATTCTGTTTGTGTCCACCCTACTCAGTGACTATTTCCAATTTCAGGTCAGTATCTTTCGAGATGAGTCTGTCAGTTTTTCTGTGTGTCTTTTTTCCACTCCTCTCACCAGTTTACATTTTAAGATGGCCTAAAAGTGTCTATGAAGTCTTCAAAGATTTCAGAAAACCCCAGAATTAATACCAATGGCAATATGAAACCTGGGAAGAGGAAAGCAAGGGAAGATATTCCGTGGCATACAGAGAAGGTGGATGTCACAACCAATTAGAAGCAACAAGTTTCAAAAAACTAGAGGGCACCAACCTGAAAGGCTCTGTGCTCAGGGATTTGAGGATAAATGGCTTTCTCACAATGGGTAATTAACTTATGGAGTGGGTTTCCGGAGGCAGCTGGGAGAGCTGATCGACAGTGACAGAGCCTGGGAATTGCTTTTACAGCTCTTCCCCTGTTTGGCTCAGGGATGCAGAGGGAAGTTGCTGTGGAAGTCATTCAAGAGAATACTGTATGGCAAGTAGCCGAAGACATGAGATTCTGGACCAGGAGGGCATGAACGCTCCTTCCTAGCTGAAGTACTTACTTGGGGCATCTTCCTTGAACACTCACATATGTATTCACATTCTGTGGCTAATAAAATGCTTTCACAGACACAGTTTTATTTGAGCAGTGACTATGATGTAGGCCGCAGAGGTAATATTATCATTGTGATTGAAGCGTTAGTCCCGCCCTTCACTATTTTAGTTTAAAAGATGAGGAAGTTGTGGCTCAAATAATAGAATGAATTCCCCCAGGGGGTTCTGTCATAAGTCAGGACTAGGACCTAGGAATTCTGAGACCTTTAGTATAGACATTCTTTCTCTACACCCCATTGTATAATTGTTTTCTTTTGCTCTATGTAGCAAGAAATAAAAGTCATAGGAGAAAGAATCCATTTTGCTTTGAGTGGAACACTCTGACCTCTGAGTTTTTTTCTAACTATAACATTCTACTGTATAAAGAAAGAAAATATGAAGGACCCAAATCACAAAGCTGAGTAACATTCTCCTGTTGTTGATCACATGCCATGCTCCGTTAAATGTTTTAGACACTTTCTCCTTTAATCTTCATAATGACCCACTGTAGTGGGTGTTATTATTATCATTTTACAACTAAATAGACTGAGGCAGGGGGAGTTATTTGCCCAAAGTTATATAGACAGAAGTAATGAAGTTGTGATACAAACCCCAGCCTCCCTGACTCCAGATTTCAAGCTCTTATTCCTTCAATCAGTTCCATTCAAAATGTGGTCTTAGGACAGGCTGAAGTCTCTAAACCAGTAACCATCCTTGATGACATAATGAACCTTGAGCTAGCATACAAATCAACTACATCTTTAGGCTAGATGACGTTTTTATGGGGGAGGGGAGAGACAAAATTCTGTTGATGAAGGAAGCAGTGCATGATCTACATCCTCCTCCAAACGCCTCATCTCCTTGGACATGGGTAACAACCATTTTGGAGACTTGCACTTTGAATAGCACCTCCTTAAATTTTACTGCCCATAGAGTGCCATAGCAATTATGTTATAGATTCCACCTTAACATAAGGTGTTTTGCACTGGCTGTTTTCCACTTTGAGCTGAAAAGGGAGTGTTAAGCTACTGGGCTCAAACTAAAGTTAGATTGGACTGATTTATGTTTCTCATTCAATAAGTCTTTTTTTGAAAGCCTTTGTGTGCTGTTGTGCAATCCCACCTAAATCTATTTAAATCATTTGTACTATTTTAATTTTTATAGCTTATGAGTCATTGAATTGTAACTAAGAAGCCAGAGGCCATGGATGGAGGAAGGAGCCATGTTTCTATTCATTTTGAATATTCTTAGGGTGTGTTTCTTTGTGGGTGCCCAGTAAATTTCATGGATTCACTGACTGACTAGAGAATAAAGGAATAAAGTTGAGCTATACCAGATTAAATATCTTGTGGGCAGGAATTACAATCTCTATTTTGGGCTGTCCATTTATAGGTCCTTTTGTGAATGATGGTGATTAGAACATGCCTGTGGTCCTATCTTCAAAGTGGCTTTAGATATTCCACAGGGGTTAGATGGGATCTCTCTTTAGAAGAAAAAAAGAAATATTTGTATAGAAGATTGTTTTCATTGCGGAGTCAATAATAATAATTTTCAACCCAGATGTGAATAAAGATAATCAACCTAAGTTACTGTTGGGAAAACCAAGGCAGATGGAAAACCAAAGTCACACAGTGACGTTATAATCTCTATTATATATAAGGCCTATTCTCCCAATTTTTAAAAATGTAATCATGTTCTCCTTTAGTTTAAGCATGTTACAGTTGGATGCTCAGACACCGTCTACTTTTTACAGTCTTCTCCCTTTATGGTTTTTGTTTTAAGTTCTGTGCTTTAGGCATTTCCTGAAACAGTATCTAAGACATGGAGAAGCCTCAGGGCCCTATTTAAAGGAAAGGCTCCTCACCTTACCTTGCAAGTTGTGGGAGATCATAAGAGTCTGTAAAATTGCTCAACTGGAAAACGAAGGAACTGAGCCAGTGGAAATCACCAGTCAATTAAATTCATGGGGACATAAATAACACCCCATGTCGATATTGGGTTTATGTCAGCATTGTGACTTGGGTGCTGGAGAAGTTTTCAGCAGTTTTCTTCCTGGCTAAGTGGAGTCAGGCTGTGTTGAACATACCCTAACATTTTTCTTCCTGCCTTCTTCCTTAGCCTATGTCATCAGTGTCATTAAATTATTATTTAAAGCTGTTTATTCATCTTCCCATCCAGTCTTCATGAAGGCAGAGGCCACATACGTCCTTGTCACTGCTGAGTCCCCTGCATGCACTTGGCTCTGTGGCTGTTATAGGGTAGATGCTCACTCACTGTCTGCTTCTATTTAGTGAGCGTCAAGGAAGGGGCAAGGGAGCTCAGTTCTGGGTGAGTATAGGAAAGGGACTAGGACAAGTGTCGAAGTTTGTGGAAAGACGCTTTCCCTTTTTATTGCTGGCTTTAACAGAAACACTGAAGAGACCAGACCCCTGGCTCCACTGCCTTCAAATCTGCCATGTAATTTTCCTGACATGAACTTCTTGAGTATCATCTTGCTAGTTTAGTGGCCAGAATTTGACTCTGAAAATGACTGTGCACTTTTACTTAGAGGATTACCCACATCCTCACTTCATGTTGCCTGTTGCCTTTGAGATTTTTGTCTGTACTTGCTTTTTTCATTATCATCTACCTTCACTATTCACGACTATGAAGTGTGACAGCATATCTTGCAACATGAATTTTCTTACACCTTCAGTGGCACTTGATGAGAAAGTGACAGAAAGGTCTCCATTTACTCCAGTGAACTATTTGCCAGCCAGTAGGACATGATGTTTTTGGGGGAATGGGGGCAGAATGAAATATATGATTTTGTGATTGAGAAAGAATATTTCATATTTAATTGACTCTGGAAATTTGGACATTTGGTCACTGGGCAAGGTTAGATTTTTCTGTGGTCAAATGTCACAGTTATGGGTTAGGGTCTTATCTTTTTCCCATCTCTTATTTTCCTTTTGCCTTTTCTGTGTTTTTCCTTCGTTTGCTGCCAGCACACTCATTGTTCTTTTTCTCTCCACCCTTAGAAGATGAAGCACTTCTCTCAGAGTAGCAGTCAATAGCTGTGGTGCCACCCGAGGACACCCACCATCTTTGCTGGGCTTTGGGACCTCAGCCTCAGCCTCCTTGGTTCCTTGTTTTTTTTTTTTGTTTGTTTTTTTTTTGAGACAGAGTCTCACTCTGTCATCCAGGCTGGAGTGCAGTGGCACGATCTTGGCTCACTGCAGCCTCTGTCTCCTGGGTTCAAGTTATTTTCCTGCTTCAGCATCCTGAGTAGCTGGGATTACAGGCATGCGTCACCACACCCCTCAGCCTCCTTTCGACTCTATTTTTTTGTCTCTTCTTTTCCAATTAGACTAAGATCTGAACATTTCCATTAAAGGGCTTGGAGAGCATAGGTGACTAAATGGAATAAACTGGATGAAGACTGACTCTGGGACCACGTGGGCAATGCAATCAGGAGAGGTCTGTGCCACAGGTAGTTGGCACCTGGGGAGGTCTCTAGGTGGGTAAGAGGCTGGGATCTAGGGAGTTAGTTGGGCATTTGGCTTCTGAGAGGTAGTGATGACTCAGCTCCAGGGAATGGGATACAGTAGCCCCATAATTTCATGATTTGAACTCTGTTTCCTGCCTCTGGCTTAGTCTGTGACTTTGGATGTTTACTTAAACCTCGTTCCACTCTGAGATTCACTGGGGTAGGAACCTTGGTGGTATTCTTCCCTTCTGTATTCATCAAATTTAGCAGATGGCCTGGCATATAGTAGATATTCAACAAATTTCTGCTGAACTGAGCTGAAATTCTCTGTATCAACTATTTCTTGGGGACCTCTAAGCTCTGAACCAGGTATTCTACTCCTAAATTCTGTTCATTACCTTCAAAGTAGCTGACCTTCTGGGAGAAGTTCAGCATTTGTTGCTTCAGTATCAAGCTTATCCTGACTTGTTTTGATTTTAACATCCTGTTTTTCTCTAAAACTCAGGGTCCTTTGTAATATTATAAATGGAGTGAATAAAGTGTGCTATAGCTGTTAGCAATCTTCTTGAAGCATAAATCTGCATAAACCCCTTGCCAAGGCCATG
Organism: Homo sapiens; assembly: GCF_000001405.40. Classification (NCBI taxonomy): domain Eukaryota; kingdom Metazoa; phylum Chordata; class Mammalia; order Primates; family Hominidae; genus Homo; species Homo sapiens. Next base: position 155,255,101 of record NC_000005.10, read on the forward strand.
CCAATCCAGAGTCACAGTGGAGGAGCAGAGAGGGTTTGTGTGCAGCGAAAGCCTAGACTACCAGCACTCTTCCTGACTATGTGGTATGCACAAAGTTCATAACCACTTGAGTTTAGACTTCTTACAAGTTCCAGATTTCAGTTTTGGCATATCTGTTGTTTCAGACAGTTCCTCCTAGATGTAGCTGACTTTGTGTGCATTAATAAAAACAACATCCCAAAAGAATAGTACTTAACATTTATTGCATGCATTCTATAATTCAGATAATATAATAGGCATTTTACTGAAGTTATCTCATTCGATCTTCACAAAGATTCCTATTAAATACCACTAACCTCATTTTACAAATGAGGGAATGAGATTTAAGAGCATAAAGTTGATGCTGTCAACCATAATGTTTGGGTTATTCAATTTAGTGATGTGCCAGCCACCGTGTTGTCCTGTGGCTAAATAAAAGTAGGTTAAAATGTGGATTTTGTGGCAAGCATGGGATCACTGGGAAGGCAAACCTTGCATTTATGAGCTGATTATAAACATGATGTAAAATATGATGTAATGAAGTTTTAAATTAAATGCGATTAGTGCTCAAATGGATGGTACAGACCAGTGGTTCTCAAAATGTGGTCCTCAGATCAGCAACATCAGCATCCCCTGACAAGCAAATTCTCAGCTCCGCCTCAGGCCTACTGCATCAGAGGCTCTGGGGTTGCGGCCCACTACTCTGTGTTTTGACAATCCTTCCAGGTGATTCTAACACACTAAAATGTGGGAACCACTGGTAGACCACAGGTGTTAAGGGCAGTGGATTTGTTTCTTAGGGCTGCCATATGAGTTGCCACAAACTGGATGGCTTAAAACAACAGCAATTTGTTCTCTCACAGTTCAGGAGGCCAGAAATCCCAAATAAAGCTGTTGTCAGGGTTGGTTCCTCTCGAGGCTCAGAGGAAGAGACTGGTCCCATGCTTCTCTTCTAGCTTCTGCATCTCCAAGCCATCCTTGGCATTCCTTGCCTTACAGCTGTATCACCCCGATCTCTGTCTTCATCTTCACATGGCTTCTTCTCTCTGTGACTCTCTGTGTGTCTTTTCCTCTTCTTCTTTGGATTTTGGGCCCACCCTAATCCAGTATGACTTTGTCTTAATGAACTACATCTGCAAAGACCCTGTTTTCCAATAAGGTCACATTCTGTGGTTCCAGGTAGACATGAATTTTGAGGAACACTATTCGACCCACTACAGGCAGTTAAGATGAAGAGGGGTTGGGTAGAACCCAAGCGAAGAGCTTTAGGGATGTCTTTGAGGAACTGATCTGAGTGGATGAAAAAAGTGGATGTGGCTGGGCGTGATGGCTCACCTGTAATCCTAGCACTTTGGGAGGCCGACGCAGGTGGATCATGAGGTCAAAAGTTCAAGATCAGCCTGACCAACATGGTGAAACCCCATCTCTACTAAAAATAGAAAAATTAGCTAGACGTGGTGGCACATGCCTGTAATCCCAGCTACACAGGAGGATGTGGCAGGAGAACTGCTTGAACCCAGGAGGCAGAGGTTTCAGTGAGCCAAGATCACACCACTGCCCTCCAGCCTGGGTGACAGAGTGAGACTCCATTTAAAAAAAAAAACAACAAAGTGAATGTTTTGGGGCTGGTGGGGTTGTCGTAGGAATGAAGGCTAGTGAACATGTACAGACTAGTTTGACTTGGTGGGGAATATGATGTTGGGGCACGGACAGGGTTGGAATGAAAACACGTTTGTTGATGTAGTGGTAATACATTAATGTAAACAAAAATAAGTAACATATCACCTTGATTTTCACATATCGCTAAATCACATTTATATTATAAAACTCTTTGCCAAGTGATGTAGTTTGTAGTAAAAATCAATTAAGATATTATTCTAATAACTTACATACAATTTTTCAATTTGGCAAATTATTAGGATTCTTCATTTGATCTATCACTAGCTAAACAATGCCCCTATTTGAGTCATAATTTGACGTGAGGAACTGCATCAAACCCTTGCAATGACTCTCCCAGTAATGCTCATGGGGTTAAATAATCTCAGCATCTGCTGATCTCACACCAATTACACTCAAGATTTCCCAGCTCTTATATTAATAGTACTTTCTGAGGCTTTAAAATATTCACTATCTCTATTATGAAATGTGTCACAAAAACAGTTTTTTGGAACGTCATCTTTGATTAGGTCTTAATTCTTCAGGCTAGAAGAGAGGAAACACAGCCCTATTTCTGGAATGCCTGGTTCAAATTTTGGTTCTGTATCTTAAATTTAAATAATTTTTCTGTGCCTCAGTTTTATTTTTCTGTAAAATGGGGATAATTATATTGATGTTTATAGTACTCAACTAAGTGAATATGCCTTTAGCATGGTTCATGCTGTATATGTGATAATTCTCATTTTTATGAATAAAATTAATGTTGTTATTGCCTATGATGGGTAAGAATCCAGAAGGTTTTTAACAACGCATTCCATTAAATGAAAGGTGAAATTCCTAGGGGCCCATGCCTAGGATGCCACCTGACCTAAACCACTGCCATGGGTTCTGTTATTTGTAGCCTCACTCCTGTTGCTGGAGGGCCTACTAGAATCCACTGTACTGACAAAACCCATAGTTCTTGGCCAGTATGTAGGATGGGGCCTCTTACTGCCAGCCTTCCTGCTTTTCCATTTTCCTTGTTGAACCCAGAATGTCTCATAGCTGAAGTCCCCAGAGGCTGCAGTTGCCACCAGTAGCTACATGAGATCAACCCCAGAAGAGCAGGCTGGTAGTGAAAGATCACAGCCTCAGGGGTCTACGTGGGTATCATGTATTTGTCCACCAGAATGTCAGTAACAGGTGCCAGTGTCAGGAATGCCCTTTCCTCTGTTGGGGTTCTCAACTACTCTGGCAAAGACCACACAAGCAGCAGGAGTTTTGGGGGGCTGATTGGCAGAAACACTGATGACCAAGGACTTATGCTGGCATAGGCCTGGAACAGGTCCTAGAGGTCTCCTGGTTGTGCCAAGCATTTACCCTGTTAGTTGCTGGATGGTGGAAAGATGGGTGAGGTAGTGAGGTCATGGGGGAGGGGCTAGTACAAAAGTACTGCAATATTTTAATAAATGGAGGAGCTATTCCTGTGAGTCCTGGCTGAATCTTAGACCTGGGCGAGGAGAAGATGCATCTACGCCAATAAGGCGAAGCTAGTCTCTAAAGGCCTTGAGTTCTGGCCTGTGGGGTTGGACTTCCTCCAGTAGGCACCGGGAAGTCAGTGTTGGCAGCCCACCTTGCTCTTTGATTCAAGCAAAACAGAGTTCTAAGCCAGGATTTAACTGAAATAAAAAGATGTAGCTATTTTTCCAAGGAAGGATTTCGCTTTAAAACATTCTTGTTTGTTTGGCTTTTCCTCTGTTTATCTGTTGGCACCGCTCTTTTGGAGGTTAATGTGAGTTCTAGAGAGAGGAGAATGGATTACAATATTTAAGCCTTTGCAGATGCGAGCCTTTTTTTGATAATGATTTGGGATTTAATAAGTCATTAAAAATTCTCCAACAAATGCTTTGCAGGTGGATTTAAAATTTTTTTTTAAGAGGAAGGCTAGGGAAAAAGAAATTGAGAATGACCCTTAATCTTAGATAAATATCTTACCCAGTTTTGGAGAGACACATCTGTCAGTCTTATTGCTACTAATTGTCCCCTGTATTGAAAATGCTGGCTGCTAATTTGGATATTGGGTATCAACATAAACACAGAAAAGATGCTTGACTGACATCATCTCTCCTTCCTCAGTTGCTGGTCTCTGGCTATGCCTCTTTCACTGCAGCAGCCACGAAGTCTGACGTGGGTAGAATTTCATGAACGGTTTATTTCCCAGAAGTCCAGGGCAAGCTTGAAGTCTCTATTGGAATTATTTTTACCCCCGTACTCTCCATCACATAGCAATAAAATGTTGGAGCGTCAAGGTTGTGTGTGTATTACAGCAGTTAAGAGTGTGTATTTCTGAATTAGCCTGGGTTTGAATCCTGACTTTTACGAGAGAAGTTAAGCACACCTGTAATCCCAGCATTTTGGGAGGCCGAGGAGAGGGGGCGGATCACTTGAGGTCAGGAGTTCAAGACCAGCCTGGCTAACATGAAGAAACCCGGTCTCTACTAAAAATACAAAACTTACCTGGGCATGGTGGCATGTGCATGTAATCCCAGCTACTGGAGAGGCTAAGGCAGGGGAGGGGAATCGCTTGAACCCGGGAGGCAGAGATTGCAGTGAGCCGAGATGGCGCCACTGCACTCCAGCCTGGGCAACAAGAGTGAGACTCTGTCACAAAAAAAAAAAAAAAAAAAAAAAAAAGAAAAAAGAAAAACAAGTCAGGACAGTCCTTAATCTTAGGTAAATGACTTCTCTAGTTTTGGAACGACGTAGCTCAGTCTGTTGCCTAAATGCACCTGACAACAATAATCTAAGCATACCCTTAGAGTCACCCTGTATTCAGATGCACCTGAATGTGTGCTCGGAGCTAGGGATTCTGGGAATGGCCAACCTGGAGATTCGTTCCTTATGTATGATAAACATCTGAGCTCCCAGCCCATCTTGTGGAACACGGGCTGTACAGGGGATTGAGGCCCTGGGTTTTGGGTTACATGAAGGTTGCCAGGTGAAGGTCGTTAAGGGGATGGTGTTAAGTGAAAATGCTGTATATAAACTTCATGCTGTTTGCAGGCAGTTGTGGTTTTCCTGCCTAACCCACTGCCATTGGGCCCTGTGGTTATGTTGTCTAGCCTTCCACCATTGGACTGTTATGTAAGGCGGATATCTTGTCCAAGCCACCACCCCTAGACTGTTTCTGTACGGAAGGCAGTTCTCCTACCCAGCCTGCAACTACTGGACTCTTTCCCCCGTATGGAAGCCCCCAGTAAAACCCCATGTCTCATTTGCTGGCTCCAGGTCTCTTCTTTGGCCACTTGAGCATGGTGCCTTCCCTATTGAGGTTAATAGGAGTTCTGCATAGCACAGTCTTGGTGCTACTAATGTATAAAACATTCTATATGGTGTTGGGAACTTGGGTAAGTCATTTAACCACTCAACATGTCAGTTCCCCGTCTGTAAAACTGGGATTAAAAATACCAGTCCTTTAGGGGTACTATGAGGATAAAATAAGTTAGTATATTCATCTCTAGCCTAGCGAAAGTTTGATTTTGGGAGCTGGGGGCTGGAGGGTTTAAAACAGTTTGTACCCATTTTAAAGTTTATAAGCCATTGTGTTTGTGTGTGTGTATGTGTGTGTGCCTGTGCATATGCAACAGTGTGTCAATCAGGGACCAATCAGGAGGCAGCAGTCATATGGTAACTTGAGTGAGGAGACTTTAATATAAAGAATTAACTATTACAGCGGTTAAAGTCATGAGGGATTGACTAGTAAGAAGAAAAGAGAGCTCTAAAGAAGATAGGAATATCAGATATAAGGTGCAGCCAGCCACTACCCATAAAACTGAGACAGAGCATCACAGGAAGAGACCCTCTAGGCTGAGACCTAGTGATTGTTGGAGAGGACAGTGCTGTGACTTACTGAATGGCAGAGATGTTGGGGTGCTGCACTGGTGTAACTTGCTAGAATCTGCCCTTTGGAGCTTGTAGGCAATGCGTCCTAAGGTGCTAAGGAAAACTGTCACAGAGAAGTGTCTCCCTACTCTGCTATAGTAGAGGACTCTACTATAAACTTCCCAAGTGCTACTAACTACTATGCACTTCATAAGCTTGGTGCTCAGGAAGCTGCCTGCACTGCGGGAGCTGGATGCTGAGAGAAGCCGTGCATGCTGCAGAAGCCAGACATTGAAGAAGCTGCTTGCACAGCAGGAACTGGGCATGGGAAGCCACCTGTGCTGCAGAAGCCTGCCCTCAATGGAGAAAAACCCTTCCAGCTCAAATGTCTCTTCAGCACCCTCCATGGACAACATGTAGCATTACGCCAGCTGGTGAAATGAGTTATTTAAAGGACTAAAACTCATTTGTACAGAGCAGGCAATGCTGGGTGATTTTGGATTGGAAAGGCAATACATTGATAGCTGGTAGAGATGGTGAAGAAACAAATTCTTAATTCTGAGTATTTCTCACCATGTTCAGTTTTCTGCTCCCCTGGTGTGAGACCGCTAAATAATCCACAATAATAGCTAATACTCGGCATCACCTATGAAATACTTCCATTTCCCCCTGATGTTTAGGCTTACAGTTTTAAGTGATGTCTTCCCTTTGTAAGGTGATTTGCACTGAAGACTATTTGTGTAATCTGTCATGAGAATGAGCTCCAATAGTAATAGAATGTGGTTGTTGCCATAATTAACAAATTGACTACTCCAGGGAAAGAGAATACACACACACACACACACACACACACACACACACACACATATTTGCTGTTTTATTTAATCAGAGAGGACATTCTTTTAGAATGGACCTTGTTGGAGGAACAAATAGGGAACTTTTAGCCCAAATGTATTCCTGCAATCTCACAGTAGCTTTTTTCTTTGTATTACATAGAGGTAGGGTCTTGCCATGTTGGTCTACAATCTCCTGGCCCTAACTATCCTCCTGCCTTGGCCTCCCAAATGCAAGGATTACAGGTGTGAGCCACCACACCTGGCCTAATGGTAGCCTTTTAACCTAATATATCCCTTCTTTGTTTTGCTTAGTTCTGAATGAATTAAAGGCATTAGATAAGAATTAGATGCAAATTACATTTATTCTTTGTACAATGTGGAGCCAGTGAGGATTTTGAACAGAACTGTGATGTGATTGAAGAAGTTCTGTAGGAACATCTGCATGATATCCGGCTCATAGGAAATGCTTAATAAATGCTGGCTACTTGGACTGTTGCTGGTGTGGATCTCCTCTGTGTCATCTGAGTGATGAGCGGTCACCCTCTGAGAGAGATCACAAAGGGCCCAGGCAGAAATAACCAGATGCAAAACCAGCCTATTTTTTTGTGGCATCAACTAAATAGGACTAGATAGAAGAAAGGAGGGTGGTTTGGATTCCTCAGCCTAGGCTCTTCCTTAAGCATCTAGAGCTCATTTAAGAGTCTAATTAGACCAGAAAGGCCTTGTCTATTGACCCAGGAGTAAAGGTAGGAAGAAAGGGCATGATTAATTTAATGCCTGGAAATCAGGGGGAGAGATAGAAAAATGCCAAACAGGTCAGTGAGCAGATGTAAGCATCTTTTCCTCTCCTCTCTCCAGTAATTTTTACTAGGCTTCCAAATGAAGTTGTTAAAAGTGGGGATATCAATTTGCATTTATTTCCCACAAGTGATTATTGAGTGCTTTCTGTGTGTGAGGAGGCTGTGTAAGGTGCACAGGTGGAGGTCCTGTGGCCCCTCAGTCATAGCTGGGGTTCTTGAAGGAGCACCAGGAGACATGTAGACTAACTTGTGTCAAGCTGCATATATGCATCATAACAGCACAACTGGAATCTGATTCCACCATTCCATGGAAAACACTTTCTCCGCAGTCATCTGTCACCTCTTTGTGCCTAAATCCAAAGGATCAATGCCTGCGCTTGTTTTGCTTGACTTTTAGCAGTCTCTCCTTGAAATTATCTTTCCTTGGCCTGGATGGCGTCACCTTCTCTGGGTATTCCTTCTGGAACTCAGGCTTCCTCTTTTCTGTCTTCTTTCTGAAACTTTCCCCCTGTGTATCCTTTAAATATCTGCATTCATCATGGCCCTCGTTTATCCTCATGCTATACACTTTTTCCAGGTTGATTCACTCTATTTGTAGTGCCTTAATTACCATTTACCTATAGCTGATGATTCCCAAATTGAAAACTTAAGCCCAGGTTATTCTTTTCAACTCTATCCCCATCTATCTAAGTGTGGGCTAATTGGACATCATGCCTTGAAAATTCCAAAGACGTTTTATTAACTCCTTCCAAACTGTTCTTACCCATTTCCCTCATCTCAGTAAATGGTACTCCCATCCAAAGAGTTGCCCAAGCCAGAAACCTGAGCATCACCCTTTACTCCTACCCCTACCTTCACCTAATCAATGGCTGATCATGGTGGTTCTACCTCCTTAATAGCTCTCAAAACAGCCCACTCCTATCATCACAAAACTCTGTTAGCAGAGGACACCTTCACCTTTTGTCTACATTACTCCAGTAGTTTGATCTTTTAATCCACACTCTTTGCAGAAAGGTTTTACCACACCCAAGAAGGGGCAGGTACTCCTTGATAATTCCTCAGCTGCTCCCTTGTGTTCTCAGGATCAAGTCCTAGCTCTTTCACATGGTCCACAAGCCTCTTTATGAGCTGATTTCTGTTTCCCCTTTCAGCCTTCTCTCATATCACTTCAGCATCTTTTTGAATTATCTGCTCCAGCTACACTGAACCACTGAATGCACCATTTCTTGAGTGGACCATTCTTTATCTGCCTAAACTTGTCTTTCATTTCTCCACTTCTTCATTTGGGTAACTCCCATTTCTCCTGAAGGACTCATCTTAGATGTATGTATGTCATTTCCTCCAGGAAATCTTGGCCCTCACCCATACCCGAACCCAACTAGACTCGATGAGATCACATATGTGGATCCCATAACATCCTGTATTTGCCCTTGTATTACCCTATTTACTGTCCACCCCACCCCAACACTACATCTTTATTACTTCTATGATCCTAGTACATAACATGGTGTCTGTTATGTGGACATCTCTTGGTAATTATCTGCTCATGTATAAAACCACAATGCTGCAAAGAGCTCCAGGAGCACAGAGGAGACAGGGAGTGCTTCATGTAGTCAGTGGCATATAATCTGGATCTTAGGGTATGGGGAGGGAGGACTGGAATAGTTGGCAGTGAGGAGAGACCACTCTGGGTGGCAGAAATGGCTTGAGCAAAGGTTCAGATGCAAGGAAGTGCAAGGTGTGACTGAAGCAAGCTCTCTATAGGGGAACAATGGGATGCAGTTCTGAAAAGGCAGATTGTGGTTAAGGCTTTGAGAGCTGAACTACTAACAAGTTCTTTCTTTAGGTAATCAGGAGCCAAAGAAATTAAGTATGTGTGTGAAATGATCAAAGAGATGCTGTAATAGTATTAACGTGGCAGGCAGCATTCAGGATGGATTGGATGTGGGGAGGGGCTGGAGAGCGAGCATAGTTGAGAGGCTACAGTGCTGACTGTCTTAGGGAGGTGAGTAGGAGGTAGGTAGGATGATGGCAAAGGGAAGAGTGAAGTAGGGGCAGCTGTGAGATAAGGAAGCTCGTATTGGATGGTCTTGGAAGAAGGTCTTGCATTCAGAGTAAAAGCATAAGATCGTGGTGAAGGCTTGAAAAAAATGTGAGTGGATTAGAGGAATTGCAAATAGAAGCGCAATTTGGATTCAAGGTAAAGACATCCCTCCTTGTGGTCTGATGGTGAATAAGGAGATCCTTGCATTGCCGAAAGCAGTGAGGACCCAGCCGAGCTGGGCCAGCATGGACTGGTGGTAGATCCCGTCAGGCATGTTTTTTCTCTCTCCTACAGTGTTTTTCTCTGACCCAGAGCAGGGAAAGCAGTAGGGGTTCAAAGGAAAGGGAGCAGTCCATTCTTCATGAGTTTCATATGCTTGTGCAAACTGTAAGAAATAATACCTTTCAGATTGCTCAGGAAAGATATTTTTATACTTACATAACTATGAAAATTGGGACGTTTCATCATTTCCTCTTGTGACCAACAAGGCACCTGTGGGGTAATCAAGATAATGGCTTTGTGATGATAAATAGCAGAGCTAGTGTTGGAATGGAGAGCAGGATGGGGTTTAAGTTCCAACAATTGGACCAGATCTCTTTGTTCCTATAATTGCATTATTTGACGGTGTGCTGTCTAGCCCACATTTTCCAGACGAGTTCTGGGTTCTATTTTTGGAGTTGGCTTTGTAGCAGATGGTGTCATCCAATGTAACCAGCAGGCAGGGCAGGACAGTTTTCTGTCCCAAGGATGCCGCCAGCTCCAAAGCAGGTGATAACTCTGGAGAGAGAGGGAGAGAAAGTGGGCGTGGCCATCTTCCTTGAGGGGCTCGTGGAGTGTGTGTCTCTTCCAGCTGCACCTGCACCAGAACCACTAGGTAGGCTACACCTGAGAGCTCAGCATGGCAGAATTCTGCCCTTCTTCCCACCCACACTCCTCAGCACACCATTGGTTTTGTGTACCATATCCTGCTTGGGGTGAGAATGAAGACAGCTGACTGTCAAGGTTCTACTTCCCTCCCTACCTGGAGAGCTGAAAACCTCCTTAATAATTCTGTACCTGCCTTATGGATCAAATGATTCAAAGGGACAACTGGTTGCCAGGTGCTATCTTCATAGAAGAAGGAGTGAGCAATAGTTTTCTGCCTTTGAGCCCCGGCATCAGCCTCCTATTTTGACTTGTTACCTTGAATCCTGGTTTTAGGAATTTTGGAATTTACAGCTTCTTGTGATCACAATTGATTGATCATTCTACTTTACTTGGGCTCTCTTGATAAGTCTGACCTACCTCAGGGCCAGTCTGGTTTGCAGAATCTTTAAGAAACTTAACTATCCTCATTATGTCCACTTGTACCAAAGGACTGGGCAGTGTTAGAGTTCTAGTTCCTCTCAAAGGAGTAACTATTGACCAACTTTTATATAGTTTATGTCTTTCTCCACATTGCAATGCCTTTCTCGGTCCTGAAGCACCTTAGTCCCCTTCCTTCTCCCTGCTAATACATTCTATCACAAGCAGAAGGGCAATTATCAGGAGGTACAGGGAATGCATTCCACACATGTAACCCTTTTCCCTAATCAGGGACATTTGTCTTCAGGGATCTTATCTGGTAGTCTCTCTTTTCCTTGACATCTTACATGGTACAAACCATCTGTTAGTGTTAGAAAGGCTTTGGGGTGATGAAACCAATAATTCAAGTGTCATCAGGACAAACAAATCTTTCTCTTTTTCTCTATTTTTTTTTTATCCATCTCTGCTTCTCTGCCTCATTTTGGTTTTTATATGAAAAAATCATATGATTTTTCTTCATGTGGTAAGGGGAAATAATCCAAGGTAGTGTAATGGTAAATAATCCAAGGGTAGTTACCTTAGAGGAAAGAGAAAGCCCTGTTTCTCCCACTCTTCCCTTTGTCTATAAACATACCAGGGAGGGACTCTCATTGTCCTGCTTGAGTGATATGACTGTGCCTTGGGCCAGTCAAGGACCTAACCCCATTGGCCAAGGAGACGGGTATTTCATAAGAAGGGGGGAGGAGCAAGGGGAGTCATAATGGGAAGACAAGCAACAGCTTTTACTTGGTGGAAAGAATAGCAATAGAAATGAGCATCCACCTCTATTACTATAGATTCATTTTTCTCCGAAGGAATAGATAAAAGACAAAGGAATCACCTAATTAAATTACTGGGGAAAGACAACAGTTTCAAATTTGAAAATGCTGTGTAAGCCTACCTTTTTCTCCTAGTCATTTGCTCTGCCTTTTACACAAAATTGACAAACTTCTCCTTACGGGAAGACAGAGAAAGGATTTTTTTCCCCATTACATTTGATCGAGTATCATAGTCTTCTTTCTGAAGGGAATACAGCAATAGACATGTACTGTCTTCAGGCAAAGGAATCACCTTAGATGTCTAAATGGGACATTGCAGGGTTATAATCTTGCTTCCAGGAATAGCAAGTTGGGATTCTCTGTTTTGAAACTGCTTCCTGGTTTACTTTTGTTGTTATTGTTGTTTAGAATAGCTTTGTTTTAAAAAATTGAAAACTCAGAAACAACCAAGATGTCTTTTTTTTTTTTTTTTTTTTTTGAGACGGAGTCTCGCTCTGTCGCCCAGGCTGGAGTGCAGTGGCGGGATCTCGGCTCACTGCAAGCTCCGCCTCCCGGGTTCACGCCATTCTCCTGCCTCAGCCTCCCAAGTAGCTGGGACTACAGGCGCCCGCCACTACGCCCGGCTAATTTTTTTGTATTTTTAGTAGAGACGGGGTTTCACCGTTTTAGCCGGGATGGTCTCGATCTCCTGACCTCGTGATCCGCCCGCCTCGGCCTCCCAAAGTGCTGGGATTACAGGCGTGAGCCACCGCGCCCGGCCCAAGATGTCTTTTTTTAAAAAAAATTTTCATTGTAAGTTATGGGGTACAAGTGCATGTTTATTATATAGGTAAAATTGTGTCATTGGGGTTTGTTATACAGATTATGTCATCACCCAGGTATTAAGCCTAGTACCCATTAGTTACTTTTCCTGATCCTCTCTCCCATCCCACCCTCCACCCTCTGAAAGCTCCCTGTGTGTGTTGTTCCCTTCTATGTGTCCATGTGTTTTTATCATTTAGCTCCCCCTTATAAGTGAGAACATGTGGTGTTTGGTTTTCTGTTCCTGCATAAGTTTGCTAAGTATAATGGCCTCCAATTCCATCCATGTCCCTGCAAACCACAATGAGATACCATCTAACACCAGTTAGAATGGCTATCATTAAAAAGTCAAAAAATAACAGCTGCTGGAGAAAAAGGAATGCTTTTTACACTGTTGGTGGGAGTGTAAATTGGCTCAGCGATTGTGGAAGACAGTGTGGCGATTCCTCAAAGACCTAAGGACAGAAATACCACTCAACCCAGCAATCCTATTACCGGGTATATGCCCAAAGGAAAATAAATCATTCATTATAAAGGCACATGCACATGTATGTATATTGCAGCACTATTCACAATAGCAAAGACATGGAATCAACCTAAATGCCCATCAATGGTAGACTGGGTAAAGAAAATGTGGCACATATACACCATGGAATACTGGTCTACTTTTGTTGAAAGAAAGCCCATGCTGACTTCTCTCTTCTGGTTACTTCACTTGTAGGTGATGAAGTGATACAGGCAGACGATAGATGAGTAATATGGCAATACCCAAGCCAGCAGAGGCCAACGCCATGTGTATAAAGCAGTAGAAGGCTGCGGGATTTGAAGTCTCTGCCTAGGTTCCATTCACAACCCAGGACTCACGTGTTACTTTTGAATCATACCTTACTGTCCTCCTGCACCTATAGGAGATAAAGAGGCTTAACCATTCTGATGTTTACAATGTAGTTTAAACTGTCTGGATGAGTATCATAATCAATAAGACTTATTACAATTAGCATAAAATGGAAATGATTTAATTAGAGTGGGTTGTATGTTACTTTGAACAAACTTTTACTGAGACAAAGATTATAGAGCTGAAGATTGATGACAATGGTGGTGATTTTGATGGCTGGTATAGAAATTACCACCACTTTTACTCTCCACCATCTTTTCAGGGTGAGAAGTTTCTTGACATGCATGACCCCTGGGGCATCCATAAGAACGGCTTTTCAGATTTCCATCTGCAGGGAACATACTTGACTAATGGACCTAGCTTCTGTGCTCTGAAATCCATTAGGGCCTTTTTGCCAGTGACATGCTTTCCACAGGCTTCTCCCAGGCAGTGACTGATCATGGCAGGGATACTATGGAAGCCTTTTCGTGGGAGACAATGGTCCCACCAATGGCCTTGCTTAACTTTCCTTAGAATTGCACTACAGTCTGAAACTTTCCCAAAACACTTTCCTTCCTTCCTCTCCTCTGTCCTTCAGCTTGGGGTCAGACCTGCATCATAGTCTGATGGCTCTCCCACCGTATCCCGGTGGGTCCCTTTCCATTTTACCTTATGGGTAATTCCCTTTATAAATTCTTTTCTTACAAATTATGGTAACATATGTAAAACATAACATTTGCCATTTGAACCATTTTTAAGTGCACAATTCAGTGGTTTAGTTATACTAACAATGTCATACAACCATCACCAGTATCTATTGCCAAATTCTTTTCATCACCCCAAACAGAAACTCTTTACTCATTAAGCAACACTCCCCATCCTAATAAATTTCTTGTACTTTGATTCTGACTTGGCATCTACTTCTCAGAGGGCCTGACTAATGCAATCCCATTTAATCTTCATAACAATTGTTCAAGGCAGATATTACCCCTATATTCTGTAAGAGGAAACCGAGGCTCTGAGATGTACATAATTTACAAGAGGCGTGGGAGACAGAAGGGCAGGATAAAGTTAGAGAGAACTTGCTGACCCTTCCAATGTCCTTCACTTCAAAGTACTCAGCAGGCCAAAGTGCCACATCATGCTCTGAGTCCCAAGAGCATCTCTTTGTCTGACCTCCACTGGAATCATGTACCTGGGGCAACTTAAATGTTTTTTGTCACTCTAAGCATGTCTTTGAATGACTGTGAAAGTGCCACACTGTATTGATTTTGAAGTTACAAATATATTTTAGTGAGTAAGCAAATTTCTCTCTATAAAGCCTGTGAATAATAAAGATCAACTGGACATCATTAAGGGGCAATGGTTGAGTAGAGCCTCCTTCTGCCTTGGTTGTTCCAAATCTCACAACAGATCAGCCAAGTGAGTCATTCATTCCCTAATCCATCTCCCCAGATACTTATTCGGCAATAAAAAAAATCATTGAACAGGTGATTCTGATGGTAGGGCAAGATGTGAATTCACTGATGCTGTCCAGGCTCTCAATTTTATATGTGAGCTGGTAGACAAGATATCCCTTGCCGGATGTCACACAGCATGTTATTGGCAGTTCAGGGAAACCTCAGCACTCTTGCATATCAGTCCAGTGGTCTTCCCACAGCTTAATGCTTCCTTTAGCTAAGAGGCCACCGCACACATACCTGGTTAAGGCTACCAGTAATTGGCTTATACTTATGGTAATTTGGTTCCAATAGTTACTGAGCCCCTACTCTGTGACTATGAGCTCCTAGAGGGCAGGGGCTGTGTCTTGTTCATCATGATATCACATCATATTTCCATCTGCCAGGGCCTAGCACAGTGCCTGGTACATGGAAAATTCTCAACGAATGTTGGGTAAGTGAATAGTGTTGCGAAGTCATGAGCAAAATCTAGGTAATTCTAAAGTTTCTCTCACTAAGAATGAATGAAATGCACAACAGTATAAAGTACCGTGGAAGATCCAGGAGGATTACAGGCTATGATCATTATGATGGTTAAAATCACAGGATCTGGGGGCAGACAGGCCTGGACTCATGCTTGATAATGTGACCTTGAGCAAGACACTCAAACTTTCTGTGCCTTGGTTTTCCTCATCTGTAACATGGACATAATAGCAGATGCTACCACATGGGTTGGTTGTGAGGAATAAATGTGATAGTGCTTGTAAAGGGTTTAGTTTAATGCCTCAAAATCTAGTAAGTGCTCAGTAAATATCAGCTATTGACTTTCTTATCTCGTTGTGTTGATTAAATACATGGACAGAAGGAACAATTAAATCACAGGGGCGCCCACCGGAGGATTCAGAGCCTAAACAGTAACTCCAAAAGAAAAGAGATTATATGGATTAAGACATTTGGGAAGGAAGCATCTGATATGGTTTTGATGGATAGCTGAGATTTTCCCGGAATGGAAAGGAGTCCAGGAGATGCTGACGATATGAATAGAGGTGTGATGGCAAGACTGCACCTGGGCCATCATTCAGGACAGTGAGGGGTGAATGGTGGCAATGCTTTTAGGCAGAGAGTTAAAGGCCATTCACTAGTTGGAGGACCTCCTCCTGGAGGAAAGAAGAAGCTACTGAGCTGCTTTATGCACTGCCAGGAAAGCTCACGAGTCATTTCCTTTGACCTAAAGAACAGCATGATTTTCATCTCTTTAGAACTCAGAGAGCGTTCTCTTTTCTTAAAGCACCCTTGTTTTTGAAGTTGCTGTCTGGATAAGTTACCAGCATATTTCAAAAGGATGATTCAGCTCTCTTAAGGATTTCTTTCTTTTTTTTTTCCCCTTCCCTCCCTGAAACACAATGGTTTCATCCTGCAGGCTTACGAGGAGGTACAGAAATAGTGAGGTTCACACAGTGAATCATATATTCAAGGCCAACCAGATGCTGTTCACTGAGAAGACACTGAGGATCAAGGCTGTTTTTGAGCTATGGGCACATTCCTGCATCTGCTGAGTTTGTCAATAGACTTAGCCTCTGGTTCCCAGGATTCACACATCTCATTCAAGGCGCTAATATGCATTCATCAGACTTCTTTATAAGAATTCTCTTTCTCTGGTCTCTGTGCTTGTGGTATACACTGAGAGTGGCATCTTTGAAATGGGGGAATCTATCAATGTTGCTGGAGTGTACTCCCCTTATTTCTTTGTGTACTTTATGTATAGATCCTTTTTCAAGATGGCTCATGCTACCTATCAAGTTTCTGACAACATCATCCATCACTGCAAAAGGCCAGTGTGCACACACTTTTTTTGTGTGTGTGTGTAAAGGTTTGTTTCTTCCAGGTTAGCGAGAGGGAGTGTAAGTCTGAGGGGTGAATACCTCCTATACATCACCTATATCAATTTCTCCCCAGGACTGGGGGATGTCAAGCCTTAAAAGGAAGAGAAGAGATCCTTTTATCTCTCTGCTTCCACATAGGATTAGCTAGAGGGAACCCATAATACAATGCTGGGCTGAGTAGCCGCTCAGCATCATACCAGGCTCTGTGCTCAGGGCTGGACACAGAGATGCACAAGATGTGATTTATAAACTGAGCTCTTGCCCACAGGGGAGCGGTGGAGGTTTGTAAACCATCTAAATAAATAATCACTGTGGTGGATAGTAAGTGTTTCAAACAAGAGAGTAAAGCAAAGGTGGCAGACCAAGTCATGTTCCACTGAGGTAGTATTTTTTTTTTTTTTTGGTTTGGCTGTGACAGTGTTACAAAAACATTTTCATTTTTTTTTTAATTTTAGCTGAGCATGCCTCCATTTTTCATATGCTAACAATCATAAGCTAGAAAACAGATCTGTTTTCTTCTTCATTCTGATCCTTTAGCACTGATAAGTAATGAATGAAATCTAGGTCATTGTAGAATTTTTCACTAACAATTTTCCCAAATTTCATTCTATGAATTTGGACAGAATTGTTTTTCCCCACCCCAAATGACTTGACAAATGTTATCCCTATTTGTGGAGGGGGAAGGTAAAGAGCAAACTGATGAGTCTTTAGCGGAGTGCTCTGCATACAAGGTCAGGGTGAGGGTTGATGAGGATTTGTTAAAGCTCCCAGATGTGTCTCTCAGGACAGAGTGAACCTAAGAAGCCAAGCTCAGGGATCAAAACAGCCTCGTCTAGAGTTCTTCCTCTGACTCTTGCCAGCTCTATGGCATTTGGGCCCTTTCTCCAACTTTTCTGAGATTCAATTTTCTCATCTGGAAAGTAGAATAATAATACCTCCTTTGTACATTCACATCAGGGATTTAATATCAAAATACAACCAAAGCATTTAATCTGTGAAAATAAAAATCTTTGACAAATTAAATATAACAGAGTTTAATTGAGCAAAGAATGATTCTCAAATTGGGCAGCCTTCGAGCCAGAGTAGGCTCAGAAAGACTCCAGTATAGCTACATGGTAGAAGAAGATTTATGGACAGAAAAAGGAAAATGACTTACAGAAAATGGGAATGAGGTACAGAAATAGCTGGATTGGTTACAGCTCAGCATTTGCCTTATTTGAACCCAGTTTAAACAGTTGGCCATCTTTGATTGGCCAAAACTTGGTGATTGGCACAAGAGTGGGTTATAGTTCATTTACACATCGGTGATTGGCACAAGAGTGGGTTGTAGTCCATTTACACATCCAGTTAGGTTACTACGCATGGAGAAAACTTTAGGTTGAAATATGTTAAGGAGGCAGCTTTAGGTTAAACTTCATTTAACAAATCCAATGACAAGGCATAGTAAATGCTCAATAAAAAGTAGTTCTTATTGGCTGGGCACGGTGGCTCATGCCTGTAATCCCAGCACTTTGGGAGGCCAAGGCGGGTGGATCACCTGAGGTTGGGAGTTTGAGACCAGCCTGACCAATATGGAGAAACCCCGTCTCTACTAAAAATACAAAATTAGCCAGACGTGGTGGCACATGCCTGTAATCCCAGCTACTAGGGAGGCTGAGTCAGGAGAATCGCTTGAACTGAGGAGGCGGAGGTTGTGGTGAGCCGAGATTGTGCCATTGCACTCCAGCCTGGGCAACAAGAGTGAAGCTCCGTCTCAAAAAAAAAAAAAAAGTAGTTCTTATTAAGAAACATAGTTCTGGTCAGGCACAGTGGCTCATGCCTGTAATCTCAGCACTTTGGGAGGCCGAGGTGGGTGGATCACCTGAGGTCAGGAGTTCAAGACCAGCCTGGCCAACATGGTGAAACCCCATCTCTACTAAAAACACAAAAGTCAGCTGGGAGTGGTGGTGCGTGCCTGTAATCCCAGCTACTTGGGAGGCTGAGGCAGGAGAATCGCTTGAACCCGGGAGATGGAGGTTGCAGTGAGCTGAGATTGTGCCACTGCACTCCAGCCTGGGTGATAGAGTGAGACTCGGTCTCAAAAAAAAAAAAAAAAACGAAAAAAGAAAAAGAAACATAGTTCTGATTCCCAATTATGCATCTTGCCCTCTGGACTCTGGCCTTTCCTTTTTTCATGGTTGTCACTGTGACACAGCGGATATTTGATGACTGCATTCAAGGGAGAGGGAAGAGCTCAGGTTTTGGGTTACCATTTTGCAACAGGCAACAGAACCTGGTGATGATGGAGTGAGCTCTGGAGTTGGGCTGATCTGCTTTTCTTGTAGTGTGACGTTGGTCAATTCAAAACATACATCAGTTTCTGTTTACTCAGTAGAGATAGAATAATAACCCTGTCTCCCAGGGTTTTGTAAGGATTAAATGAGATAAAGATTGTAAAGCGCGGGCACCAAGCTAGGCACAAGCTAGCTTCTATGTGTTCAGGGAAAGGTATTTGTGGTTATTATTACAATTATCATCATTTCTTAAACTCTATTTACTTCTCCTTGACTGCCATGGGAAGATAATACTAATTTCTGTTCAGGCTTATGTAAAACAGGAAGCAAGCTTTGGACCAATTCTCATGGATGGCAATAAAGGGACGCCAAGCAGAATTTCGATTGCAGATGTGCTAGGGCCGTCCTGCCGAGCATCCCGCCTGCCCCTCCCCAGAGGGCCTGTTAGTGCCTCTCCCACACGTTCTCATCCCCTGGACCCCAGCAGGCCTTTCCTCCTGGGGAAGAACGTTTTGTTCAAAAAACCACAGCATCACGTTGTTCTGTCCACTGGCATTTTCACCCACTGCTAGGTGCTACCTGGCATGTGGCTTTGATTGACAAGATTACTAATCCATTATAATCATATTTTCATAATTAGTCCCCACGAGGCTTGCTGGCTGCTCTTGCCCAGGTAAACTCCTGCCTGCCGCAGACTGTTTTCACCAACTGTCACCTCCCCAGGAGGGAGCTGTTGGTCTAGCACCCACAGCTGTTGCTAGGAATCGCTTTTGAATTGTTCCTGATCTTCCCTTTTTTTTGGCACTTGGCTGCTAGGAATCCTTGCTTGATTAAAAGTTACAATTGTTGACTTCAGACTTGAACTTGTAGCAGAAATGGCTTTGGTTTTTCCATCTTCCTGATCACACACTGCTTGTTCCTCTTCTGCAGTTCCTTCCCTCACATCCTCCCCATCCCCCAAATCCCTGCGGCAAGGGCGAGAGGAAACTTCAAAGGCACTTCTGAATAAAAGAACACACGGTGGGACATCAATTATTTACCAGGCAAAGTTTTGGCAGGCACAGGGGCCTTTCCCTGTTTGTTTTGCTGAAGCGGGCAGGAAGAGTGATTTTGGAGGTTGCATTGTGCCTGCCCATACCTACCACTGTGGCCACAAAGGTTTGTCGAGCTCTGTCTAGACTCTTCCTTGGTACTCTGGCCCTGCACTGATTCGATAAAGAGTGACCAGGATGATATTACTCATTGAGCCCTTGCTGTACGCTAGACCCTTGCTAACAGCTTCTATTCATCATCTTGTTGAATCCTTGCAGCAACCTTAGGAAGTTGATATTAACCTTTCTCTCCATTTTACAGGCAGATGATGAGTGAAGGTACAGAAAAGTTAGATGACTTGCCCAGGGTCCTTTGGCTGGAAGCTAGCAGATCTGAGACTTGAGCCAGGCCTCATCTCTCCAGAGCAGGTATGTGTAACCACTATATTATACTCTACAGTGAGCATGAGCTACAGTGACAAGGAACTGGCACTACTAGGAGGAGGTGGCAGTGTCTTTAAGAGGGGAACTAGAAGTCTTCGAGGAAGAGGAGGCCTTGGAGACAGGAGGTTTTCTAGTCCTTTCTTGGTAAATGGAGAGATGGAAATGTGTTTTCTTTGTGCCCTGCACGGGGCTAGAGGAGGAAACTGCTGCAGGGCTTCCACGAGGACATATGGCCTCTGTCACTGGGCTCGGGTACCATTTGTTGACTCCATTGTGTGGGCTTGTGTCCCCGGATGACTCAGCTTGTGACTCTCATGAGGTCATCCGAATAATTAAAACCAGGGTACCCCTGGCTTCTGCTCTCACCCACTCAACAATTTCTTGGAATCTCCAAGTGCTTTATACTGGCATATCACCAGCTGCCCAAGTCATTTTTATTGGGGTATGGGAAGGAATTTATTGGGTTAGCTTGAATTCTGTTATTTTCCTCTTTATTTGTTAATATTTATAGAGTGCTTGCTAAATGCCAGATACTCTTGATAAGAATATTTTCACACATTATCTCAATCTTTTTACCCATGCTGGCAGGTAGGCTTTGTTATGCCCATTTTACTGGTGGGGGTGGGGGGGGTGGTGGGTGGAGAGAGAGAGAGAGAGAGAGAGAGAGAGAGAGAGAGAGGGAGGGGGATCGATCCATCCATCCTTATGCCCTTTAGTAAGGGATCTTAACCCAATCATCAATGGAAGAACTGAATCTTTAAATCTTCCTTTCTCCTTGAAGACCTCTGCTCCTCATTCTCTATGTCTAAAGCTAGCATTATTAATATTATGGATTCTGAGAGTTAATAACTTTTGAAGTTTTGGATGAATACTCCTTGTGAAGTGTGCACATATTTAGGCTTTGAGCACCAAGCTGGTACACTGGCCTCCAAAGGCTTACCTTTGTCTGGTTAAGCACTCAGAGGGCTCAAAATACATTTAGAGGAAAGTCCTGCTGTGGATGGAAGAAAAATTGTTGGCGTCTCAGCTGGACTCATGGTGAGACTCACAGTGACCAAGGTCAAATTCCCCAGGAAAGGATTCCTAACTACATCTGACCAGGCTGCCAATGCATAGACATACAAGACAGTGAATTTTCTTTGGCAAGATAACTTGCATTGCCTTCTCTGCAGAGATCACAGAGCTATAGCTCAATACATCAGAGTTGTTGAGAAAACATGGATGTCCACATCACCTGAATTTCCTAATAGGGTGGTGAGCCTAACAGCAACTATTTAGGAAATTAGGGTAGACAAGTGGAACCGGTTTTTTGCCCGGGTTTGGTGTTGAATACAATGCCTACTTGGGATTGTGTTCAGAGTATTTCCTTACAGTTTCAAATGATCTCATAATTTGACCACGGAATCTAGATGGTCTTCCAAGGACCTAAAATGTCATATTAGCCTGGATAGTGTTTGCATCTACAGACTTCTTTATCATGTGGTACAAGGGGAACCAGTTAATGGCAATAACCTACTTCTTCCTTGCTACCTCTTGGCCCCCTCCTAACTTGCATAATTTGCCCCCATGTGTTCATGGGTGTATGAAGAGCTGCCTGTTGTGCCTACAAATAATCCCCTCCCATTTTTCCCTTTTGTCTTCACGCTCCTCAGTGATGTCCATCTTTCGTCATTATTGGCAGTGACCTTCGTAAGAGTTCATTATGAATCTGTTATGTTTCAGTCAATGCACCAGGGTTCCTAGCCTTATGGACATTCCAGTGAGGGGAGGCACACATTAAACAAACATATCCCTGAAGAGGTTTTCTCTTGAGATGCGGAAAGCTGCACATCCTCTCCATACCTGAATGGGGCTGTATTTCCTGTCTCAAATGTTCTATTCCCCTGCTACACTGCCTATTTTTGCCTGATCTCTAAATCAGCTTCATGCACTGTTTAAAACCACTTCTAGCTTCTGCCAACTCCAGGTTGCTCAGACACTAATCCATGTCCAAGTCTGAGGTAGGTATTGAGGTAGGTGGAGGTCCAGGGTACAAAGACACCTACTCCCCTACTTGACTGAGTGTTTTCCTCTAGGTGCTCTCAAGCATCATAACTTCTAAGGTCCATTTCAAAGTCTTTGACAGCCATGCTTAGAAGTTGGGTTTAAATCGTGTACATATGTACATGTGTATATGTGTGTACATACGTATTGGTGTGTACATACACCTGTGTGTATATATGCATGTGTGTGTAGGCACACACAAACACATATACATTGTCTTACTTTTTAAAGGTAAATTTCAGGGATCTTCTGTGAAAAGAGACTCTGAAATGATTAAGGAACATCCTATGTGGAAGAGGCAAAATGAGGCTCTTGATAATTTGTTGATCTATCCCAAGAGTGTTCCTGGGCTCCAGGGGATTAGAGGAATAAGCAACTTTGATACTATAATTCCTGAAGTATTAATGAGCTGTGTATGGAGACTCCATCATGGAAACACTATTTCAAATAGAGGTGGTGGGGTTTCTCATGATGGCACGCTTTCCACCCTGACTCTTTCTGTAGAACTTTGCACAATTGGATCCTTCTTATTAGATCTTAGTTCAAATGTCACTTCTTTGAAGCAGTTTTCCTTTACCCTCCAACTAAAGCTGTTCTCCCATTATACCCTAAAATCTCTATCATATTACTCTGTATCATTTTTTTTTGAGATGGAGTTTCACTCTCGTTGCCCAGGCTGGAGTTCAGTGGCACGATCTCGGCCCACTGCAACTTCTGCCTCCCAGGTTCAGGTGATTCTTCTGCCTCAGCCTCCCAAGTAGCTGGGATTACAGGTGCCCGCCACCACGCCTGCCTAACTTTTGTATTTTTAGTAGATACTGGGTTTCACCATGTTGGCCAGGCTGGTTTTGAACTCCTGACCTCAGGTGATCTGCCCACCTCGGCCTCCCAAAGTGCTGGGATTACAGGCATGAGCCACCATGCTTGGCCCTACTCTGTATCATTTTTAATGACCTTGATCATTGTCTGAAATTATCCTAGTTTTAAAATTAATTTCTCCATTTTTCTCTCCCTCTTGCCCCCCAGTGGATGTGTATGTATACACACACCCACACCTACACACACCCACACACACATGCATACACAACTATATGCACATATACACATTCCCCAGAAAGAATACTCTGCAGTAGTGGAGCTCTTGTTGGTTAAGTTTCCACAGCCTGAAACAATACCTGGTACATAGTTGGGGCCTGATAAATATTTGTTGAGTGAATGAATGAATGAATGTTTTTTCCCCCCGATTATGTTTGCTGGATGACTGGTGGGTATTAGGCATCCAGCATCTGTCGTTTTCGACCAGTCTTCCCCATTTTTGGGAGAAAATAATTGGCTCATTAAGAACTGCATCTACATTGGCGTCACATTCTGTACTGCAGAGCCATGCCACCAGGCCTGAAATATTAATAACATGTGGAACTGGCTGTCCCTGTTTTGCAACTGCTTTAGCATCATTGACTCTTGAGTTGAGAAATGTTTGCCATTTGACTTCTCATCTGCCTCTTCGTCGGGGATTGGGGAGGGCAGAAGTGCCTTAGGAGTTCTTTGCTGTCCAGGAGACAGAGGCTGAACTTCCTGAGAACAGAAGCTTATGGAAGGTGTCTGTGAATTCAGGGAGGTTTCTGCTTGTAGCTCGAGCCTTGCCAACTCTGTGCACATGACAGGTTAACTGAGTGACTAAGGCAGTGATACATAGACTCTGAGAGGACTGGAAATGTGTCCTCACAGGGTTGTAGGCTGTCATTTATCAGCGTCTGAGAAACATCAAGAAATAAATCTGATTTTTTCCCCTTTCCCTGCCTCTCTTTTCCTCTGATCACTGATTAAGTCCAGACTCTCAGTCATTCTGCTTACAGAAGGGCTGAAGTCACACTAAAAACTAAAACTTGACATATTCTGCACTGGCGTGAAAATCGGATAAAATCCCTGGGTTTAGGTTAACTTCTCTGCAGTAACTTTATAGAATAAGGGTGATTCCTGAACACTTTACAGCTTCCATAGCTGTTCCATATTCATGATTGCACTGAATTCTTAGAAGAACCCTGTGAAGCATATAGTGATTTTTATCCCCATCTTCAGGATAAGGACACTGAGATTTAGAGAGGATGACTTTCTAAAGGACAGACAGCCAGAAAGAGGCAGGGCTGGAATTGAAACCCCAGTAATGAGAGTCCATGACCAGTGTTCTTTTTGTTATGTCCTAGCTGCCTTCTAGAACTCAAGTTGGAATATACAGTTTTAAATATTGGCCCATTAGGAAAGTGTGACTTTTGTAGTTTAAGCCGTTTTAAAGGCATAAGCAAAGTATGAGAAAAAGCAACTTTCAGAGAGCTCCCTAAATGGGCTGGGGAGGAACATGTGTGTGCATGTGCTTGTATGTATGTGTGTACATGCATGCATGTGTGTGTGTGTGTACTTGTGTGTGGCAGAGGGAAATGAAGAGGAGAGGGAAGCGGAAAGTATGGCTCTGGGAGTGTGCAGAGGGTCGGTAGTGGAGAGGACTCACATTCAGGAAAATGTGGTAATTTTTTTGGTACTGTAATTCTCAATAGGCCCCAGGCTTAGACATATTTACCATTTCTTTCCTAAAATGCTTCATCCTGCCTGTTGCTAATTTTAAAATAGAATTATATACGTGATAACTATCTTTGTGAATTGAATAGTTCAATTTACATTAGCCAAAGTAACTCAGCTCTATAAAACTATTCTGTTACTCCAAGGAAAATTCATTGTAGATTTATATCTTTGTGGCTGATGCTTTTTTTTTTTTTTTGTGAAAATTTGTGAGTGGCCATTATGTGTTGTGTATTATGCTAGGTGCTTGAAGGGCTGCAAATATCAGGTAAGCGTAATACTTACCTTCAAGGAGATTGCAATCTGTTAGAGGAATTAATGCAAGGATATAAATATGGTAATGTGTGATAGGATGAGTTAAGTTTCACAGGAATTTGCAAGGACCACCTAGGGTTCAGACATTAGTGTCATATCTGATGAGATGAGGAGGTTTTGAAATGAACCCAGAAGGAGGTACATTTATATAGTCAGATATAGGAAGGGTATCCTAGGCAGAGGAAACCGAGTTAACAGAGGTAGAGAGGCAGAAAAGCATACAGGCTTATTCAGAGAACAGAGTGTCTTAGTTTGACTGGTATTTAGATTACTCCTAGAGCAGTGTACTTAAACTTTTTAAAACTAGGGACCATTTAGGCAAAATACTTCACAGTTCACCCATTGCCTATCCACAGGAAGTTCACGTATCGACATGTGTGCATGTGGTTTTGTACAATAGCCAGACTGTTTAGAATACTGCATTGGAGTTCTTGAGAAACTCTCTATGGTGTTCATGAGAGCTTATGACTACCTAATTTTGGTCCCCTTGCCTACTTAGTGGATTTTCAGTAAAAATGTTCAGTTATAGGTATAAACAATCATCTGTGAAATTGTTCATAATTAGCTTTTGAGGTCTGAGGAAAAGACTAGCAGTTTTGGATCAGTTCCTGGTCCTTATTTCCATGGGCCATATTTTGAGAAGCCTTGGTCTGGGAGGATGACGGGAGACACAACAACCCAGAGACATATTGTAGAGATGCTTTCATGCCAGACTGAAGACCTATCCTTAATTTGTACTTAATTGCCATTAAGGGTATTTAAATAGCAGTGGAACCTTTTGAGGTTTCTTTTTTTTTTTTTTTTGAGACAGGGTTTTGTTTTGTCATCCAGGTTGGCGGGAAGTGACATGATTATGGCCCACTGCAGCCTTGACCTCCTGGGTTCAAGTGATCCTCTCCCCTCAGCCTCCTGAGTAGCTAGGACCACAGGCATGCACCACCACTTCCAGCTAATTTTAAAATAATCTTCTGTAGAGATAGGAGTTCCTTATGATGACCAGGCTGGTCTCAAACTCCTGGGCTCAAGAAATCTACCTACCTTTGCCTTCCAAAGTGCTGGGATTATAGGTATGAGCCACTGCACCCAGCCTGGGGTTTCCTTTTAAGGAGGAAACAATGTTTGTGAAGGATTGGAGGAGAGAGTGATTGGAGTCAAGGTCACCTGTTAAAAGAGAGATGATGCCTTTGAGGGTAGAAATGAGGAAACAGGTTATAGCAAACTTGCAGAGATAGAATCAACAGACTTGGCAAATTGAGGGGATTTAAACTGTGGGAAAGAGGGAGCAGAAGAGTGGGTGGCTCAGAGGGCTGGGAGCAACACCAAATGAAAATATGCCATGAACACAAATTGGCAAATGAGAAGAACTCCTTTGTTAGGGGAAGACAATACATTCTTTTAAAAAATGATTCCTGAGAAATTCAGAACTGAAAAAAGATTTCCAGAAACTTTTAGGTAACATGTGGTGAATCACAGGGAAACAGTTTTAAATTTCCAACCATAACTCCATCACAACAGATTTGTTAACCTTAAGGAACAGATATCACAGAGCAAAATAGTACCTTTGCTTTGATGAGTGTGACTCATATTAGACACTAAGGGTATCAAAAGTCAGGATGGGTGGATGCGTCAGTGAGTACCCCCTCCTTCTGGACTACATCACATATGGAAGTTTCATGTCCACTTGGTACTCTCTTAATTTGTTTTTCACTCAGAGATCTCTAGAAAATCTTCTGAAGTGTAGAAGAATCTCCATCAACT
Source organism: Homo sapiens (assembly GCF_000001405.40). Classification (NCBI taxonomy): domain Eukaryota; kingdom Metazoa; phylum Chordata; class Mammalia; order Primates; family Hominidae; genus Homo; species Homo sapiens. The sequence goes on from NC_000005.10 coordinate 155,281,853, forward strand.
GCCCAGAGTGGGTTTACCTGCCCAACAGAGTAGGTGGAACTGGCTGCTAAGTTTTGAAAGAGCCTCTTGTTAACTGTGCTGTCTCCTCCTAAAAGCATCACTCTGTGGCACCCCTCCAGGAGCTCCATTCCCTTGGATGAATGGTGTGGCCCCTGGACTTATGCAACATGGCAGCCCGGATTCCCATTGAACTGTCTCTTTCTTGGATGGTGATAATTTGCTGTGGGCCCTTTTGCGTTAAAAGCAAATGCAAGAGTTCTGAGGGGACAGTGCCATTTGGGCAGTTGGTGACCCCACCTCTGCTCTCCAGTGCTCTGCTGCCATCACTTTTATTGTCCTCACCCCATGGCATTGCAGTGTCTCTCTTTATAGGGCCTGTTTTCCCAACTAGACTTCTCAAGAGTAAGGCAGAGCAGATGACAATGTGGCAGGATGTCCTCTTGTTTTCAGCAGGACAGAAGCTGAATGAAGAGTGGGGGAAAAGGTCAGGTTTTCTCAAGTGGTTATTGTCTAAAAGCACAAAGCTGTATCCATGTGGCTGTGTTGGATGGATAAGTTTCTGCCTAGTAAACCATGGAGTATCCAAGGCTTTGATAGAGACAGAGAGGAATTACTCAGAAGGGAATGAAAAGGACACAGATTTCATGAACTGCATTTGTCATGGACTGCTACCTAAAAGGACTTTCTTTTAACTTTCCAATGCCTTTGAGAATGTGTATAATCAAGCTCTTATCAGTAATTAAAGCCACGGCATGAATGAACTCATCAAACCACAGTCCTCTCTGCTTGCCACCTGGGAGCATGGCACTGAGGTGATAAGTGGGTGGGTTGGAAGACAAGGAGAGAGTTAACACATGTCGGGTTTTTAAATTGTCAGCAGAGAGCAGCAAAGATGAGGAAGGCTGTGACGGCAAAGAAGGAGGGAACTCAGGACATTCAGGTGCTGGGCGAGCCAAGGTGATGTTGCCTACTTTATAATTTGGGCAGGGCAGGAAGTGTTGATAACTCCTTTGCTGCCAGACAACCTGCATCTAGTACAGGCATGTATCAGACCCAGCCAAATGCCAGTGCGCTATTATACACATCGTGAAGCTGCTTCCTGTGTAAAAACCCAGAAGGGCTGAAATTTTGCCTTTTTTAGATACAAAAAAATGGATAACCAGGTGATTCACTTACTCATGAGTAGCAGTGAGAAACAAAACCTGCCAATGTTCATGGATGGAAGGAAGCTTTGTCAAATCAGGGCTGGGATAACCAGCTCCTGGAGATTTGCATGAATCTACCTGACTACAGAGTTGAAGCCACCAATTCTTGCCCTGCATTTTGTGGTAGGCCATATGGTATTGGTATCTGACTAGTAGGAAATACAAGCCTCTGGTCTGTGGAAAAGAAGAAGGTGTTAAAGGAGTTTAGAGATTTTTCTAGAAGACACGCCTTGAGAGAGTTCACCAACACTGTACAAGGATTAGGACCGGACAAGTGGAAAGTGATGCCTTGGTTGGCAAGTGGCCCAATGCTGGAAGTGAGATGAACAAGCTCTTTCTGTAGAATAAACCATTAGGTTAACCTGAGACAGAGGAGATGAGGCTTGGAACCTCTGCTCACCAGGTTGATGAAATCTTATCTTGACACGAGAGGACCAGGATCACAATGACAAGTGAAGGGAATATGGCTGACAGCTGCTTACAACTCCTGTATGTGGAAAAGTCACCTCCACTCATATTTTTTTTTGGCTAACACTAGGCACATGGCCCCAGGACCATCCTGTCTTTTGCCCAGAAGAACAGAAATATTCTGTGAAATTCTCTAAAATTCCCGTAGCATCGCTTAAGTGATGATTATGTGGCCATTCCACTGACCTGAGATTAGAGACATGAAAACTTGGACGTGCTGGGTAGTATTCCAATGGGAGAATCTGCCTGAGGAGGAATCAAACGTGGGCGAAAGTAAAGCTGAGAGAAGGACAGAAATAGAATTCTGATGACATATTGTTGGAGGTGCTGGATCTAGTTGTGCCCGAAGCTACCCCTGAGCTTCGAAGGTATGTGAAATACTACAACCCACGTTTTTTGTTTTCTTAGGCCAGTTTGCATTGGGTTTCTGCCATTTGATACCTACAAGTTTCTTGACTAATATGGTGATGATAAGTGTCTTCATGTCTGAATTCTCGAATACTTATTGTTCCTTTAGCACATGCTGTGCTTTTCTGTTTTCACATTTGTACTATTCCTTCGGCTCAAAATACCTTCCATTTCTTTTTTCTTCCATCTGGTGGACAAAATCTGACTTCTCCTTCAATGTACACTTGCTTACTGTCTCCTGTGCAAAATGCTTCCTGATCTACATCCCTTCCCTATCTTTAGTTAAAATCCATCTTTTTCTCCTATGTTTGGTAATAAACTTGAACTTCTCTTATAGCATTTGTCATATTCTGTCTTGTACTAGGCAGCGCTTATGGAGCCTATCAGGGCTCTGGACACATCACCCCAAAATATGACTGTAAGAGTCAAAATATGCCACCCCAAAATATACTTCTTTGGTATATTCTGAGCTGGTTATTCTGAGAAATTGTAGACACAAGAGTGGCTCTGAAAAGCTGCCCTGTCATAAAAGAAAATTTACCACTGTAAGAGAAATCTACATTAGTAACTGTATCTGTATTGGGAAAAGGGCTGCTTCAGGCAACCTTTATTACCTGAGATACTTTTTATCTGCATAATGAGACAATCTTTATTCAACATACATTTCCACCCTTGACCCTTCCATAACTTGTTGCTACCTGCTTCCAGAAGCCCTAGCCCCTGTTCCTTTGTGTGGGTAGCTCAGGATGCTATATAAGCTTCAATCATCTGACCCTTCTTCAAGTCTCATATTTTGTGGGACTCCATTGCATACATATGTAATTTAATATGGTTCTTCTCTTGTCTTATGTCAATTTAATTTGTAACCCAGCCAAAGAACCTAGCAGGAAGTAAGGAAGCCAATATTCACTCACCTGCAAGTGCTTACTGGGTACTTTATATTCTTATAGGCATACATGCTTTTATTCTTCAAATAATCCTATGAAGTAGGCACTGTTATCCCCATTTTGCACATAAAGAAAGGGCAATTTAGAAAAATTGAGTGATTTGGCTTAGATCCTATAACTGTGATCTGGGATGGGGAACCCAGGTGACCTGGCTCCAGAGCTCACATCATTCACCCCTGTGGTTATTTGGAGGCCTGGCGTGTCTGTTCTTCTAGACTGTATCCTGTCTTCTAGGGAGCCTAGAGTCAAATTGAGGATCACACCTAGCAAGCTACAGAATTTTACAGGCTGTAATTTGGGTGTTAATTTTATTCCTAGCTTCACCTTATGTTTCTTGTCCTCATTTTATTTCTTTCCTGATTTCTTCACCAGCTTATTCTGAGTTTCATTTTATCTCATTTGTAAGATTTGCATTTCTGTAAACCACCTCAATCCTTTTCAGGCTGAAAAGCAAATAAATAAATACATGAAAATAAAATTAAATGCTAGATTTTAAGTTCCTTCAAGGTAAGATCCAACTTTGTTTATCTAAGCATTTTCTGCAGGTCCCAGCTCTAGAACCCAGGAAAATGTATCTTAAATGTATTTGAAGTGAAATCTCCGGATCCTGAGGATTAAGAAGTGTCAGGCATAGGGAAGTGTTCGGTGGTGTGGCTGTGCCCAAAATTTCTATGGAGGGGGGTGCAGCAGAAGGTGGTGGGGGTGGTGCCTGCTCTTTTCTTACCAGAGAGAATAAAATAAAACATTTTGCTGCAGCAGAAAAGAATTCACTTTTCCGTCCTGCTTTCTGGAGAGCTGAATATTTTACCTGCAGCAACATTCTGAATTTCTTGTGGAGACTCAAAATGGTGTCTGAAAAACTATTTTTGAGGCTTTTAGTTACCCAGGAAAAACCAAGGTGCTGACTGCCAAGAAGGGCTGGAGTTGTCTTTTATTACATCCTTTGTGGCTTACAGGTTTGTGGCTCCTTGGTGTGAAGGAGCAGAATGCAGTGCAAGCCACCCTCTCAGCTTGCTCCATGCTGTGCCCTCCTCTGAGAATAATTTAGGACTTATTTTCTTCCATTGTTAAGCATTGCTTGGTCGAAGCAGACACAAATTGAGTTGCAATGCCTGCATTAATGCTCATTTACAGCTAGAATTAGGAAAGCAGCCAAGTTTGGTGGGCTGTAGAAGTGGCAGCTTCTGAGAGGGTGACTCTTCCCAAGGTGGCTGGAGAGAGAACAGGAAGATGAGCACAGAAAGCCATCTGACAGCACATCCTGCATTGTCTCTTTTCTCTTAGAGCCCCTCCCCCTTCTTCCATTCTCTCTCTGACATGATTCGACTGTTTTGGATTTCCAAAATCCTGCAGGCATTCATTTTTATCCAAAACATGTCCTGAATGTTCACTGTGTACCAGGCACTGTGCTGGATCCTGGGGCAGTCATGAGACATAGGAAAGCTACTCTGATTGAGTAAATTTGTCATTTGGAGCATGATTGTTGCTAGTGTTTTGAGCACGGTTGGCTGACAGGGATCAGTAAACACCAAAATAGCCATACAGAGTAATTTGCATGGGGAGTATGGACTTACTATGTATGTATGTCTGGGTGAAGAGAGAGGAATACGGTGACCCACTTAACACCCTCTGTATTTAGTCTTATGCAGAATCAATATCTCAGAAAATAAACAATTGACTGAAATTCAGGTACAATTCCTGCCTATACACAGTCAGTATGGACTGGGCTGTCTCTTGTGGTTGTGCAAGTTTGTAGTTTTATGTGCAGTCTATCAAGCTCTCTTCCTCTCTCTATTTTTTGGTCACTCTTCTCTGTCTCTCAGTCTCAGTCTTTTTTCCCATGTGTCCCTCAAGGAAGGCAATTCCTTTACGTATTTCCTCTTCTTTTGAGCATCCTGTGTTGAGGAGTAGAGATAATCCCAAACGTGGTAGACAGGAACCATGGCAGTGAGTTCCAGTTGCCCAGACTGCCTACTTAAGGCTCGGATCAGTAAAGGATGTTTCCTTTGGCATGGATGGAAAGAAGCTAGAATGTAGGATGGAAAAACTTGTAAGCTCTGACTAAAATCAAAAGAATATCTGTGAGTAGTGAGTTGCAAGTAATAGATTGTAAAATCTGTTCTTTTAAAGGATATTATTTACACTATTAGAAATAATATCTACATAAGCTTTAATCACACAATAATCAGGAGTTTAATGCACACTGTTTGTTGATCAGTGTTTTGGCAGGAAAAAGATGAGACACTCAGGGTAATTCAGGTGAGCTGAAGAGATGGAAGGGGTAAGGAAAACCAACAAGGGGTGGTATAGCACTTTAGGGTTAGCAAGAGTTGAGCGATATTACCACACTTAGCCCTATGAGGTCAAGAGGAAGAGGGAGTTACTGAAACCTAGAGAAAGTAGGGGCTATCCAGTAGGAGCTCTGGCCTTTGAGAGAGAGAGATCTTGCAAGAAGGAGTCCAAAAAATACTCTGACCTCACTCTGATTTCTTGCTGGTGCTTCCTATTGACTGAATTCACTAGAAGCCAGAGGCCAAGGAATTCTGTGAATTCAACTGATAAAGTCATCCCCCTGGAGCACCAAACAGGATGGAGAAGAGTGGACGATATCTCTGGAGAGGAAAAGGGAAAAAGATCCAGTAGTTCATAAAGAAGCAAAGTGATATAGCAAAATGGCAATTGGATTATAACTGGGAAGACGTGAACTTTAGTATTGACTACCGTTTACCAGTCAGTCGACTTTGGGAAACACATCATCCTTCTGAACCTCAGTTTTGTCAGCTATAACATGGCAAGAAACAGCCCTTGGCTTGTTATACCAATTGAGTGATGAGGTAATACTTTTAGAACAATGCTGTTTGAAGAAAGAGGCCATTATGAAAATTCATTGTCAACACATCTGGCATTTAATCCTATTTATTCTGTGTTGTGTAGATATAAATCAAGTCACGGTGAGCTTCTCAGATTTTATCTGTGGCTTTCTTCCAAAGCAAAAAAAAAAAAAAAAACCAAACCTACATTGACCTCAAACGGGTGCTTCCACCTCGGCTGTAATTTGTGCTCCATAGGTAATGAAAATACTTGTTTGATGTCAAAAGGAAGTACGCCAAACTGTCATTAAGGTAGAATTGAAAGGTTAACTCCACCACATGCCTCTTTTGAGTACGTGAAAGACGGTTTTTGAAATGGGAGCATCATATACCTCTTGGCTCCATTAAGGCTGAGGAGAGAGTAAACCATGCATGGGTAAGTCCTCTCTGTGTTTGTTAACATTTTAATTCAGTAGTTGGGCTTCATCTCTAGGAATTAAAAACTTAACTGTCATATCTTTATACCTCAGTGCATTAGAGATCTATTAGGGTATCTGTGCCACCTATGACTCTTCTCTGACTACTGCCTCAGAATGCCATGACAGCCATGTTGTTACTATGTGACCCAATAGATAAAGATGGTGGACACCTGGCCCAATGGTCTCTCAGCTAGGAAGCCAATCCTTTGCTAGATGTTTGAGCTTAAGTCAAACTTGAGAGCTGGGGTGCAATAATCTTCCACCATATTTGTGGAGGAAAGGAGGAACCAATCTACTAAAAGACAATGGGGCAGATGTAAAGGAAATGAGGTAGAAGAGACACCAGAAAACCCACAGTAGAGAGGGAAGGGACACAGTGTGAAGTAAGGGCATGAGAATGAGAGAGCCAATCTCCTGGTTCCTGAAGGCTTTCTATTTCTCGGTTCCTGTCAGTTTGCAAGGCCTGACCACAGTGAGATTAGCTCTTCCCCAGCAGAGCTGTGTAGATGGGTTTTCTGATATTTGTAGTCGAAAGAACCCTAAGAAACACAGGCTTATGGGTAATGGACACCCTTGGGAATGTGGAAACCAGCCTGGGAAAACAACCAATGGGCCTGTTTCTATCTGAAGAGCTTTCTTTATTTCCTTCTCTTGGTCCCTTCAGAGAAAACCCTGTACCCAGAAAATGGATAGTCATGGCCAGTGGCTGTAGGGCCAGGGATGGAGGGGGCGTGGCGGTGGGGTTCGGGCTCTTCAGGGTTGTGAAGCAGGAAATACTCCCTGCTGGAAACATAGAAAACCTCCAGTCCAGTGATTTTTCCAGTTTCACAATTACATGAAATTACCAATAAAAAGCCTTCCTGCTATAAAACAGTGTGAACTTATCTACCTCCTGAGCATATTTACAATCAACAGTTTTAGAGTATCAATTACATTCTCCACACATTACTTCAGCCTCTCTTTTAAACATCCACACTTTATGACTTTGTACACTCAGAGAGCAACAACAGAAATTATCCTTTAATTAAACAAGCCAACCCCATACCTTTCTCAAGCACATGTGCACATTGACACATGTCAATTGCAGACAGGCCTTGTGGGGTTTCCATTTGTTCCAACACAAGTCATTTATTTGTTGCATCATTATTTTTCCTAATAACAATAACAATTCCTTATGTGTTTATATACTTTCTCGTTACAAAGCATTTTCTCACTCGACTTATATAATTGTACCACGAAGTGGAGGCAACTGAGATTCTTCATTCTCTTTGATATTCATCTTAGCAATAGGATCTTCCATTTAGAAAGGCCTTACACTATGATGGGCACTGTGCCAAGTCTTTTCCAGGCATTTTCTTTTTTAAGCTTCCCCAAGGCTGATGAAGTGGGTATTATTTGTCACAATTACAGATTAGAAAACTGGGGGTTGAGCAACTTGTCAAAAGTTCACATAGCTTGTTATTGGTGGGGTCAGGGCTCAAAGCTAGGCCTGAAGGATCCATTCTTTTAACCACTATTCACCAGGCCAACTTATTTTCCTTCAACTTACCATTTCTAGTCTTCTTGGCTAAGCAAACATTTCATTAAAAATGATTTTCTCAATAATAATAGTTGCCACCTATTGATTATACACTCATTCATTTAACACATTTTTATTAAATGCCTTTTATTGAATTTGCATTGTGGAATATTTTTCCTATTTAACTTATAAGTTCTTACAACAAATTGCTAAGTGATTACTAGTCTCATTTTATAGAAAAAGAAAACAAACTGTCAAATATTGTCTTGCCCCAGGCTGCTAAGTAACGAGGAATATTGGATTTGAACCCCAGATTATACCATCTGACTTCACAGCCTGTGCTTTTTCCATCCTATTAAAAAAAAAAAGGGAAACAGGAGTGGTTCACTGACTTACCTAGATCTTCTAGGACTCAGACTGGGTTCTCTCTAGTCCTCTTCCCATTAACTCCAGAAACTCCTTGTTCTTATTTGTTAAATGAATAAGTCTCAGTTGGGGAAAGCTAGAGGAGGTATTGTGGACCTTCTGTAAAGATACTACCTCTTTATTTTTATTTTTGGAGATGGAGTTTCGCTCTTGTTGCCCAGGGTGGAGTGCAATGGCGTGATCTTGGCTCACCGCAACCTCTGCCTCCTGGGTTCAAGTGATTCTCCTGCCTCAGCCTCCCGAGTGGTTGGGATTACAGGTATGTGCCACCAAGCCCAGCTAATTTTGTATTTTTAGTAGAGACAGGGTTTCTCCATGTTTGTCAGGTTGGTCTCAAACTCCTGACCTCAGGTGATCCACCCGTCTCAGCCTCCCGAAGTGTTGGGATTACAGGTGTGAGCCACCACACCTGGCCTGATACTACCTCTTTAGAAATGAAATGGGATGGACCAATGATGACACAAATACAGGGCTGTGTGTCCAGTGAGAGGACTCAAGAATGTTCTTGGATTGGAAAGGTTGGATGGTTGGGGGTGGAGGGGAAATGGGCAGAGATGGTCAAAGAGGTGAGAAAAAGGTATAAAAGTAACAAGAAGACAAGAATGGGAATAAAGTGTCTTGAAACATGCAGGCTAAGAACTGTCAGTGAGTCAGCGTGAATCAAAGAATAGGATTCAGGGTGACAGAGGTTAGGTCAAACAAGCAATTTCTTCCATGGTTTCATTGGGGGCTAGAAATAAAAACCTAATCATTATCCAAACACAACACTAACATGAAGAGGTGAAATAATTTATCCTTAAATAACAGGCTGACCTATTCAGAATTGTAATTTTAATGTAAGACTAACCTTTGAAAATAGATCAAGTGATATAAATTATTATGGAAAAGACATTCATCAGATAGATGGTGTCTGTTAGTAATTTTATGCATGAAGAGTTATCTCCTAAAAGTACAGTTGCAGCTGCCTCTGCAGAGAAAAAAATGAAGAACCCAGTTACCCTTTTGTGACATGTTCCGCTGATTTTAATCAGTATTTCTCCTGTCAAATGAAATGAAAAGACTGAAATATGATCTCTCCTGTGGATGTACACTCACTGCCTCCCACCTCCTTTGAGGCACCAGGAGTTTTCCTGGTGCTAAGGAACTGGAGACACACATTTCAAGCAGTTTTTTTTAAATTTCCTTCTGTAGGGGGAAAATATCTAAATCAGTTGGTAAAAGCACAAAACATTTACTGAGAATCTTCTAGCTACCTAGCACTAGCCTGACTGGGGGTGGGAAGAGGCAAAGTCTAAGACATTTCCTGTCCTCAAGGAGTTTAGTGTAAAGACCTGAAAGAAATCTGAATTACATGTAACTCTGCTGTTCCATTCACAGCTAAGTGAGTCTGGGCAATTTGGTGAGCCTCTCTGAGCCTCAGTTACTGTGTCTGTAAAATGGGGATGACATTGTTACCTATCTCAGGGGGTTGTTTTGAGGTGTCATGGAGTTATGTCTGGAAAGAACAGCTCTCAGTAACTGGCATATATTCAGCTATCTATAGAACTATATAAAAATATTGTTACCACTGTTTATGTACCACCATCTCAAGTTGGGGTGAGGGTTGCTTTGTTTTTCACGCCACCATCAGCTCTATTCCTTTAGGTATTTAGGGTTCATCCTTTCTCTCAAGAAGCTGTAGGCTGATGATGGGCACCCCAAGCTGTTGAGGAAGAGGTTGCTCACATGAGTTGGATGGCGATTGAGCAATTTCTCAGAGCTCAGAGAGGTAATCCTCCTGCCGGCTGCACTCGTCAGTGGCAGTGCTTGGCCGGGTATCCCCTAGATGAAGACTGGGAAACCAGTGGTGCTGGTTTGGCTCCCTCTGGGCCCCAGGGGCAGGAAGAAGTTTGGTGCTTTCTCAAAGGGAGGCTTGGTCTCCACGATGCTGCAGACAATCACCCTCAAGTGGTTCCTCCAGGCCCATTCCCTTCAAAATGCCAAGCTCCACTCACACATGCCCTCCAACATACCATCCTCCCCTTTCCTCTTAGTCCATTTAATCCTTATTTAGAGGATCACTAGCTGTAGCAATTTATCTTTCAAATCTATTTTGTTGGGGCACAAACTTTGTCCCTAATGCTTCAGGACTTAAATGCCTGAACATCAAAAAGCCTGGCTCTTATGACTTAGAAGGTGGAACAGAAAAACTCAGAAACAGGTTCAGTGCATTTCTGCCCTCTCAACCATCCCTGAATGCAAAGCATACCTCAGGGTACATGGTGTTGGTGGTGGAGTGATCACAGGGTGTGAAGAAATTGGGAGGGTACATTCTGTTTATACCTCAGAATATTATCCTCCAGAACTCTTTGTCCCTTCTCCTGCTTCTTCATCCTCTTCTCTTTTAATGATGATATTGATGATGATGAGGAAGAGGAGGTCCATTTTAAAAGAATAGTAAGTAGGTTTAGAAAAGTGAATACTGTGTCAATTGGGTGTTCCAGGAAAGAGATGTTGAGACTGAGATAGGAGCATGAGTGAGTGGTGACTCCTGCAAAATGTATAAGGAAAGGAAGCTGATGGATCAGGGCAAGCTGTCAGATCAGCATGCCCATCTGACACCTATGGAAGGAAGACAGGGAGGGAGCAGGATTTGGGGGAGTGACACCCTCAGACCACAGTGCATATCTGACAGGTGGAGAGCTCCAGAACAAAGATGGCCCAGTAGAGGATCCCCATGTTGAGCAGAAATGGCAAGGCCCTAGGATCTGTGCCATGTTTAGTCACTGGCTTCCTACAAAAACATGGCCTCAGCTTCAAAGCTGAAGCAGATCCAGAGGTGCTGCCACTGCAGACTCAAATAACTCCATTCCTTATATTTCCTTTCCTGAAAGGGGATCCACATGGCACACCTCATGGCTGCTGTACGTGCCCATGGATGTGTGAGCACCATGGAGGATGTCTGATGGAGGAAGAGCTCAGAGCTGGGCCTGGGGTCTGGTGTTCTGATTCCTACTCTAGGTTTCTCTTCACTCTTCCTTGAAACTCATGAGAAATCAGAGACTACCATCAGATGGTGTATAATTAAGCATTAAATGTCATGGTGCAACCACAGAGAGCTGCTGAGTTTCAGAGACTGGAGGCAGCTGGGTGGATAACTCAACCAGATCCAGTTTCTTTTGGGAGATATGCCACCTGGAGGCCAAGAAACCAAGTGACAAAGGAGCCACTGTACCTACAATTAGCTACAATTATTTATTTATTTATTTATTTATTGAGACGGAGTCTCGCTGTCTCCCAGCGTGGAGTGCAGTGGCGTGATCTCGGCTCACTGCAAGCTCCGCCTCCTGGGTTCATACCATTCTCCTGCCTCAGCCTCCCGAGTAGCTGGGACTACAGGCATGTGCCACCATGCCCGGCTACTTTTTTGTATTTTTAGTAGAGACAGGGTTTCACCGTGTTAGCCAGGATGGTCTCGATCTCTTGACCTCGCGATCCGCCCGTCTCGGCCTCCCAAAGTGCTGGGATTACAGGCATGAGCCACTACACCCTGCCTACAATTATTTAATTTATCTCACTTCTCTGGTAGTGCCAAATCCCATGCCATATTCCCTCTCTCGGGAGTTTTATACCCTCTGGTCAAAATCAGATTTCTGGCCAAGCAGATGCTGTTAAGTCGTGAGGTTTGCCAGACTTACTCTTAGGCTGAAGACCTGTGGATGACAAAGCATGCTTTCTCTTAATCATTTGGCCAGAGTCCAAATGATAATGGATGGTCCTTGAGGGAGAACAGCCCTGACTCAATATGCAACAAAAGTATAAGCTTCTCGCAAGGTCAGCTTAAAGGTAATATGAAGGTTGTGCTGGAAAGTGGCTGGGCTCAGCAGCATTGCTGGGGTTTCAGGGTAACCTGCCCATCTGTTGGCACTCAAAGTTTCACATGAGTCAAATTGAGGCTAAGTCTTTATAATGTCAACATATGCTAGGGACTAGTCGGATATCCTCACATCCTTGCATTTTAGTAAGAACAGTGATGATTAAAAAAAAAAAAAGGTTTGCTATTAATGGCTAAATCTTTATATTGCCAACATTTTCCAGGAAGCTTTGTGATATGGCCTTTGATGAGGACATTATTGCTTTTGTAGTAATACAGAAATTTAAACCTTATTAATAATGCTAATGAAAATAGTGATGGTTAATCTTTTTACTTTTCTCCTCATACTGGGCAAGGAACTGTGCTAAGTGTATTTCCCCCCACTCTCTTAACTCTTGCAATAGTTCTAAGAATTAGGCAGTATTTATTTCACATTACAGATGAAGAACTAAGACTTGTGAGGTTAAGTAACTTGTTCAAGGTCTCATCGATGGTGAATCACAGAGCTTTGGGTGTGGATGCAGCTCTTTCTGATTCCAAAGCCCATGGTTTTATTCCTTATGCTATATAACCTCTTAACTATTAGACTCCAACCAAAAATATATGGTCTTCTCAAGTCGTTTTATAATTGGCAACCTGAGGCTCAAAGTTAGTTAGTGGCAGTCTGAACTAGAACTTCTGCTCCCAGTTCCGAGCTCTCTCCCTTGATTAAACTGATTAAGCCAAGCAATACTCATGACTAGTGTGTGTCTTTGATGTGCCTTGGGAATACCAATAGGTCTTTTAGTTCTTTGAGGCCATGGTTCCAGCATGGCACAGTCTCCTTGCTTTCACTGCATTTCAAGATTGCTACTTATTCCTTCATCAAGGAGTTCCTGAGTCTCTGGTAAATTGCTTTGAAACTGAACAAAGAGAGAAAATTACCCAGATGAGATATGCGTGTCAAACTGTCCTCATTGCCAGTATTTACTTTATTTTATTTTTAAATTTCCAAAGCATTTAGGGAGTAGCAGCTGTGGCTCACTATGCCACCAGTGTAAGATTTTTTTGTGTGTGTGTGATGGGCAAAAACACACCTTAATTGAGAAAAAGATTTCTAAAATGACCCTGAAGAGTGGTTCAAAACTTCTTGTATGCCAACACAGAAAACATTTGGTCAGGATCTCCTCTTTCCTTCCCTCCTATCCCTTTTAGCAGCTATGTAGTCTTTGCTTCTGTGCATTGTTATTTTTATCTGTAATTTTTGGGAAAGTGAAGTGTCAGCAGTTGAAGGATGACTTGGAAAGAGACATTTTTATTGCTTAAATGATTCCTTTCAGGGAGACAACGGAAGCCAAAAAGGGATCATTGCAAACCTAAAGGAGCTTGAGAAAATTTACACTCTTTAAGGTATTTTAAGCCTTCAGAACTATTTTGAGTCAAAAGGCTTATGTGGGGCTTGTGGAGAGTCCTGTTTCATAAGAGCAGACTTAGACTCCAGACAACTGTTGAGGTGGTTAGGAATGCTGGCTCTAGAACTACACTGTCTGGGTTCAAATCCTGCCTCTACCAGCTGGGCAGGTTGATGTCACCTCCCTGAGCCTCAATTCCTCATCTAACAAATGGGGGGTGGGAGAGAAAACAATACCATATAAATAATACCTACCTCATGGTATTTTTGTGAGGATTAACTGAGGTATTTGTAAGTGCTTATATTGATTAAGGCTTCCTCCGTTGAAAACGACGAACACCTGACCCAAATCAGCATAAGCAAAAAGGCAATTTATTGGTCACCAAAATGCAAAAGTCTGGGGCGACGGCTGGATTCCAGGCTCAGACAGTGTTATCTGAACTTTGTACCTTTAATAAGATAGCAGTGGTAGTTCCAACCCCTGTTTCCTTTCAGGGAAAAAGTCATATTATTGGCTCTGATTGGTTATCATGTCCATCTCTGAACCAATATCGAGGCCAGTATTCATTCATATATGATGCTCCAATTGTCATAGACCTGGGTCCCATAACTCACCCTAGGAACTGGGCTTGTATTCAGCTTTGAGAGAACCATGTAGCCTGAAAATGTGTGCATGTGATTACCCACAGGAGAATTGTGGTTGGTTACCAGAGGAGGTAATCAAAACAGATAATTCACCATGAGTGCTCAGCCTAGTGATTGCCTCAAGTTTAAATTGCTTGGTGAATGGTAGCTGGCACTATCATCATCATCATCAGCTGCCCATGAAGAAGGAAGCCCAAAGCAAGTGTCTCTGTGACACTTCATCAGTGATTATATTCCATACTGGGAATTAAGAGACCAGAATCATACCTCACCCAAACAGCTATTTATTATCCACCTCCCATACTTCCAGTTTCTTTTGGGAGATATGCAACCTGGAGGCTGTTTTCCCAATCCTATGTTGCCTTCCTCACTCTCTTGCTAATTATTAAAATATAACCCATGCTCTGAAGGCCATGCCATCTATAGAATCTTAGGTGTTGTCTCCAGCCCCTTATCATTTCTTTCATCTCAGAAGTGCTACAGCTTTCACGGTCTGTACAGTAAAGCAATGTTAAGTGTGAAATCACTTTGCAAATTATAAAGTGCTGAAAAGCACTTTGTCTTCCGCTCAATATGTGACTCTAAAATATTTATGATATAATCATTTTATTATATTATGGTGATTGAGAATATGGAGCTTTGAGATCAGAACTGTCTCTTTCACTAATCTAATGTTGGAACCTGGGGCAGATCCTGAAACCTTAGCCTCAGTTTTTGTTTTTGTTTTTTTTTTTTTTTTTGAGACGGAGTCTTGCTCTGTCGCCCAGGTCGGACTGCGGACTGCAGTGGCCCAATCTCGGCTCACTGCAAGCTCCACTTCCTGGGTTCACGCCATTCTCCTGCCTCAGCCTCCCGAGTAGCTGGGACTACAGGCGCCCGCCACCGCGCCCGGCTAATTTTTTGTATTTTTAGTAGAGACGGGGTTTCACCTTGTTAGCCAGGATGGTCTCGATCTCCTGACCTCATGATCCACCCGCCTCGGCCTCCCAAAGTGCTGGGATTACAGGCGTGAGCCACCGCGCCCGGCCAGCCTCAGTTTTTTTATCTGCAAAGGGAGGACAATACCATTCACTGGTATTGAGATCATGCACAAAAAGTGAGATAAGATCATGAGATAATGCACATAAAGTGTGTACCTGGAACTTACCACACTCTCACATGCACACACCCTCATCTTCTTGTAAGTAACTTGGAAGCAGGCGATACATACCCACCCCACCATCTTTATCTCTGTCTTTGCTCCTCTAAACATTAGCTATTTATATTATAATTTAAGCTGTAACAACAGGAATCACTGACTTTACATAAATATTAAACATTAAAACTTTATAGCTAAATCAAAGGTTTGACTTAAAAAAAATACAAAAGTTCTATGACTTTTTAAACTGTCAAGATCTTTACTTCTAGATCCAGGATTCTAAAAAATGCCAGATCAGGAAATGTTGGCCATGTTGGCTCAGTATTTGTCCTGGCATCTCACTCCCTTTTCCGTCTCTGTGAACGATGTGCCTAACCCTGCACCTCGGAAGTGGGTGAGGGAAGGTATACTGACAAATACCTGAGCGATTTGTCCATCCTGTGCTGTGGAGCAAAACGATGAGAAGTGATGTATTACAAAGGCTGCAAATGTTCTTCCCCTGGAAATGACATAAATACTAGATTTTGCTGAAAAACGACATATGCACATTGGAGCCATTAAGAATTCTCACAAAAGCAGGGAAGCAAAGAGGTCTGCTAACATCCTCTTAATAAAGTCTGTTTTTTGCTGACAGGACCCAAAGTAAACGCACTTGGATGGGGGCTTACCACCCATTGGCAGGTTTTGGGAAGCAGCCAGCTTTCTCCTTAAGAGACGCAAAAGTCTTTCCCCTCCAGGTTAAGTAAGGAAGTAGTGTGGCGAAGGAGTTAGACTGGCAATCAGCAGGACACAGGACCAACGATCCGAGTCCAGGCTGTGGATTCTAACAGTTGTGCGCCCTAGAGAAGGCATTAATATACCCATTTATATTTTAGTGATTTTTAGTTATGAGGGACACAAACTTACTGAAACCAGTTTTTTTTTCAAAAGAATGGCATGTCACCACTATCTAGTTCCAGAACATTTTCATCATCCCAAAATGAATCCCCACATCCATTAAGCAGGTATTCCTCATTCCTCCTCGTTCTACTACCTGGGAACCACTAATCTGCTTTCTGTCTTCTTGGATTTGCCTATTCTGGGTATTTCATGTAAAGATCATCCTATTACCTGTGGCATTTTGTGTTTGGCTTCTTTCACTTAGCATAATGTTTCCAGGGCTCATCTGTGTTATAGTAGATTATCAGTACTTTATTCCTTTTCATGGCTGAATAATATTCCATTATATGGATACACCACATTTTGTTTATCCATTCATCAGCTGATGAGTATTTGGGTTGTTTCCACATTTTGGCTATTATAAATAGACTTGAATTTTGCTTCTTCATGAATGTGGGGGAAAGAGCTGTCTAGGTAGCTCTCCATAACATCTCAGCCCAGGTGGTCCATAGAGAGTAAAATAAGTGTCTGGTCTCAGTTCCCTGTTCCTAGGGAAGAGACTCTGATAGGTATGGTCATGTGGTGGCTGTCCTGTGCAGAGGCTGTGAGGCAGACTGTGGTGTGGGGGTGGGGCAGCTTCTCTTGCAGGGATGCAGGAGGGCAGAGTAGACAGGTCAGGCATCTCTATTATCGAATAATTATGCTTGGCTATCCCTTATCCAGTGTCCAATCTATGCCTCATATTGAGCTTTATTCCTATTTTATGAATGAGTACATTGATGCCTGGGCCTCAGTTTCCTCAGTGCTGAAGTGTATATCCTATTGAACCTAATGAAATTATGAGATTCAATACAATGCTCAGAAGTGCTCCTAAATTGTAAGGAACCAGCTGTAGGATCCCATATGCACTAGTTGCTCATCTCTGACCCTCCCCAGCCACATTAATTATCTCTTCCTCCAAGTCCCCACCCTATGTGGTTTGCCCCCCTCCCACAGCCCTGGCTATGCTGTGCTCTCTGCAGTCTATTTTGTTGGCTGGTGTGTGAGTTCCCAGCTGCAAGGGGGGCAAGCAGTGCATCTGAGCACCCAGGACCCAGCTAGGGGGCCTGACACACAGAACTTGCTTGGTAAATGGGAAGCCGGTGAAAGGTAGAAGAACTTTTGATCTCTTCCACTGCCATAAACAAACCCCTCATGACTCACAATTTCATTTCTCAGTCTGAGGGAGTGATGCCACACTACCTAGGCAGAAGTGACTGACAGTTTTCTCTCAGTCCCAGCTTTGTTTTCCCCATGGTGAGGCTACCCCTCTCCCATACAGTGTGAGGATTGCCAGTCCCTTTGAAAACCAGATCAATGGACTGACAAGCACTCTGGGCCTCAATATATGACAGTGGCCTCAATGGTTGCAGGGCCAGGAGATGCTGCGAAGTGCAGGAAGCAGGAGGATGTCTGCCCTGGCTGCCCAGCCCTGGCAGCAGCTGGACACCGAAGCACTACCCTTCCACGTGTCTGCATGAAGCTCCCTCACCTCACAGGAGCGCCTTAGGTCATGGCCACTTGGGCCTTGGAGCACTGTGATCCTGGCAGGGCTGTCATGAAACATGGTTACCGCATATTTAGAAGTGATATTTATCAGAGTGTCTAATGGGTAATTCTCAAGTCCCTCTATAGCTGTTTCCTCTTTCAATGACTGTCCAGGCGCCAGTCTTTTTGCAATTCCATGGTTTGCTTATTTTGGCAAACAAATGGAAATGGGGTCAGCTGATTTCTGTCAGAGCTGAGTGAGAAGTATCAAGAGTGTGTCTGCAAAACTGAACAGGAGAATGTGCTATTAAAAGCTGGTGTTCGGCTGCCAGTGAGCCTGTAGCTTTGCAAACAACTCACTGGAGACCAACACTTCACACAGTTCCTACTATCCGGGGTCTTTGTCCCCACCCTGTTCCAGCACACCTTTGCTGTGGTTGCCTTTCCCACCAGCTTTTCTCCCTCAAAGCCTAGCAAAGATATGACATCTGAAAGTAGCCAAGGTGAGCAGAAACTAATAACAATGGACATTGCATTTGGGTTTAAATATTCTGGAACTACTTGAAGGAGGAGGCCACTGGGAGTTAACCGGGATGAATGAAATATGACAGAGAAGGCTGGGCGCAGTGGCTCACGCCTGTAATCCCAGCACTTTGGGAGGCTGAGGCGGATGGATCACCTGAGGTCAGGAGTTTGAGACCAGCCTGGCCAACATGTTGAAACCCCATCTCTACTAAAAATACAAGAAATTAGCCGGGCGTGGTAGCAGGTGCCTGTAATCCCAGCTACTTGGGAGGCTGAGGAAGGAGAATCACTTGAACCTGGGAGGCGGAAGTTGTAGTGAGCCAGGATTGCACTACCTCACTCTAGCCTGAGCAACAAGAGTGAAACTCCATCTCAAAAAAAAAAAAAAAAAAAAAAAAAAAAATATATATATATATATATATATATATATATATATATATATATATATACACATGACAGAGAATTTTCCCCTGTGGTGAAATCTGAGGACCAGGACCTGGGCCCAAGGGGATATTCGATATAGCATAGTTTAGAGCTGCACTGTCCAATGTGGTGGTCACTAGCTACCTGTGACTGCTGAGCATTTTTTTTTAGGTGGGCTAGTCTGAATTGAGATGTGCGGAAAATGTAAAATACACACCAAGTTTCCAAAACTTAGTACAAAAAAAGTTTAAAAGAACCCTCATTTTTTATTGATTTAATTTCAGAATTAATTTTTACATATTGAAATAATATTTTTGATGGGTGAAATAAAATGTATTAAAATTAATATTTTTTAACTTTTAAGTTGAGGGGCACATGTGTAGGATGTGAAGGTTTGTTACATAGATAAGCGTGTGTCATTAGGGTTTGTTGTATGGATTATTTCATCACCCAGGTATTAAGCCTAATATCCATTAGTTATTTTTCCTGATCCTCTCCCTCCTCCCACCCTGTACACTTTGATAGGCCCCAGTGTGTGTTGTTCCCCTCTATGTGTCCGTGTGTTCTTATAATTAAAATTAATTTTAATAGTTAATATTTATTTATTTGTTGAGATAGAGTCTTGCTCTGTCACCAGGCTGGAGTGCAGTGGCATGATCTCGGCTCACTGCAAGCTCCGCCTCACGGATTCGAGTGATTCTTCTGCCTCAGACTCCCAAATAGCTGAGACTATAGGTGCGCGCCAGCACCCCCGGCTAATTTTTGTATTTTTAGTAGAGACGGGGTTTCACCATGTTGACCAGGATGGCCTCAATCTCTTGACCTCATGATCCACCCCCTCGGCCTCCCAAAGTGCTGGGACTATAGGCATGAGCCACAGCCCCTGGCCTTAATAGTTAATTTTTAATGTGGCTTTTAAAACTTCTTAGATGTGGCTACTAGAACATTTTTAATTACATGTGTAGATTTACTTTATATATCTACTGTACAGCACTGGTTTAGAGGTGAAGAGTGTGGGCTCTGGAGATAGTCTATCTAGATTTGAACCCTGGCTGCAAATCACTGGCTATGTGACTCCTGGCAAAGTGGCTTTCAGACCTTCCACAGAGACCTGCTGTAATCATTTCATTTTATAACATTTTACACTCACATACACATACAGATAAAATGGATGAAATAATACCCTTACCACATGTAATGCATTCTGATATGTTCTGTTTCATTTCATTCCCCTCCCACCTCCTATAGTCTTTCCTCTCTCATCTGTTTATTTAAAACAATGCTTGTCATGACCTCCTGAATTAAATTCAAAACACAGAAATGGGTCACAAACTCTGGTTTGAAATTCCATTCTTGACCTTTCTGTGTTAACTCTCATCTGTAAAATGGAACAAATACTTCCATGATCTCTTAAAGTCATTTTGAGACTATATGTAAGATAGTGTATGTAAAGCCCTTAGAACAATACCTGGTATATAATGAAGTGCTTGATGAATGAAAGAAAGTATTATTATTCTAAATGGGCCTTCAGTTTTCCCTAGGAACACTTATCAGTGTCTGTTACATAGGAAAACACACTAAATATTAGCTGCTTTTCTTACTAATGTTGTTTTAAATAGGCCTGCAAGTTTCATACTAATTTTTTTACCCCCAAAGAGAAGTCACTTGGTGTGAGCAAATGCAGCATTTCCATAGTGGGAAAAGAGACTTCCAGCCTCCTTGTATGTTGCTTTATAAGATCTCTTAAGTTGTTTTTCCCTGTGTGTGTTCTCTCTTCTCTATGTAGGCTGTAAATTCTCAGCAGACAAACTTTGTGCCATCTGTTGTCTTGGATCCCCCTCCGTCATACCCAGGACACAAAGGCAACATTTGTAGCACAGGCTTTGGAGCCACAAAATCTGGGGTTCACACCCTAGCTGTGCTACTCACTGTGTTCTTTGACTTTCGTCTTCCTCCAAAACGAAGGCCTTGTGGCCTCTGAATCCTCATCTGTGACACAGGAATCATGATACCCTCCTCTCAGCTCTGCCATGAAGATTAAATGGCAGCCGGGCATGATGGTTCATGCCTGTAATCCCAGCACTTTGGGAGGGCAAGGCGGGAGGATTACTTGAGGCCAGAGTTTGAGACCAGCCTGGGCAATAAAGTGAGACCTTGTCTCTACCAAAATAAATAAATAAATAAATAAATATAAATAAAAAATTAGCCAAGCTTGGTGGTGCACACTTGTGGTCCCAGCTACATGGGAAGCTGAGGCAGGAAGATTACTTGATGATCCCAGGAGGTTGAGGCCACAGTGAGCTATGATTGCACCACTGCACTCCAGCCTGGGCAATAGAGCCAAGACCCTGTCTCAAAAAGAAAAAAAAAAAAAGACATAAAAAATTAAATGGCATATTGTACGCACTGAGCCTTCTACAGAGCTGGTTGCAGGAAGTGGAGGTCATGGTTGTTGCTGCATGATTTTTATGGTATGAGCTTGGTAAGGGCTGAGTAGATCCCAAATTCCCTGGCGTCACTCCTGGTGTACAATCAAGGCACCTCAGATTCAAAGCACTTCATCCTGATGCTTTTGCACATTGGCCAACCCTCTTAGAACTCACCATGTACTACTTCTGGAATTATGAGAATATACACAAAGGTCATGTGCCTCGAACAGAGCTTCCTGGAGATGAAATTTTTGATTGCATCAGGCCCAACCGCTCATGTTTGCACTTGCTTAGGCAGAAAAGGAAGGTGGTTTGAAACCACCCTGGGCAGCTTCCTGTAGCCACTGAGCCCCTGAACTGGAGTGCAGTTGGTGTGACAGGGTTGCCCACAGAGTGAATGGGTCTGCCTCCAGGGTCCTGTTTACCAGCAAGGGAAACTCTGTGTTCTCCCCTGACATTGTCCTTCAGCTGTGGGCCGACAGCAGGCCCAGCAACTTATGTCAACCCTCCAGTCTCAGTTCCTCCATTGGTCAAAAAAAGAGCTGGGAGGGTGGTTATGAGGTTTTGAAGCAACTCAATACCATGTGTCTTTAATTCACTGTTGCCACGCTGTGGGGCTGTGCCAGGCTATGGAGAGGACAATGAGCAAGATGGACAGAATGTTCCTCTCATGGGGCTCATCATCTAGGGTGTTTTAATCCACTTCTTTTCACCCCAGTGGAAGGATTCCCACCCTAGGGCTATGGAGATGACTGAATGCATAACACCGGACACTGGACAAATAGCATCAACAGCATTTTATTAGTCATATATGCTCATTTAGGGGGTTGTAGTTGGGAAAAGAGTGAACAACCAGGGTCAGTGAGAGGTGGGCTTTGTAGTATCAAGAGGGTGTGGTGCCCCTCGGTTCCCATAGGAGGATATGATTGGCTTATTTGAATAATTCCATGGGCTGGCCAGGAACTGGAAGCTACTACTCTGGAATCAGGAAGAACAGCATCTGGTCTCCCTTGATCAGTAGGACCTTACCTGTGGGGGCAGTGTTGGGAGGGTAATTTGTGATTGGTCATTTGAAGCCCTCCTGGTTTCAGATGTCAAAGGGGCACATAATATTGGACCTTAATTTTAAGCCTAACATTGCATAGAGGAGGAAACACGTATAAAACAAGTCTTTATAATGCCGTGTGATGCTGGTTTTGGAGGGGAGAGCACATCTAACTCCAAGTTCAGGAGGAGTTTGGAGAGAAGATTCCTGGGTTGGTCAGAGGACAGGGGCTGGGTCAAAAAGTACTTCATCTGTACAGGGGGTGATGTCAGAGCCTCAAACTGCCTTGTGCTATGAAGTATCTTATAAAGTGTGTGCCACAGAGCAGCTGCTCTCTAAGTATTTCCATCTCTTTCCTCCCCATTTTCATCTCCATTGCATTTCATCTTCCTCCCACTTGCACATTCATCTTTCATGCCAGGCTTCCTGGATCACCTGTTCTTAAAGTGTGATTCTTGGACCAGCAACATCATTTTCCTCTGAGAACTTGTAAGAAAGGCAGATTCTTGGGTCCCATCCTAGATCTATTGGATTCAGAAACTCTGGGGATGGGGTCCAGTAGTCTGAGCTTTGACAAGTCCTGCAGATGATCGCAATGAGGGCCAAAGCCTGCCCTGGATGACTCCATATTTGTTCAATGGATATGGCCCTCTCCACCTGTTGCAAACCCTCCTCTGCTTGGAATGCGTTATGCTGACAGGCTTGCTACCCTTGGCATAATTCAAGGTCCTGAACAAAGGTCATTTCTCAATGCAGCCTTTCATAATGGCCTTTGTTAAATTCATCTCCCCCTGCCCCTTAGCCTTCTGCAACCCATGATATTTCCATTATAAGACCCTGCATCCTCTTCTTTGTACTCAGCTATTTGTCTAGTTGGTGTGGTGTGTAGAGTATGACCTTCAACTAGATGAATTTGAGTTCTGGGTTTGGGTCCTGTTTCTACTACTTACCAGCTGTGTAACCTTGAGTGGGGCACCAAAGTTTCTGAACTTAGCTTAGTTATCTGTAAAATGGATATCATGACAACAGCTACCTCCTAGGTTTGTTATAAGGATTAAATGAAATGTTGAACTGAAGGTATTTGCATCATCTGGCATTTAGTTAGTGCCCAATAAATGTTAGTAATTATTATTGCATTTCTAGGGTTTGCATCCCATCTTTACCATCTATTAGCTATAAGGGCTAAGAAAGTTACCTTCTTCGTGTCTCAGGTTCCTCATCTGTGAAGTGGGGATAATAATAGTAAAAGAATTCTTGTAAGAACTAAATGAGATGATGAATTCAAAGTGCTGGCACAAAGGGATTACACAGTAAAGGTTAACTAGTACTATTATAGTCCATAGTCCTTTTATGGAAACTACTTCTTGGTGCCCTACCGTACTATCACTTGGGAAGTGCAGCTGAGATAGAAAGATTCGTCTTAAGGAACTGGGTGCTACCAGTCCATAAGGAGCCCCACCTCATTGGGGGAAGTGCCTCTAGGCATCTGTTCTTGTTTTTTATCTTTCCTTCTCCTTTAGTGTCTCTGTGTCTCCATAGAGAATGCTCTGGTGAGGTCAGTTGCTTACATTTTTAAGCAATACAATTTTTAAAGTTGGATTTTAAACGAAAGAGGATCCTCGGAGTTTGTTTCTCTTCTCCTCCCCTCCTGCTGCCCCCCTCCTTCCCCTGGGCATCTGGAGCTTACAGGAGTTCATGCATTTTAATTAGAAGAGAAATACACTGATAAGGTGGGAACATTCGTCTACCTCAGGCAAGCCTGAGATGCTTCAGACCCAGATACCTTGACTCAATGTGGGGGAGGCTCCATCTACCCATCTCTAAGCTGCCTGCCTTCTCCAGAGGAATGATTTTAAAGTAATTGTCTTGCATCTTGGGCTGTATATAAAAAGTTAGTCTTCATTGGCCAGGCGCGGTGGCTCACGCCTGTAATCCCAGCACTTTGGGAGGCCGAGGCGGGTGGATCACGAGGTCAGAAAATCGAGACCATCCTGGCTAACACGGTGAAACCCCGTCTCTACTAAAAATACAAAAAATTAGCCAGGTGTGGTAGCGGGCGCCTGTAGTCCCAGCTACTCAGGAGGCTGAGGCAGGAGAATGGCATGAACCTGGGAGGCGGAGCTTGCAGTGAGCCCAGATCGCACCACTGTACTCCAGCCTGGGTGACAGAGTGAGACTCCGTCTCAAAAAAAAAAGTTAGTCTTCATTGTTCAGGGTTCAGATTTCTTTCTGTGTGCTTACTCTGTCATCGTCTTCTTATGATTTTTTTTTTTAAATTAGCCACTCCTGTGATAAGGAAAGAGAAGGTTGCACTTATTTATGGAATGTCTACTCTGTACCAAGCTCTCTACCAGCTTGACAAATGCTCCTTAACTTAATCTTTACCCAACCTTAACAAGTGGTTTGTGTTTTGCCCATTTTGTAGATGAAAAGACTGAGGCCCAAAGAGGGTGTGCAGGGAAGGGCATGCTATTGGCAAAGCGATGAAGATGGTGATGCTTTTCTGATTTGTGCCTCCCTCTTTGGGCCCATCTCCAGCTTCCCAGTGTTGTTCTGTCATCTAAGACTGCTTAGGGCCGGTGCCTAGGCCTGCTCTCCCCAGCAGTGGACCACATTTTAGTCGTCTGAATTTTCATTAAAACTTACCTGTTCTTGGTTTCATTTATTCAGCCTCATAGGTTTTTCAAAGCTAATCCTATAAATGAATCCCAGGTAGAGTGCTGATGGCTTAATATGAATTATCTTGTATGAAATTGTTATCTCTCCTGAAAACTCTGTACTTTGGCTTTTATAATGCTGTTTACCAGCAATGAAAGGGATGAGGAAATAGAGGTTTAGAGTTGGAGAGTCACCTGGGCTAGTTGTCCACCATTTATCAGAGCGGGGGCACCATCCTTGGACTCTGGCGTAGAGTGTGGTGGCTTTAATCTCGGGTTGTGAATGCTGTTGGAGTATGGGGTGTTGTGGCTAAGACTTCAGGAAATGTATTTTCAGGTAGATGGGAGGGGAGGTGGTGGTGGTAGAGGGTGTCATAATCCCTGCGTGGTTAACTCTGACCCTATCTGAGCTGCTTTTCCAGCTCTGCCTGCTTTGCTTTTCTACTATGAGCTTGTGGTGATCCCTTTATGCCGTCTGGTGTTTTAGTAAAATGGGAGATGTGGGGGAAGTCTTCCCTCTCCTGGTACACCCCATAGGGAGTATAAAGGCAGCCTTTCCTAGAGATGCTGCACTGCACATGCTGGCTTGGAAACTGACTTCACTTATTTAGCTGATCATCAAATCTACTTTCCCTACCCTGGCCTCTAATACACTGTGACCCTTTGAGTTCTATATCAATGCACCATCTGCATTTGGCACAGGGTATGGCAGATTTCTTCCAAGGGCTGCCATGGCTTCCTGGTATTTCCTTATGCTTGTTGCTACTTGCAGATTTCTTTCTAGTAAGTGCAGATTACCTGACACCTGCACTGTATGCTAATGACTAATTAGAGCATAACCAAACTATCGCAGAGCTGTGTGCCTTCTCCAGCTGAAAGCCAAGGTTTAAATCCTCTCTTGGCTGTAATTTCAGTGGTGCATGCAGTGGGTTTTATGAGGGCATTTTGTTTAAGTATCACATCCCAGCCAGGTCTATCTTGCGATTTCGGCCCTTAGCATCTTCAGTATGCTAAGTCCTGGGAGGCATCTGACAGGGGAGAATTGTTCCTGCTTGTTGAATGTGGAGTCAGCCACAGTTTGGAACGGTCACTGACAGGCATAAGGCAACTCAGGGGGCTAAAGGGTAGTTCCCTTGGCTGTGCATGAAGGCACATGGCCACTGGATTAACTCTCACCTCAGGGAGGTCTCCACGGCTGGTTATCTTTCCTAGCCCGACCTCAGTGGATTTTCCTCTTAGTACTTCATCCTTCCTCTCCCTCCTTGCCTCTTCCCCCTTCAAGATTGCCCACTCTATTTATTTAGTCAACAAATATTTGTGGAGCATGTACTGTAGGCCTGGCACCATTTTGAAGCTGGGGATACAAAAGTGAACAAGCTAGAGAAGGTCCCTGACTTCACTGAGCTTATTCTATAGTTGGTGATGAGGGAATAAAATAAATTAAAACATATTATTTGAGGGAATGGAGGAAACATAAGACAGGTAAGGAGTGTCGCAGGGAGGGGGCTGCTCTATTGGATAGGATGACTGGTCAGGGAAGCTTCTTTGATGAGGTGACATTTGAGCAGAGACATAAGTAAAGCAAGAGCAAAGACTATCTGGTTTGTTTCACTCACCAGTGTCCCCAAGTCACTGGAAAAAGGCTCAATAAATATTTATGAAATGGGGAAATGAAGGAATAAATGAATGCACAGAAGAAAATGGAACTTACATCTATAGTTTTTCTTCTTATGTTGTTCTAGCTCCCCCAGGATGGGCACCAGTCCACTTTGCTTTGAAAAGCTCCCCTTGCTCTGTTGACATCAGGGTGACACTGTGACAGGAGGATGGTGGGAAATGGAACTTTGGACTGGTGGCTGAATGACCTGGATTTTGTTTCCATGGTGATTTACCATACCTTTGCCTTAGTGTCTTCATCTGTGAAGTGGAGTAGTAGTTTGATGACTGATTCCATACAGTATTGTATGGCAAAGGAAAAAGCAATAAATTAATGAATAAACACATAAATACATAGATATGGAAATAAATAACACCTAATAAGTTGGGACCTTCTACCACACCAGTTGCTTTGTTATTATTTGTTTTTTATAACAACCCAACGACATTGGTACCATTAAAAATCCCATTATACAGATAAGAAAATGGTAGCTCTAAAGAGTTAAGTAATTTCTTCAAGGTGTAAATGGAAAGGCCAGAATTCAAACTCAGTACTGTCTGATTCTGGAGTCTGAGCTTTTAGCAGCATTTGAGTCCTGCCACTCTGCCTGGAAATGTCTTTATGCTGTCTTACTCTCTATAGTTCATTCTCTACAACTTAAATAGAAAGATACTCTTTTTTTTTTTTTTTTTTTTTTTTTTAAGATGAGGTTCTTCCACTGTTGCCCAGGCTGGAGTGCAGTGGCATTATCATGGCTCATTGCAGCCTTGACCTCTTGGGCTCAAGCAATCCTCCCACCTCAGCCTCCCATGTAGCTGGGGCCTCAGGTACATGTCATCATGCCTGGCTAATTATGATGTATATATTTACATATATTATATTTTTTGTAGAGACAAGGTCTTGCTGTGTTGCTCAGGCTGGTCTTGAACGCCTGTGCTCAAGCAATCCTCTTGCCTCTGCCTTTCAAAGTGCTGGGATTACACGTGAGAGCCACCATGACTCGTTAAATATATTCTTTAAGTAGATTTCATCAACAGTGACAATTAATAATTTAGTAATAACGTTAATGAAGTGAAACAACACTGGTATGTTTTTTCCCTGGGATTCTGCCTGTTTCACTAGCTTATTTGATTTGCTAATATAACTATTTATGGAATGGAAAAGACTTCCCATGACACATTCAGAAAACAGAGAGAGCAGGTCATTTATCTTTATGTTGCTTTAAAGACTGCCATTTGGAACAATGAAGAACATCAGATCTGCTCTCTCACCCCCTAGACCAACCTTTCTAACTCAGTCTCTCATGAAGGGACACCATCTGGCAGTTCTTTTTTTTTTGCTAAATGTGAAGGCTTAGTGGATGCCTGATTCCCATTTCATTATTATTAATGTGCATTCAATATTTAGCAGTATTTTGTAAACAGTTTAGGAGTTAGGTCTCAGTTCACCTTGTGATCTGAGAGGAAGACTGATTTGACCCCCATTTGCAGAAGAGAAAACAGATTGGTGACATCTTAAATTAATGTTTCTTGAAGAGTTGTCTCTGGACCTCCCATATCCAAATTGGCTGAGCAACTTATTAAAATGCAGACTCCTAAAATCCACTGCATACTCATGAAATCAGAAGCTCTGTGGGTGGAGTCCCCCAAGGGACATTCTTAACAAGTGCCCCAGGTGATTTTAATGTTCACTAAAGCTGAAGAATTAGAATTCATATCAAGATGTACCTGTACAGCTTTTAACAGATGATCCTGAGGGATGATTCTGGAGTATGTCCAGGAAGAATGACCAGGACTGTGAGAGGGACTCTAAACTCAAATGTCTGGGTGTTAGTTTAAAGAATTTGTGGTGTTTACTCTGGAGAAGAGAAGATTTGCCTTCTTTAAATATTTGAAGGGCTGCCATGTGGGAAGGATTAGACTTGCTCTGTGTAGTTCTAGGAAACAGAGCTAGGACCAGGGAGTCAGTGGAACTTACAGTCATGCAAATTTCAGCTCATCATAAGCAAGAACCTGCTAACACTCAGAGTAGCCTGAGTATAGAAAAGGTTGCTTTTGGAGGTTGTAAGTTCTCCATCAGTCACTGAAGATGTACAAGTTGGACATGAATTATTGGGTTGGATACAGAAGGAATTAGTGTACATATAGAAAAAGGTTAGCCTTTAACAAGGTATTATACTTTCTAATGCTGAGATTGTCTTGTTTTATAATTCCTTTCTTTCCTTTTGAAAAGTTGTAATAAGGTGTATGTGTGCCTACACACTCATATGCATGTGTATGTTTATACTCTGTCTCTCTCTCTCTCTCTCTCTCTGACACACACACACACATACACACTTGTGGGTGTGCCTTAAGGGGAATTATGATTTACTTTGGGGAAAAATTAGAAGTTAATTTATTCATTATTCAACAAATACTTTTTGAGTGCTTCCAGTATATCAATTGCTGTGCCGGGCACTGGCGATTCAGAATTGCCTAAGATGTGGTTCTTGCCCAGAAAGAGATCTTGGTCTAGTGGAGGAGACTGGCTTGTAAACAGAAAAATTATAATGACCCATGGCAAATGCAATGAGAGCAGCAGGTATAGAGTATTATAGAGCACTAAGAAGGGGAACTTACCCAGCCTGTGGATGTGTGGAGCGAAGAGGAGTCAGGGTAGGATTCAGAGGAGATGGGTATGACTTTGACCGCTGAGGGTGATGTGGGGTGGCCAAGTAGAAGGAAGCAATGAATAAAGACAAATCACTGGGAGATGAGTGGAAATGTTGAGAAAGCCTGTGCTTTTGGAGATATGAGTGTGAGACTATGCAGGTGAGAAACAAGGCTGAGTGTAGAGGTCCCATGTCACCAAGGGCCTGGTGTCCCCTGCGAAGAAATGTTGCCTCTATCCTGTAGGAGGTGGGCATTCCCTGAGAACTTTCAACAGTGAAGTGATATGGAGTCATCCGCTCATAAGGAAGATCACTCTGGTGACATTTTGGAATTGCATTATCAGTGTAACGTGATTTTGAACAAACGTTGAGATGGCACTTATGATCTCATTGGCTGATAACCATGGTACAGTGGAGTGACATCAGAAAGGATCTGTGAACTCAGAAGGCACAAATATCATTGCCTCACAAACTCCTCTTATCTGGAGTACCTGCTTCTTGATGTTTGCCCCAACTCTCTGCCATGCTTCCTCATCACCACTGCTAATGACCTAGTGACTCATTAAGGCCATTTAGCAACTTTGGATGCAGACCTAAAACACAGGGAGCATCCACAGCATGTTTTCCTTAATTCCAAGCACTGTATTGGTACCATCAGATAGATTAACTCTCACCTTAGTGAGGTCTCCACGGCTGGTGCCCAGAATACATATGAACATTTTGCTTTCATATTCCATAACTTGATGCCAAGGCATAGGGAAAAGATCACATTTAAAAATTTATTCCAAATATTTTTTCTCTTTTTAAGACCCCAGTATTTTGTATGGATGAGTGGAGATGAAAAATTAACTGAGGAATTCAGATATATGGTGGATTTGCCAGACCCTACTTGCATACATGGGCTCTGTTGGCCTCCTCTTTGTATACAGACATCGCTGTCAACACCAGCAGAGGAAACATATGAATGGTGGCAATTCTTTGTTTATTTTGCTTATCAGTAAGTAACACACTTGTTGCAAATAAGTAAGTATGACAAAAGACCAATTCTTTCCTGCTTCTTTTTGCTTGTGGAGGTGTTTTGTCATGTTGCTAAGTTACCATGCTGAAGGGTTCTACTTTGGGGAATGAAGTTATTTTAAAACATCTAGTGAACATCCTACCAGAAAACTTCTTTACAGTTTGGTGAGGGTCTGGAGTATGCTGGAGAATGGGGATGGATGAAGAAGGAGCCAAAAGTTATTGGAGCCATATATTATAGAAACTACAAAAAGCATTCTAATCACAAGGCATAGTTGAAAATTGAGTAAATCACCAAGAAGGAGTTAGGTTAGGAAGCTGGAGTATTTAACCAATAAATTGTCAGATGCTTTCATGACAATCTCATAAAGTAGACTGGAATAAAGAGAAGAAATGGGTAGTCTTCCTCAAAGAATAAATGGGGATAATTCAGATGCCTGCTGGGCCTTTTGCTTCTTTTCTGCAGGGCCAGTATCTGCTGAGGTATTTAGGATTCCTAAGACGTTTATGCAGTCATTTACCGAATAATTATCAAGCTAAACACTTGTAAACTGAAGAATGATGAAGTTCATAAATTTGGAAAGGAGAGCTTTATTTCTCATAAAGGGTTGCAGCCTGCAGGTGGCCATTTCTGAGAGGCTGGGAAGCATAGCCTCCAGCCAGAAGCTGGAAACAGACCCTTCAAGGGAGGGGCAAATGGAACAGGAATGTATGCTGAGCAGGATGGCCAGATACATATATTCAATAACCTATAGGAAGATCCATGAATATTTATGAAAGCAGAAAGGTATGCATGTGCAATTGAGCCTCATACCTCTCCATTGGACCCATGTTCAAAAAATGACAGTGTTAGCATAATCCAAGGGGAGAGTTTTCGGCCCTCTGATGTCAAAAAGTGAAGCAGAGGACTGGAAACTCTTACCATGCATCCTCCATCAGCTGGCCAGAACCACTCCATGGTTGGTGGTCTCTTACCAGAAAGAAATGCTGTGTATTATTTTGTTGAAACTACAAAAGGGAGGGACAAGAGTCAGGTGGTAGGTTGATATTAGTGGTGTTGGAGTCTGTTGACAGGGTTGGTTTCTGTTGAGCCCTTAGAGAAGAAAGCCTAATGCTGCTTAGCAAGAGAGAAGATATGATGAGGCGTGTCTGACTTCCCATCCCATCATGGCCAATAACTCAGTGTTCAAGGTTACTCTGGGGTTCCTTTGGCCAAGAAGGGGTCCATTCAGCCAGCTGGGGGGCTTGGGATTTCATTTTTATTTCTCACACTGGAGATATAGCAACAACAAGACAGATATGGTTCATATTCTAATGGAGTACGTTTTCTGTTTTTGTTAGACATTCTATCTGTGTTTGTCAGGATTCTTTCTGTGTAAGTGACAGAAGCCTGAGTTATACTGGCTTAAGTGAGAAGAGAATGAATGTCTCTAGAAACTTGAAAATCCAGCTGGGAAGAACAGGGTTGGAGAAGGATGCGGTCATACCTAGATTTAGTGGCTCAAATGATGCCAGGGAGACTATCTTTCTCCCACCATCTCATGGCTTTACTTTCCTTCATATAGTCAGGAAAGATGGTTGCTACCAGATCCAGGCTTGAATGGTCCTAATTTAGGACTCCCTGAAGGCTTGGAGCTTAGATTTTTTTATGGACAATTTGGTGAGCAGGGGCTAGGGAATGAGTGCTACTGGTTGGTTAGGGATGAAATCATAAAGGCATGGAAAACAATCCTCATGCACTGAGTCTGCATTTGGGTGGGGCCGCAGGATCAGTTGAGTCATGAGTCAGAAATCCAGGTGGGGTGAATCTGAAAAACATCTCAAAAGAAACCAGTCTTAGGTTCTAGAAGAGTGATGTTATCTATAGGAGCATACAACCCCTGAGCAATAAGAGATTATAGAAACTACACCTATCTTGCGACCTCTCATTAGTCTCACAAAGGTGGTTTCAGCACCCAAATAGGGAGGGGATTAGTTTTATGTCTAATTAGTGCTTCACCATTTGACATTAGAGGGCTGAAAACTCTACCCTGGATCATATTAACACTTCCATTTTTTGGGCATGGGTCCCACGAAGAGGCATGAAACTCAGTTGCACATGCATGGATTTATACTTTCATAAATATTTGTGGATTCTCCTGTAGCTTGTCATTCTTGCTTTCAAGTTAAACTATAAATGAAATTCCTCCCACAGTTAGCTTGGCTTATGACCAGGAATGACCAAGGACAGTTTGGAGGTCAGAAACAATATGGAACCAACTATGTCAGATTTCTCTTACTGTCATAATTTTGCAAAGTTGGTTTCAATCTTAGGAATCCTTTAAAGCTTGTTATTGTAAGGCCTACACCAGCACTTTCCAGACATAACTGTTCCTATTTCCTCTTTCCTTGGTCTCACTCAAGTAAAAGTGAATTCCTAGGAGAAGGGCCTCCTAAAATTATCAGGGACGAAAATTAACCTTTTCTTTCTTTTTTTTTTTTTTTTAACCAGAAGTTCCAGCCTAGGTATAATGGTTTCATTATGTTTTCTTGACTCATGATAGGACCAATAAAAGCTAATAAAACTACCAAAAGTTTGGCAAGACACAACCAAATGGTGTCATTTTCAAGTGACCCATCAGCAAGTCCTCACTAAGCTGCAGTTTTATTTCATAATCCTTAGTAGGCAAAAGGGAACACAAAGCAGGAAAATATGGTCCCTTTTCCTCAGTGAGCTTATAATCAATTTAAAGAGAAAAGACACACACGACAGTTGAACGGTGAACTCTAGAACATGATAAATGTATTTGTTAACATCCAGTGATGATGTAATAAAGCACTGAGTTATAATTATCATCACAGAATAGAATAGTAAAGAATAAGGGGCCAACTGAGTCCATTTCTAAGAGTTTTCATGGTCTATTTGGCTGTTGTTATGCCTGAGGTCATTAAGGAAGGCTTTCTGGAAAAGATGGAACTTAAAGTGGGTCTTAAAAGATAAACTGAAGAGATTATGTGCAGAGGATAGCGTTCTTCCCTTGTATTGGCCATGATTCACTTAGCTTCCTCCCATATAAGCTTTAGGATACGATGCTATTGCCCTTTATATTAAGAAAGTCACTCAGAAGACCTGAAAGAGCTGGCCACTTTTTGAGAAGGGAGTTTATCAATGTTGAAGAGTAGAGGGGTATTTGGAACATTTAGCATAAGTGTATAATTCCCAAACATAAAGATTATTCAAGGAAACTGGGATCTTTTGGGGGCCATTCCTAGCCTTTGAAGTTGATGTTAAAACTTCAAAGTTTATAATTAAATTATTAACTTCAAAGTTAATAGTTTTCTTCCAAAGTTGTAGAATCAGAGTTGCCACAGCCACTGCCTACAAGGATGACAACCAATATCTGAATATTGCAGTTGACCATTTATGAAATACCAGGCTGCCCCACTATGGCCCCAAACTAGTCTAAGGATAAATTTCCCATGGAAAAACTGGCTTATATTCAAATCATCTAAAAACTAAGAGCTTACCCTTCAAAGTTTTTATTCTATCCACAAAGACCCTACATTCCCCAAATTGGATTTTCACAATCTCTGGATGTTCTCAAATTTTATTGTGCTCTTCTGAAATTGGGACCCAGGTTGTGCTCAGAAAGTCTACTTCCTTGAGCTGTTCCATGTGACGATCTGAGCTCATGCTAGGGTGGCGTGTTAATGGCTAAGGTGAATGAGATCTGCCTATTGCCAGGCAGTGACCCAGCTCTTGGGTGATGCCACCACACTTCATTCTTACTCTTCCCATCTTGTGGGAGAATCTCTCTCCTGTTGGATTCTGAATCGATCCTGAACCTCTTGGAGAGGGGCTTCCCTCTGGAGGGTGTCGGAAGTGAGTCCAGAAATGAAGGCTTCCTTCATTTTCAGAAGGACAACTTGCAAGAAAATCCAAGAGAAAAACAAGTTTAGAGAAAGATGCATCCTACTCTTGACATCATCCTGAAGTAGATTTGAAACCCAGTTCTTTTAGTAATGAGCTGTATATCCTTAGGTAGCAAATGGCTTTACCTCTTTGAGTTTGCTTTCTTTAGGTGTAAAGTGGATTATTGGTTTAAACAAGATCAGTAGAATAATAATCAAATTGTTAGTATCTATGAAGCTTTCTTTGCATCCCGTATTGCCTGAGGGGCTTCAATCTTGTGATTCTCCTGTGCGTAGACGTATTCTTATTGTAGTCATTTGATAGATAAGGAAACTGTGATTCAGAAAAGTTAAGCAATTTGCTTAAGGTCACCTGGCTAGTAAAAGGCAGAGTCAGCTTTCCAGTCTGGGCAGTCTAACCCCAGAGGCAGTGCTCTTAAAAGCCAATACGTCGTGTGCCTGGGATAGAGTGGATACTACACGAATGATAGCAATGAACAATACTTGGGAATAAATGAAGGCTATGGAGAGACTGGTTGGTCACGGAAATGTGTGAGGTGTTGGTGGGCTTTAGTTTTGGGATACGAGTTGGGCAGGAAGACCACAACCCTCCTGCCTATCCCAGCCAGACACGCTGTTGCCGTGACTGGCTCTACCCGCAGTACTGGGTCTGAGTCAAAGGCAGCTTTTTCTAAAGGCTTTGGATCACATGACAGCTTTGTTAGGCTGAGATAAATGCAGGGGCTTTCTGCAGAGGAATCTGTCAAAGGAAAGTTAGTTTCTGAGGAATTAATTGGAATTCCCTTAATGTTCCCCTGACATAGGCCTGAACACTGTGTTCATCCCCAGTAGATTATCATTAATCGGGTGAGCAGGGAGACAGAAACAGCCTCTGATAGCTAATTTATTAACTTCTCCAATTTGAAGGAGTGGAGCAGACTGAGGTGCTTGGATTTATTTTGAGGGATTTGGTGTAGAAAGCTCAGTGGTGAATGGTATTACAACCCTGATCTAAATAGAAGGATTAATGATTTCTCTTGGTCGCAACAAAAGTTAGAGTGGGAGTGCTCTTTTCTAATAGGTTTATCGAAGTATAATTGATACACAAAGAAGTTTACATACTTAATGTGTACAATCTGATGAATTTCAAAATATGCAAACACCAGTGATACCATCACCACAATCAAAGTAATAGACATGTCCAACACCTCTAACCAAGGTTTCTTAGTATCCCTTCAGCTTATTTATGTTTTTATGATGATAAGAAAAGTTAACATGAGATCTACCCTCTTAAAAAATTTTGAAGTGCCCTAAGTTCTATAAATCCGCTATAAAATATAGTGCCTATAATTAGCAATACAGTATTGTGGACTTCAAAATTTATTAAGAGGATATAATTTTTCTGAGATCCATAATTTTTATTACTATTTTTTCTTTCTTAGCTTTGGGTTTCCATTTCCTTTCACAAATCTCCCATAAGAAAATCTCCTAATTGTGTGTTTGTTCTCTTCCAATTGGTGCACTTTGGGGAGACTGGTTTTCCTGTAGCCACAAGCCATTGTTTTGTGTAGTTGATGTCACTTCTGACACTTTATACTCTTCTATTTTCTCTTCCATGCCTATTCTACCACTCTTTCTCATTCAACGTGGCCTCCAGAGGTTAAGTTGCCTGCGGATGGTTTTGTACTGCCCAGGATTATTATGAGGCTTTGGCACTGGTAGACTTAGATTCAAATGCCAATCTAGTCAATTTCTAGCTCTGTGGCTCTTAGCAATTTACTTAACATCTCTGAGCATTGGTAAGCGGGGATAATCTTAACTACAGCACAGGGTTGCCCTGAAGATTAGATGTGGTCCTGTGTGTTATGTCCAGAGCATAGCAGGTGCTTCCTGCCTGCTTGTTTCTTCTCCACTTTTCTTCACTGGAGAAGAGAATGAAGGACTCCATGCTAGGTGTGAGTGAGAATCCTGACTGCGACTTAGCATGGGGCTTAAGGAGTGGCACAAGCTAATGCTTTCTAGAGGCTTGCTCTTGGTAGGCATGTTTCTCTCACTATGCTGGCCTGGAAGAGTTTGCTTGCTTCAGCTCTGGTTAATGGGCCTCAAGCAGTAAGATATTGCATAGAAAAGTCATCAAAACCCTGCTAGACTAGCTTACCATGCATGATTTTCCGAGATAGAGGTCACTGCTGTCTCTTCCCTTGGCCTCCTTATCCACTCACTTCACTCTGTAGATACCTCTTTATTGTCTTTTCATGAGGTCCAAGTGATTTTGGGGTAAATCTTCACCTATGGTCACTTTTGTATCCCTTTGTTCTACTTCCCTTACTCTCACTGAAGGTGATAGGCTTGTGTTATGAGTGATGAGTTCTGAAGTCAGACTAGTGGGTTTGATATATGATTTAATTTTGCATATTTTAAAACTTTATATAATTGAAATCATTCTATATTTATTATTTTACAACTTGCTTTTACAACTTGTAGAATATTATGTTTCTGAGGCTTACACATATTGTGTCTTATATCTTTAATTCCTTTTTTCCCACTATATAATATTCCACTGGATAAATATGCCACACATGATCAACTGTATAGTTGATAGACATTTAGGTTGTTTCCAGATTTTCTATTACTATGAGTATTCCTGCTATAAACATGTATTGAGTGCTGGTGCACATTTGCTAGAATTTCCTAAGAGCAGATATCTAAAGTTGAAGCTTGAAAATTGTTGAGTTATGGGCTACACCTATGTTAAAATTTATCACCTAATGCCAAATAATATTTTAAAATGATTATAACAAAATTCACTCCCATTAGTTTGGGTAACTAGTCCATTGCTTTATATTCTTGCCACCACTTGATATTGCTGGACTTTTTTTTTCTTTTTTTTGGCCATTCTGATGTATGCGAAATAGTATCTTGGGATTTTAGTTTGCATTTCTCCAATTTCTAATGAAGATGAGCATCTTTTCTTATATTTATTAGCCATTTGGATTTTCTCTTCATAAAATGTTCAAGGCTTTTGTCCATTTTACTATTAGATCATTTGTCTTTTTCTTATTTATTTGCAGGATATTTTTAATATATTCTGCATATTATTTTTTGCTGTTGTTATTACATTTGTTGCAAATAGCATCTCCACATTGGTGGCTTGACGTTTACTCTCTTGATGGTGTCTATTGATGGGAAGTTCTCAATTTTAAAGCAGTCTAGTTTATAAGAAGTAGGAAATCTAACTGAAGCTTAGCGTATTTGAGTGTCTTATGTAAGGCCTTTTTGTAGATGGTAGTTGAGAAAGATTTGAATCCAGATCTGAAAGAAAACATTGATCTCTTTCTACCAGATTGCACTGTCTCTACGCAGCAGTGTCTACAAAGGTCAGACATAGAATAGAAGTTCATGAAAGTTTTGTTGGATTGCATTTTCAGGTAATTCAGGGGCACTTTATTCCCTGCCCCTACCAGAATGATTGTTCAAATAAAATAAGGAGGTTTTATGATAGAATTTAGACACATCCCTTTATACCTTTTTTCATGTCTAACCTCTTCTTTTTCCCCATGGCAGTAGGATTTTTGTTAAAGCTCTGGTTATATAGCTCATAAAAAACAATTTCACCAAAATTCAGTTAGAATCACTTCTATGTCTCCGTGTTGTGTGTAATCCTGGCTGATAACAACCCAGATAAAGAAAAATCAGGTTGTCTCTCTAAAGGAGCACAAGGAGATTTGGGCATCTGTTCCTTTTAAACTAAGCATATTTTCAGTGTCATAAAACATTTGATACTGAGCTGGTGAATGAAAACACAAAAGAATTAAGAGTGCAGTGTTTCAGTGAATATCTCCTTAATCACAGAGAATGGGACTTCTTAATTTAAATTCTTGATTAGGCATGTTGGGCGCGGACAGCACCACTCTGATCTCATTAGCCCAAGTGATAATGTACACTAATTATCCCTCTTCCAAAGTCAGGGGCTCATTTATTACCTATATGAATGAACCTTTCTCTCATCCTCAGCATCAGAGTTAAAAATGAACTTGGAAAAGTGATGGAGATGCCGGGAAGGAGTAAGTTAAATGGCTTCAGGTTTCAGAGGAAGGAGCAGAGCCAGACAATTTGTGCTAAAGCCAAGCAAGATAATACTGACTTCTAGGTTTTACCTATGGCTTGAAGTGATGTGCAATCCCTATCATGTTCTTTCTCTCTAGTAAGTTAGTTTCTCCTTGGCCAGTTAACATGAAAATATAACACAAATGCTAAAGTCTATGATGCAACTTAACACTTGGGATTTGGGATGGTAGTGGTAGAAACATCACTCAACTTGGGGCACCCTGACCTGCTCTACTCCTGACCTCACCCCCTGGCTCCTGTAGCTCTCTGAGGTTGGAGCCCTGGAGTTTGATGAGCCATTTTAGTAATACTGTGTGGGTGGTTGGGGAGGGGGAGAAGTGGAACCAGAAAGTATTCCCTATTGCTTCTAAACATGGGGAAACCTGTGAGGCACGTTTGGAGTTCAGCTGAATTCCTTCAGAACACTAGTGTTATGATCTTAAAGGAGTGATTTCCAAGTTGGTTTCTAATACTCTCTACCTTCTCTTCATAGACATGGAATCTTAGAGATATTCTAATTTTATAACAAAGAAAACCAAAGCTCTTAGGAAAGAAGTTATTTGCCTGGATTGTACTTTCAAAAATGACCTTTTCATCATTTTTAGCACATGATAGGAGTATATATTAGTACAATTTTTCAAGGGTAGTTCCACATATCTATTAAAACTAAGTTAGTGCATGCACATTGACCCAGAAATCTCACCCCGGAAATCTAGACTATGGAATATTTGCA
This sequence comes from Homo sapiens, assembly GCF_000001405.40. Taxonomy (NCBI): domain Eukaryota; kingdom Metazoa; phylum Chordata; class Mammalia; order Primates; family Hominidae; genus Homo; species Homo sapiens. The sequence goes on from NC_000005.10 coordinate 155,320,681, forward strand.
TAACATTTGAAGATATATATGTATGTCCTCTGTATCCATATAATGATTATATATAATATATATCCATGTAAAGATTATATATATAATCTCATCTGTATCTACATCTATGTCACCCATGCCACCGTCTACATCATCATGTACACCTCTAGAAAGACATGACCTTATTTATTTATTTATTTTTGAGACAGGGTCTTGTTCTGTCCCTGAGGCTGGAGTGTAGTGGTATGATCTTAGCTCACTGCAACCTCCACCTCCCGGGCTCAAGTGGTCCTTCCACCTCAGCCTCCCAAGTCGCTGGGAGGACAGGCATGCACCATCATGCCCAGCTAATTTTTTGTGGTTTTTGTAGAGATGGGGTTCTGCCATGTTGCCCAGGCTGGTCTCGAACTCCTGGGCTTAAGTGATATCCTGCCTTGGCCTTCCAAAGTGCTGAGATTACTGGCGTGAGCCACCATGCCCAGCCAACCTTATTTTTAATAGAAAGGAAAGTAGAGCCAACTCTAATACCTACCAGTAGGCAATTGGTTGAATAAACAATGGTACATTTCCATAGGGAAATATAAAAATAATGAAAAAGTTTTTGAACTGGCACAAGAAGGTGTCCAAAATTGGCAAATGAGGAAAGCTGGTTTTAGGATTGTATATAAGTGTAGTATCCCATCTGTGTAAAAGACTACACATGTATTAGTATTTATGCCAATGGTTCTTTGTGGTTATTTCCAAGGGAGGGGTGGAACAGAAGCTGAGAAAGAGAGGCAGGGGAACTTCCACTTTATATATAAAGTATACATTTCAGCATTATTTGGAATCTTGCAATGAGCTGACTGTATGTTGGTAATCAGCAAAAGCAGCAACAATAAAAGCTTGCTATACAGTGCCGGTAAAGATGGGTTCTGCTATCCTGAGGCCAAGCACTGATAGGCTGTCAAAATTGCAACGCAATTGGAAATCACAGCCCTAAGCACACTAAATGGGTCTAACTCAGTGACTGTTAAAAAACAGCATTTCTCACAAAGCAAAATTGTCCCAGCTATTAGATAATATCCTTAGAAGAGTTGTGCTCATAGTAGATAGGAGGCATAATCTGTATCAGACACTATTTCAGGTTAATGCAATTCCTCTACTGTTTGCAATTTAGAGCCCACCTGGTGACAGAGCTCCAGCACCTATGCGTGAATTCATTGGGTTTACTTTTGCATGCACACGCTGAATTGTAGCACTGAGATACACCCTCCCCCATCTCCTTGTTCATCGAGTCACTTTTTTTTTCCTTCTTTGCTTCCTTCCTTGTTTTTTCTCCTCTCTCTCCTTCCTCTTCCCTTCAGCAAACCTTTACCTAGTCTGTGCCATGCACTGAGCTGGGTGTGGTGGGAAATGAAGCTCTCAATTAGGATTCTTGCTCCAAGGAGTTAGTTCATAATCTACCGGGAAAGACTACCATGAAGTGCAAATGATAAATTCTGATAAGGAAGGGGGCTTAAGAGCCAGGTGGGATTAAATGGTTTACAGGGTAGAGTCTTTGCTCTGCAGTATATTTTCCCTGTGGCCTTGAGAAGGTTACTAAACATCTCTAAGCCTGCTTCTTCATCTGTCATTTGGAAATAATAGTGTGTACCTCACAATAGTACTGACATGAAATAAGGCATGTGGTGCCTTTTTCCTTCCCTTCTTTTCTTCCTTCTCCCCTATTTTAAAAATATGAATAATTATGATAAAAGGATGTAAAAGTGCTACGGGAGCAGGAATGGGTGAGCTATGTGGGAAGTGTGGGAAGATACACAAACAGATGTTCAAGCAGGGCACTGGAGGATGAGCAGAACAAATTTTCATGGTAAAGACTGGGGAGGGAGAGGGTCCCAGGTAAAGGGAACATTGCAGGAAGACCCAGAGGCAAGGTACTGAGTCCTGAGGTTGAGGTGAGGGAGGGAGGGTGCTTGAAGCCTTATCTGTGAACTGGGTGTTATCCTACCCCTTCCCCTTCTTCTGTGGGAGCCCTAGTCCCATGTTTACTCTTCAATTTATAATGACAATCAGGAAATGCTTTGATATTAGCTCTTTAATGAGAATTGAGGTCATTATTTTTTTGTGTGTGAGCTTTTGCACATAAGGCTCATCTGTCATTGTGGAGTGAAAGTTCTTTTTTCCCTCTTAGAGGAGTTTGAGGCTTCCTAGAGCAGGAAGATTTGGCTCTCCCCTTCCTTTTTTTCCTAGGGAAGAGCCTTTCCTACCCACTGAAATCCCATCTCCTAGCAACTGCCTACAGCACTGCAGGGATGAGCCTGACTCTGCTTTTGAACTTCCAAGGTCAGGAGAAAGGATATCTTGCAGGCACATCTCTGAGAGACACATGTTTAAGAAAGCCACTAAATCATGGCCCAAGCCAGGCTTTTCATTAAAATGTAGTAGGGTGAATACTTTACAAGGAGAGGAAGCAGGTAAAAGATGAACAAGGCAGCTGCTGTCACTCACTTAATGCTCTGTTCACATTCAATATCCCACCCATTTATCACTCACCATTGGCTATACTTCCTTTCTCCTACTGGAAACTAGTTTTATGGTTGGGATCAGCAAAGCTCCCCTCAAGAAGTCACCACTTGAGGAGTCCCATCAAGATTTATTCTAAGAGGAGAGAAGACACACTGTTTATTACTTCTCCAGTCAAGGACTAAAAGTCAAGTTGATTGATGCCCGTGATGAAATTGCGAAGGAAGTACAATGTGTGCTGTGGTGGTTGTGAGTGTGGAGTCAGAAAGCCTGGGTTTGAATGTTGGCTCTGCAACTTTCTGTAATCCCTTGGTGCCTCACTTTTCTGTCTTCAAAATGAAAATAGTGATAGTAATCCAATCAAGGTCTTGATATGAGGATTAATGGAGTTAATACACAGAGCACTCAGCACAGTGCCTGGGATGTGGTAAGTGCTCACTACGTGTTAGCTATTTTTTTTTTTTCTAACTAAAAATGAATGCTGACCTTTGACCAAAATTTAGGGTCTGTAGATCCTTAATTGGGGCTTGGAAGCAGTTGCTGGGAACGCACGACTATCTATTATTTGTAAGAAAGGCAGTAATGTGGTAGGCAAGCCAAACAGTGCCAAATGTGACTCTTAACTTTTTCAGCTCATTCAGTCAACACATTTCTATCAGGTGTCCACTACATACTGGTCACTTGCTATGGTCTGAATGTTATTTTCCCCACCCCCTCCCCAATTCATACGTTGGAACTTAATACCCGATGTGATGGTTTCAAGAGGTGGGCTTTTGGGAAGTGACTAAGTCATAAGGGCTCAACCCTTATGAATGAGATTAAAAATACCCTTGTAAAAGAGGCTTGGATGAGCTCCCTCACCCCTCTTTTGTGCCATGTGAGGACACAGCAACAAGGCACCATCTTTGAAGCAGAGAGCGAGCCCTCACCAGACACTGAATCTGCTGGCACTTTGACCCTGGACTTCCCAACCTCCAGAACTGTGAAGTGTAAATTTCTGTTGTTCATAAATTACCCAGTCTAAAGAATTTTTTAAATAACAGTCTGAATGGACTAAGACATCACTCATCTAGATGCTGAAGTGGTGAACCACTGACAAGGCCCTCTTGCCATGTGCTGGCTATGTAAGCTTGGATGTTATTTACCCTCTCCGAGCTATACCTTCCACATCTGTGAAATGGAACTGCTAATAATAGTTGCTTCATAAGGTGATAGCTATTGTTGGTAGTTACCCATTACTTGTAAAATTGGGTAGGGATAGATCTCATATCACTCCAGCTGAATATAGGAGCAAACACACTATAACTACATATAGGAACAAATGCATTAACTAGGTCATGGGGGTAGAGGATATTTTTCATCCTGGTATTTAGGCTTTCATGAACCAACTTATTCTCTGACTGTAAGCTAACATACCTTATTCATTAATTACTTGGCATAGTTAGCCTCTTGACCCTGAAAAGCACCAGGATCTCTCTGAGTCACCATGTCGCCCAAACTCCTTTGTCAATTATGACTTTGAAAACTTTTCTGATGCTAGAGAGATTTTATTTTGCAAATACTGCAATAACTTGAGGTTTGGTCTAGGGTCCCAGGAAAAGAAATAAGCCATAACTTTGTCCTGTACTTTCTCCACCTATTCTAGTTGTTTTATGAGTCCTTACTCTAATTTGTTGGCTTTTTTCCCCTGCTTCTGTGCTCTCTTGACAATTTGCTTGCACCTTTTCTAGAATGCTCACTCCATCTTGTCCTTGATTATAGTTACCTGCTTACTACATCTGTATATATATTTGTTGCCTCACTACTTATAACATTTATAACATACATGAATACATAAATTCATATTTATTGAGGATTCACTGTGCCTGGGACACTGTGCAATGTGCTTTAGATACATTATCTTCTATTATTATTATTTTTTATATTCTCCAATTTAAAACTTTTAATTAAAAAGCAAACTTTAATGTCGAAAATGCAAACTTGGGGAGGGCAGAAAGATCACACACAAGGCTGTCACTTCACACTTGGAGGGTTGCACAGTGGCCAGGCAGAGGCGCTCCTCAGTTCCCAGATGGTGCGGAGGCTGAGCCAGAGGTGCTCCTTACTTCTGAGATGGTGGGGTGGCCAGGGAGAGTCGGTTCTCACTTCCCAGGCAGTGGGGCGGGCAGGCAGAGGCACTCCTTACTTTCCAGATGATGCGGGGGCTGGCCAGAGGTGCTCCTCACTTCCCAGATGGTGCAATGGCTGGGCAGAGGTGCTCCTCACTTCCCAGACAGGGCAGTGGCCAGGGAGAGGTGGTTCTCACTTCCCAGACGGTGGGGCATTATCTTCTATTGTTATCATCCCCATTTTACAGATGAGGAAATGGAGACTTAGAAACATTAACTATTTTGTTTGTAAATTTGCTTAAATTCCTTCTAGATTCTGGGTATTAGACCTTTGTCAGATGAATATACAGCAAAATTTTTCCCCATTCTGTAGGTTGTCTGCTCTGATGATAGTTTCTTTTGCTGTGCAGAAGCTCTTTGGTTTAATCATATGCCGTTTGTCAATTTTTGCTTTGGTTGCAGTTGTTTTTGGCAATTTCATCATAAAATCTTTGCCCATGCCTATGTCCTGAATGAAACAACTTCATTAAAAAATGGGCAAAGAATATGAACAGACACTTCTCAAAAAAAGACATACATACAGCCAAAAACATGAAAAAAAGCTCAACATCACTGATCATTAGAGAAATGCAAATCGAAACCACAATGAGATACCATCTCACAGCAGTAAGAATGGTGGTTATTAAAAAGTCAAGAAACAACAGATGCTCAAATAGGAATGCTTTTTTTTTTTTTTTTTTTTTTTTGAGACAGAGTCTCCTTCTGTTGTCAGGCTGGAGTGCAGTGGTGCGATCTCGGCTCACTGCAACCTCCGCCTCCCGGGTTTAAGTGATTCTCCTGCCTCAGCCTCCCAAGTAGCTGGGACTACAGGTGCCCGCCACCATGCCCAGCTAATTTTTGTATTTTTAGTAGAGACGGAGCTACACCATATTGGCCAGGCTGGTGTCAAACTCCTGACCTCGTGATCCACCCGCCTTGGCCTCCCAAAGTGCTGGGATTACAGGCGTGAGCCACCGCGCCCCACCAGGAATGCTTTTACGCTGTTGATGGGAATGTAAATTAGTTCAACCATTGTGGAAGACAATGTGGTGACTCCTCAAGGATTTAGAATGGGAAATATCATTTCACCCAGCAATCCCATTACTGGGTATATTCCCAAAGGAATATAAATTATTCTATTATAAAGATACATGCACTCATATGTTCATTGCAGCATTATTCACCATAGCAAAGACATGGAATCAATTCAAATGCCCATCAATGATAGACTGGATAAAGCAAATGTGGTACATATGCACCATGGAATACTATGCAGCCATAAAAGGGAAGAGATCATGCCCTTTGCAGGGACATGGATGAAGCTGGAAGCCGTTATCCTCAGCAAACTCACACAGGAACAGAAAACCAAACACCACATGTTCTCACTTGTAAGTGGGAGCTGAACAACGAGAACACATGGACACAGGGAGGGGAATAACACATTCTAGTGTCTGTTGGGGGAGGGTGAGGAGGGATAGGGGAGCATTAGGGAACAGAGCTAATGCATGCCGGGCTTAATACCTAGGTGATGTGTAGACAGGTGCAGCAAACCGCCATGGCACACATTTACTTATGTAACAAACCTGCACATCCTGAACGTGTATCCCAGAACATAAAAAAATAAATAAATAAACCCCCCAAAACCAAAAACAAACAAACAAAAGAGACATGAAGTAACTTGGCTAAACTTATGAAACTAGTGGGGGTAGAGTCAGTAAGGAATGCAAAACCTGTTCCCTTAATGGCTAAACTTTTCTATACTATGAACCCAGGGATGAGGACAATTGTTGTACAATTTTGGTGTCCTCCAAAGCTTTGAGCACAGAGTTTTGTGGAGTTTAGAAACCCAATAAAATCTGCTAAATCAAGTTGCTTTCAAGCCCTAGTCCTATTCCAAATTTGGGGCATAGTTCTCTCATACATTTGACTATGTAATGAGAAACATTGTTTTGGGGCTGGCTATAAGATTTTCCATAAGCTTTTAAATGCCTCTTCTACATGCCAATCTTCATAATGTTTTGGATTATGATATTGTCACTGTTTTTGACTAGCCCAATCCTGTTTCTTATTCTATGGGGAAGGCCAAGTGTTCATGGTTTGAGCTTTATTGGCCAAGAGATCTCAGGTCCAGTTGTTCTAGACTTTGGATGTAAGTGCATTTTTGCAAAAGCTAGTGGTCATGCTTACAGGAATAAGAAGATACATTTTTTAAAATAAGGACTAATGATACAGAATCAGAATATTGAAAGTGGGAAGAACTAGTAAACTCTTAGGATCATTGGGATCATCCAATCCCCTTGGTGTTCAGATACAAAAATGAAGGCTCAGAGAAGAAAATGGAGTTTTCTGAAGTCTGTGAAAGGGTTGCAATTCACATTAGGTGGGTCTTAATAATCAAGATTCCTTCTGATACACCAGGCTGATGCTTTATGGATTGCATTCATAACAATTGAGAATCATTATTATTCATATCCTGGATTCATTGCAGATTAGAAAAAGAGAAAAGGATAAAAAAAAAAAGAGTACTCCCAGCCTTTCTCTTTTCTGTATACCTTTTATTTTTTTAAAGGACAAATTATGTTCATCTCTACTCAAGTATATGATAGACTGCAAATCTCCTCTATTCAACCAACAATGTCTTCATGGCAAGGAACAACACACTAAAAGCTTTTATCTATTTTTTCAAATGAGGAAAAATTTTTCTTTTGGTTCTGTGGATTTCATAGAAGTTTGTGGGAAGGGCTCTGAATTTTTTTTTTCTTTTAGACGGAGTGTTGCTCTGTCACCTAGGTTGGAGTACAGTGGCTTGATCTAGGCTCACTGCAACCTCTGCCCCTGGGTTCACGTGATTCCGATGCTTCAGCCTCCTTAGTAGGTGGGATTACAGGTGTGTGCCACCACACTAGGTTAATTTTTGTATATTTTTGGTAAAGATAGGGTTTTGCCATGATGGCCAGGCTGATCTCGAACTCCTGACCCCAAGTTATCTGCCCACCTTGGGCTCCCAAAGTGCTGGGATTATAGGGGTGAGCCACCATGCCCAGCCAAGGAGTCTGAATTTAAGATGGAGTCTTTTCTGAAAATTTCACTTATGTGTCTTTGGAATTTCATACATGTGAGTAGGTTTTGTTTCTTTTTTGCCAGATTTTAGTCATGCTTCTGGTTTCCATGTGAAACTCTCGCCTAACTGCCCTGCTAGCAGGAGAGTACTGAGCTAGAAGTCAGAAATCCTCACTCTGCTGCTGTCCAGTGGGGTAATTTCTCCGCATCATTTCACCTCCTCATTCTGGAAAGGGTGAACTGGGTTAAGCCTAAGAACTCTTCTGACTCTAAACTTACTAACGTTCACCAATACTTCTAGAAGATAACGGTAAAAAAAAAAAAAAAAAAAAAAAAAAAAAAAAAAAGAGAGAGAGAAAAAGAGGAACTTGAATAGGCCCCAAGGTTGGGAGTAATTGATTGCCTGTTTGGGGTAAATCTCAGAGGCAGCAGGAATGTTCCTTGCCTGAGACAGCTCTTCCCCTTATGCATTAGTCCCCCTTTATCCACAGGAGATTCTTTCCAAGACCCCCAGTGGATGTCTGAAACTGTGGATAGCACCAAACTTCTATATTCTAGGTTGTTCCCTATACATACATACCTATAATAAAGTTTAATTTATAAATTAGGCAGAGTAAGAGATTAACAACAATAATATAATTGAATAATTATAGCAATATGCTAGATCATGGGTAAAAAAACTGCAGAAAGCAAAACCAAAGATAAGGGGGGATTTTTGCGCTTAAAAATTCCACTCCTAGTACTTCATTTCTTTGAATTATGTCATTTTTCTTTTCTTGTTTCCTTTTTGAAAACCTGGATATTCTCACCAACCAGCCTCATTCTCCTCAGATGTTTTCTTCCATGTGTTTAGAGCGCTTTTTTGAGGTTTTGGGGTGGGAGGTGGAGGAGGGGCTGGCTGTCAGCGCCTCATTTTTGCCCCTTCTCCTGTCTCCTCATATTCTCCTCTTCTTACTTCCCCTTACCTGCAGCCATCTCTAAACACTCAGCCAAGCTCTAAGCTGTGGCTTTCTCCTTCCTGCTCATCATCTAGTACTTGTTCATCTCTTTTTGCATTTATGGAAGTTGTCAAAATATTCTTTGATTGTCCTTCCTTTTTCTCTCACTATCGTGGATTGTAACTTAAAAATTTTTTAAATTACCATGGTGGTGATGGTGTCTCCGAATGGGAAGTCGATAACTATTGATAGATTTTTAAAATATCCAGGAAACTCCTTTGCATGAAGATTCACTCTGATTTGTATTTAGTGTAAAACCCAATTTAAAAAATCTTATCAACTTAGTAATAACTATTCCTCTAAATATTCCTCTAAACGTTTGTATAGTACTTACGCAAGCGGTAAATCAATACTTATTAATTTAACAAATTATATCTCCCCAAATACTTAAACATTGGTTGCAAACTTATTTAATAAGCTCTTTAATAAACTCTTAGGAAGTTTATTACAAGTTTGCTATATTAGAATCTCTTCAATGCTGTAAGTACCTAAAATGTAGAAAACAACATATGCAAAATTATTTAATGATTAATAAACTGATTATTAGAGTGTTTAAAAAATCCAACCTAGAGTTTGAATATCATAGATTTCTCCTTCTTTTTTTAAAAATTCTCTTACTATTATACCAGTTTAAATTGTGTTTTATTTTTTATAAACTATAACTAGTTGGTTAAGTTTAACCCCCCCCAAAAAAAGTAATAAAAAATGTCTTCTGATGATTACTGTCTTAAGTTTGCTATAGTTTTACCAGATATTATTTTACATCTCCCTAGGGTATATTCATATTTATCAGACTCAAAAAAAATACGCTTTTAAGTCAGTAGAAGTTTTAGAATTTGGGTTGGTACACAATTGGTTAAGATATGGGCCTTGGTTATGACGTCCAGTGTGATTCAAACTCAAGCCACTCGTCATTAGGCCAAATCCCCTCTTACGATCAAGACTTATTTGTCATGGTTCTCTGTATTTCATATGGATTAAAAATTTCATTTTAAATCTGGCGTCTTTTCCAGAAATGATGTATGTTTTAAGTTTTACTGGGCTGGCATTATCTATTCCGTTGTCCTGCCATCACAATATATTGTCCTGATAGGTTAAAATTATTGGAAATTTATGTATGCTTAATCAGGACTTCATTATTAATAGGGTTAGTTTGAGCTTTATTCTTCTAAGATATAAGGATTCAAGTCCACTTAGTTCCCTTTAGTCTTTGGAACATAACTAATTTATCATCTTGGAGCATAACGCTAGACTTTTGTTTAAATTAGTTATTGTGTATGATCATTGGTACTAATGAGCAGCAGGGATCTCCTTCCACTTGGTTATTGTAAATAAATTGTGGTACTGGTCACCCTTCCTGAAATAGTCTCTACCTCTTTGGGGACCATTTTTCTCACATTCTGGGGGGATTTGTAAACTAAAAAATATATATTCATTTAAACCAAAATGCTCTTGAAATATGTAATAACACACTGCTACTTATTAAAATCAGTAAAATTAATTATGTTCTATTTATTCTTGTTTTGTGTTACAATTATCTTTTTGTATATTTTGTAATCTCTTTTGTGTACTGTTAGGCAGTCATGGCCTTATGGAGTTTTTCAATTAACTGGTGATCCAGACCAATTATGATTTTTTTTTCCTATGACAAAAAGCAAAGGAGTTGGCTTCAATGGAGTCCCACTGCCCAATTTGAGCATCGAAAATGAAATAATCATAGTTAATATACTTGAAGGCTGAAGCAGGAGAATCACTTGAACCCGGGAGGCGGAGGTTTCAGTGAGCCAAAATCATGCCACTGCACTCCAAATCAGTTTCCCCAAGCATTCAGGGATCAGGTTTTTTTTTTTTTCGAGACAGAATTTCGCTCTGTCACCCAGGCTGGAGTGCAGTAGCACAATCTTGGCTCACTGCAATCTCCACATCCCAGGTTCAAACATTTCTCCTGACTCAGCCTCCCAAATAGCTGGGATTACAGGTACGTGCCACCACATCCAGGCGTGAGCCACTGCGTCTGGCCTAGAGATCAGAGTTTATTTATTTATTTATTTATTTATTTTTGAGATGGAGTCTTTCTCTGTCATCCAGGCTAGAGTGCAGTGGCTTGATCTCGGCTCACTGCAACCTCTGCCTCCCGGGTTCAAGCAATTCTCCTGCCTCAGCCTCCCAAGTAGCTGGGATTACAGGTGTGTGCCACCATGCCAGCTAATTTTTGTATTTTTAGTAGAGATGGGGTTTCACCATGTTGGCCAGGCTGGTCTCGAACTCCTGTCCTCAGGTGATCTGCCCCTCTGTCCCCCAAAGTGCTAGGATTACAGGCGTGAGCCACCACACCCAGCCAGAGTCAGTTCCTGGGTGGGGTCACAAGATCAGATGTGCCATTTTATCAATCTAGGTCGTGCCAGCTAATCCATCAAGTGCAGGGTCTGCAAAATATCTAAAGCACTGAGTTTTGGCTTTACAATAGTGATACTATCCCCAGGAGCAATTTGGGGAGGGTCAGAATCTTGTAGCCTCCAGCTGTGTGGCTCCTAAACCATAATTCCTAATCTTTTGGCTAAAATTTGTTTGTCCTACAAAGGCAGTCTAGTTGCCAGGCAACAAGGAGGTTTATTTTGGAAGCAGGCTGTTATCATCTTTGTTTTAAACTATAAACTAAGTTCCTCCCAAAGTTAGTTCAGCCTATGCCCAGGAATTAACAAAGGCTTGGAGGTTAGAAGCAAGATGGAGTTGGTTAGGTCAGATCTCTTTCATTGTCTCAGTTATAATTTTGCAATGGCTGTTTCAAGGTCTTTTGTGGTAAGTATTGCTTTCTAAGGGGAAATTCTTAGTTTTTGAATTACTGGATCAAAGGGTATGAACTTTTTTTTTGGAGACGGAGTCTTGCTCTGTCTCCAGGCTGGAGTGCAGTGGCGCAATCTCGGCTCACTGAAACCTCCACCTCCCGGGTTCAAGTGATTCTCCTGCCTCAGCCTCCCGAGTAGCTGGGACTACAGGTGTGCACCACCATGCCCAGCTAATTTGTGTATTTTTAGTAGAGATGGGGCTTCACCATGTTGGCCAGGATGTTCTTGATCTCCTGACCTCGTGATCCGCCCACCTCGGCCTCCCAAAGTGCTGGGATTACAGGCATGAGCCATCACACCCAGCCCAGGTATGAACATTTTTAACTCTTTATATGAAAATAAGAAGAGTAATAATAATACCTAGTTCATAGGGTTGTTGTAAGGATGAAATGAGCCAATGTGTAAGGCACTTAGGATTGTTTCTAGCTCAGAGTAAGTATTCAGTCACTGTTGGCTGTGGCATTAGGGAATACTGAACTGCCTCCACAGTGGCTCTACCCACTTACTCTACTACAAGCAGTGTTGGAGACAGCCAAGCAGGCAACTTCTGAGCACAGAAGCTTTCCAGGAAGTCTTGGTTTGTATTGCGAACAAATATCTCCCCAGCTGGCCAGTGAAGGTGGTTGCTACTGTGAAGGTTGGCTGCTCACCAAGAGGGACTGAGAGTTCCTATTCGAAACTGCTAAAGTCTGACTCGCTGTCAGCTGCTATAGTGGTGGGTAAGGATAGAAGTCAGCCTGGGGACCACAGACCGGCCTTAATGCAACACATCGAAGGACTGAGTTTCCTGAATTTCTAGTAGGCAGCTAAAATTATGAGAGGCTGTGCTTCTGTAGGAAGATCTTCACATCCATTTCCAAGATGGCTCCCCAGTATCCTGAAAGCAGGAGGAACAGTGGATTTCAGCTCTGCAGGCCCTGTGCTAAGGGATGTGGGAGGTTGGAAAAAAAATCATAAGGACTGAATCATAGGACCTTATGATCCTATGGACTCTATACTATAGAAAGGACTGTCATTGTTGTCCTCTAGTACACCTATCCCCAGGAGCTGTGAGTACTGTGGCTCATCACTTTTCTTCCCCATCCTCTCACTTCCTCCCAGCAGCAGCCAGTGACTGACTGATGTGGTCCTCAGGTGCAATAGATGCTTCAGAGCACTACACTCCACCCTAGCCTAAGGCTAAACTTTACTGGATACTACATTCCAGTTGAGCAACTTCCTTGCCCTATCCTGCTTCCTTCTCTCACATCTATCCCACCCTGCCACTCAGCATGCCTTGGATAAATCAGGTACACCCAAACTTCTCTGTTTTTAGGAAACCTAACCTAAGACTGGGAGATAAGATTAGTCAACAAAGTAGACTATTCTTTGATATAGGTAAGCTACATCTATATAAGATACAGCTTACATCTGTATCAAAGACCTAGTTGTATCTAAGGGATGGGAGGAGGAGAGGGGAGAAGGTTACTTGCTGGAGATGCTAACTTTTGAGCTGAGTGTGTATGTATAAAGACATAGTATATATATATATTTATAACATAGATATATACTTAAAAGTAAGATGATTTCTTATAATAGCAATTGTTATTAAAAAACTATAATGTTAGGTTTTAGGGGGATGTGATATAATACTATGATGTAGGATAATTATTTTGACTTTGTAGGTCTGTTCAGTATGGTCTGCACAGCTCTCTCAACATTGTATGTATAACTAAAGGTCAGCAGTCTGGTCCTCTTGCTCATATCCTGGTACCCTGATTCTACATTCCAAGCTGCCATTTATTTAACACATAGGTCTTGAGCATTTACTGTGTGCCAGGCATTGTATTATGCACTAGAATTTTTTTTTAAGAAAAGGATTAAGTTGATCCACTGCTCTACTGTTCACCTCTCTAATTGACTTATGGGTAAAGTGGAGGTGATAAAATCCAGCTGGGCGCTGTGGCTCATGACTGCAATCCAAACACTTTGGGAGGCCAAGGCAGGAGGATTGCTTGAGTCCAGGAGTTTGATACCAGACTGGGCAATATAGCAAAGTCACGTTGCTACAAAAAATTAGCTGGGCCTGTAGTCCCAGCTACTTGGAAGGCTGAGTTGGGAAGATTGCTTGAGCCCAGGAGGCAGAGAATGCAGTGAGCTGAGATCACACTACTGCACTCCAGCCTGGGTGACAAAGCAAGACCCTGTCTCAAAAAAAAAAAAAAAAAAAAAAAATCCAGCAGTCTTGGAAAAGTCTGAATCATTCCTCCCCTTCCTCGTAGCTTTTTCAACTTTCAGGTCACAAAGAGGAAACTTGTTTAATTTCTTTATTTATCTGCTCTTATATTATTAGGCAGCAGAAAAGGCCCTAGTGTAAGGATTTTTGAAAGACTTAACAATTTTATTATGACATGAAAGAATAATCATGTTTTATCAAAGTCATCCTGCCTGTTAGCTACACATTAGAAGAGGGAATTGGAAACTCCAGAGCTTCATGCTGTTTTCCCTTCCAGGACTAGAAAGACCACGGAAAAGCTATGAGAAGTGTTTTGAAAAGTTGCACAGTATAATGGATAATAAACTCAGAGCTCTGAGATGTATAAACTATACAATTCAATAGAATTTGCTTTTTCAAAAGCAGCTGCAAGAAAAAAACCGAGAAAAACACACTAGACAACAGTAATCTTACACATAGCTAAAAATCCATCCCATGTTGTAGAAGAGGAAATCAATAAACACTTTCCAAGAATTGAAATTCTTTCCTCCCAGAGGGTAGAAAGGGATCGTTTTAGTGATCTCAAGATGGCAGCTCCAAAATGTATTTGCTCTACAATTAATTTTAAGAAAAAAGTTAAAACATCTAGAATTGATGTGTTAAATGGGGTGGGACACACTAAAAAAACTTTACTTTTTCACTGTCTCCCACCTAACTTTTTGCTCAAATGTACACAAGTGCACATGTGTATTCTCTCTCCGTCTCTCAGTCTCTGTCTCTGTCTTTCTCTTTTTCAGGGCCAATAATTCTTCCTGGGCCTATTGGTGTAAATAGGCAGATCCTGTAGCTTATCTTCAAGTTCTTAGATGATAAAAAATCCACTAGACTTTTTAGTTGCTCAAGGAGTCTCAGTTTAGTAATTGTCTTGTTCCACGTAACAGGAAGGGCTTGAAACCTCAGTTAACCCTTCTCCTTTCACTAGCCTTGGCCTTGGCTGGCTTCTCTATTTCTCCACTTTTTCACTTATCCTCCTACTCCCTGTTTGGTTCCTAGCTAGGTAGTCTGGGAGAGATGGAGTAGGGGACAGGATGGAGTAAAGATGATCAGAATACGCCACCCCAAAATATGCCACTTTGGCATAAGGATTATTTTGAGCTGAAAGCAATTGAGAATCGACACATACAGGAAGAGTTCGCTGCCCAACCCTTATCTGCCTAAAAGCAGGGCATACATTTTCCCTTGAGAAAGGTACCCCCATTGTGCCAGAACAAAAAGAGAGATGCTTATCATTGAAGGCAGAAAGTCAACACCAAGATGAGTTTGCATAAACGGACGCCTTACCAAAATAACCTTTATCTTCCATTAGTCCCCCTCATATATTTCTTAGTCATATCCCCAGAATTTATCATCCCTTGAAGCCCAAACCCCCTCTCCTTTGTTAAAAGGGTATATAAACCCCCAAGTCCAACTGCTTCTTTGAGTTTCACTTCTTTTCTGTGAACGCCCATGCACATAAATATTGATAAAAATTGTGTGCCTTTATCTGTCTTTTGTTAGTTTAATTCATAGGCCAGGTTCTGAACATAGGAGGGTAGAAGAAAACATTTTTCTTCCCTAATGTAGAAAAGGGCAAGAAAGGATTTAGGAGACTGGCAGTGGTTTCTTTTTTCTTCTGTGTTTGGCCAGTGTTTAAGGCTGATTTTCACTTGGGCTTAGTGAACAATCAAAGCTGACTGCTTTCTTGGGAATCAGTGGTGGATTCTTTAGAGGTCCTACCTTACAGGGATAATTTTTCTTGTGTTCCCTGCAAAGCAGATGATTCTATTTAATCTGTTGGCCTTTTTTATTTTCTCTGTCACTCCGAAGGAATACATGGTTCATTCTGACTCTCTGCTGTCTTCTTATCCCTCCAGACAGTGCTCTAAGCCAGTATTGAAAGAATGTGTCTAGCAGCCAAGAGACCTTTAAGTATACTTACCCCCTGCCCTTTGTGGATAGATGGCTGAATCCCAATACAGATGGGTCTCTTTCTGCCCCGCTGACCTCAGGTTCATAGCCAAATCCTCTGACCTTCAGATTTCTTAGGGATCAGTCAGATGTTGGTCCATGATTTCTCCAGCTCTCCAGGATACTCATACCAATCTCTTGGATGCAGCTAGGTGATACAGGGGAATAGAGAAAATTAAAAAATACTATAGAATAATAATGACCTTTTCATAAAAATACTTTTACCAGTCTCCCACCTTTCCAGCTGAATTTTTAGCCACAGCATAAATAGCTTAGGGTCAAGAGATGGGCAAAGATAACTCTCCTCTGAAGCCAGGTCTGATGGTCAGAGTTGCTGTTAAAGTACAAGTCTCATGGATTGCAATGGGAGTGATAGGGCCCAGAAACAAGAGTATACAGGTGGATGCAATTATCATAATGAGTGGCAGGGTCAGAGTGGCAGCAGAGTGGGCCTGACCCACAGAGTTGAGATGTGCTTAATGAAACGCAGAGTGCCTAGGGGTAAAGGAGATGGCTGCCAATAGGTGTACTATGCTGTCAGCAAGGATATCATGAAAAGAATCCCCAGGAGTCTGAGGACAGTTGCTCTAATATGAAGTCTTGATTATTTGTCCAGTTTTCAGACCTGATTTGGTTTTCAAACTCCAAATGCATTGATTGATGAGGGGGCTGGGTCCTCAGGAGGAAGGACCCTACAATGCTGTGGCAAGGATACACAGTAATGGTTTTCCCAGTGCTTCCACAATGGGACCTATGGCCATGTACTCTTGTAATTATGTGCTGGAGAAAAGAGGAAGACCAAACTTTTGAGGACTCTTGGACACAGGGCCCAACTTAACGCTGATGCTTGGAGACCTGGTGCTTATATTGACACTTGGAGACTTAGAGTGAAGTGAATATGGGATCCAGGTAATAAACAGAGTCCTGACCAAAGTCTAGTTTACAGTGGTCCGTTTATGTAATAGACCCACCAGTAGTCATTTCTTCTCTCTCTTAATGTAAAATTGGGATTTTCATACTTAGTAGCTGCCACGAGCCCCACATTGGACAACCCATGGGGTAAGGGATGTCATGGGGGGGAAACTGAGTGAAAGCTCTGAAAGTGTAACCCCCCTCACACCCCTCAACAAAATAGAGCAAATCAAAAACAATATTGCATTCCAGGACAGTTGGGGGAGGAATGGCTAAAATTAGTGCCACTTTAAAGCATTAAAATGATGCAGGAGTAGCATCCCCTATATCTTCAATTAATTTACCACTCTGACCCCTGGAGAAACCTCATGTGCCCTGGAAAATAAAAAAAAGATCTTCAGAAAACCAACCATGCAGAAGCCCCAGTCATGGCTGCTGTTCCAGATGCAGTATCTTTGCAAGGATAGATTAACATGACCTCAGAAACATGACATGTGACCACTGATTTGGCAAACACATTCTTTTCTATTCCAACGAGAAAAGAAAATCAGAAATAGTTTACATTCATATATAGTGGTTAGTAATATACATTTACAATTTTGCCTGAGAGCTTTGTTAACTCTCTTGCCCTCCGAAGAGAACTGGACCATCTGGTCATTAGGCAGAACATCACATTGATCTACTGCATTGATTTCATTATGCTAATCAGGCCCAATGAACAAGAAGTGGCTAGCATGCTAGAGATTTTGGCAAGACACGTGCTCTCCAGTGAATAGATGATAAATCCTGTAAAGATTCAGGGACACACACATCAGTAAAATATTTAGGGGTTCAGTAGGGGGAAAGGCAGCCCAGGTCACCCTCTCCAAAGTAAAAGAGAAATTATATGTCTTGTACTTTCCTTCAATAAAAGAAACAAGTGTCTGGTAGGCTTCTTTGTGTTCTGAAAGCAACCTATCTCCGCATCTGAGAATATTGCTCCGGTCCATTTACAAAATCATTCAAAAGGCTGCCAGGTCTGACTGGGACCCAGAGCGGAAAAAGGCTTTGTAGCAGGTCCAGGCTCTGGTGAAAGCAACCTGCTATTTGGGCTACACAACCTTGAAGACCCCATGGTATTAGAGGTAACAGCAATAGAAAAAGATGCCATGTGGATCTATGTCAAACCTCAGTGGGAAAAGTACAACATAGGCTCTTTGTTGTTTTAGATCAAGAATAATATGCCTTTATGCACCCTTTGGAAAACAACTCCTGCCATGCTACTAGACCTTGGTAGAGATCGAGCATCATGAGTTACTGGGATACCACGTGTCTGGAATTGCCTATAATTAGCCATCCCTATACTCACCAAGTAATAAGATTAGATGTGCCCAGGAATACATTGTAAGGTGGACATGGTATATCTGGGGTTGAGCATGAGTAGGACTAGGGTACAAGCAAGGTGCCCAAGTAGGTATTGAGAAATCAGTGTCATCCTCTGTTGCATGAAAGCCCTTCCCTCTGCATATACCTCTGGCTGTGTGAGCTACCCTTTAGGACCAGCTGAGAGAGGAGAGAAAAACCCAAACCTGGTTTATGGATGGGTTAACATGGTATGTGGGGGCAGGCTGAAAATGATAACTGCTTTGCAGTCTGGAGACCTTGAAAGACAGTGAAAGGCATAATTCCCTCATTGGGCAGAACTTAGGGTAGTGCAGCACCTGATTGGCCATTTTGTGTGTAAGGTGAAGTGGCCAGTGGTTAAAATATATATGGAATTATGGGCAGTAATAAATGGCCTGGCCCTCGGTGGGGGACATATATATTTCCTGCTTTCTCTCTTTATCCCTTTCTCATGTCTTTCTTGCTCTTTTTCCTTCATTTTAGTATAGTACTTGGAATGTATAAGTGCTCATTCATCCAAACATCCATTCATGCCTGTTCTGTGCCAGGCATTGTTCTAGGTGGTTGGAGGAATTCAAATGAATCAGAAAGTTTCATCAGTTTTTCATCCTCTTTCTCTGCCTCACTTGCACTTACCATGTGCTTTCTACATGCCTGGCACTGCACTCAGTGCTTTCTAGGTGCACTATCTCATTTAATCCTCAGAAAACCCCATGAAGAAGATTGGTGGTGCTGTGAGATGAACCCAACACAGATGTTCACATAACTTGTCCAAACCTCACAGTCAATAAGTGCCTTGCTGGAATTTGAACCCAGGCGGATGCCTTGTTTTGAGAAAAGTATCAATGCCAATATTCCATGAGGGTTCATACATGAAAGGCCAGTCATTAACACCATTAACATAAGCAAGTTCTATTTTCTTGTTTGTATTCTTCTTATGTATTTTAATGTTGACATGGGTAAGTTGCCCTTAAATTGCCTTTGGATCTCCATTGTTCCAAGGGGTCATGATACAATAGTATTCTTCACTGGCCATTCTTTACACCTTGTGAGACAGATCCTCTTTGAGCACTGCAAGCTGACACTTTCTAGTTCTTTATGAGAAAGTCTTTTGTAGGTTTTCTTAAAGAAGCCTGCTTCCAAAAAGTTACTGGGAATGTAGCAGTCACTACATTAGCTGTGTGATTGACACATGGAAAGGTGAAATTGCTTGCCCAAGGTAATTCTGCAGGCTAGTGGCGATGCCAGCTCATGATCTGTAGATCCGGCTCTGTGCCCTTAGCTGTGACCATTGGATCAAAGAGTCACCTTAAAATCAGGGGGCACCTGTAAGCAGCTTCAGTGTGCAAGTGCATTGCATACTGTTGGTATTTCAACCACTATTCATATGATCAGCAATTTTGCTGTGTTTTCAGTGGCCTCAGTAATTGCCTGTTTATGGTAAGCACTTGGCATTTTTGCTTAGTTTTTTTTTTTTTACTTTTTATTCTTTAATTCATTTTAATGTCGATGTCATCATTGGTAATAATATAATATTGGGGAACTTCAAAAGAATAGCATTGGTATGTGAACAAAACTCTTGTTTTACTCGATGAATGTGCCTTAAATCAACCTTGTGAAATCTTTCTTGTGACACAAATCACAGGGTGGATGTTGATCATGGAAGCTGCCAGCAGGTATGAGACTTTACTTAAAACTAAATGATTTTGCATAATTAGTTGAGGGCCACAGAAATTACCTCATAAACTGGCACATTTTAAGAGATGACTTTATAAACTGGGAAATGTATGTAGTCTCAGCAATTAGACAATGAATTAACAAATCCATGCTTGTCATATAAAATCCCTTCCCACTCAGGAATAGGCCAAGAACTGTATAAAGTTAAAAAAGTTCTCCAAAGATGTATGTCAGACAGGTTTGGTCATTTGCTTTCTTCTTCATTTAAATTCTCATAGTTACTTATAATATGACTCTAAGTTACTCTAAGTAACTTATAGTTACTTATAAAGTTACTATATTGTTACTTATAGGAAAAGGACTAGGGTGACCTGAATGAGGTACTCGCCTCAGGAACAAAATGAAAAAGGGTGCCAAAAACTCAAGAATCAAGATAAAACTATTTTAATGCAATATTTTTAAAACATCAAAATTATGACTAAAAATCCTTGGTGGACAAAATATCAACATTTCAAATAAAGTCAGAATTTGACCCTGGCTAGCATGACCCATCTTAACCCAATTCCCGGTCCTGTCTGCTTATCTAAATACTTCCTGTATCCCATGCCGCCCCCGCCCCGACCTCCACCACCCCACTGTAAGCCGCAGGAGGAAGAAACCACCTCTAACTTTTTCACCATGGTATCTGCGGGGCCTGTCGCATTGGATGTGCTCAGTACATCTTTTTTTTCTTTTCCCCATGAATGAATGAAAAAGTATTTTTTCCAGTGGAAGGAGGACTAGGCTGTGAATCTACAGATAGCCCATGCCAGCTACTCACTGTGTGACCTTAATTAAATCACTTCTCTCAGCCTCATCTTTGAAAAGAGGGCGTTGAACACTATGAGTCTTGTGGGTCTTTCCAGCCTTTACATAGTAAGATTTGTACCTGATATTAGGACAGGCTGTCCTCATGGGGATTCATCCATCCAATCATCCAAGAGCATTGATCACTTGCCATCCTAGTACTTAACAGTGGGCTCGATGCTGGAGAAATGAAGATCAGAAACAAGGGTCTCTGACCTTCATGAGCCCACAGTGCAGCAGGAAGGCAGACATGTGGGCAGGCATGGGGGAATGTAATTGGAGCTTAATAGATTCTAGAACAAACATTAGGGAGGAATCCCCGAGTCTCCCAGGGGCATTCCACATTTTCACAGAGGATTTGAGCAGAGAGAGAAGGATGAGGAAGGGTTTGTCAGCTGAAGAAGAAAGGGTGGGGGCTTTCCGGCTTAGGGTAGAGCATATGTGTGACTAGATGTGTTTTCTTCCCCTTTCCAGAGAGTACCATATGGAAGGCAATGGATGCTAAGAATAGAATGGGGCCTTTTAAAATTAAACTCCAGGGTGAAGGGGGAGACAGTGAATTTTTTTTTTTTAGTATAGTAAGTAGAGGAGTTATACTACCGGGGGTTCATCTCTGCAGTGCAAAGTTGTAGGTTTTTTTTGTTTGTTTGTTTTGTTTTTTAGAAATAGGGTCTTGCTATGTTGCCCAGGCTAGAGTGTAGTGGCTATTTACAGGTTCCATCATAGCCCACGGCTGCTCCAAATTCCTGGCCTCAAGTGATCCTCCTGCCTCAGTCTTACAAGTAGCTGGGACTACAGGCATGCACCATCATGCCCAGTTACGGTGCAAAGTTTTGGTTGTCCTTAAAATAATACATACTGAAGCCAGACTCCTCTTGAGGGGCTCTGTGCCCTCTCTTTGTCTGCCCTCACCACCTAAAACCTCTCCCCACCCTACCTGAGAAAATGATGGTCCCATCTTGGCTGGAGGTGGGATATATGAAACTGGACAAGGTAGAGGTGTGTGTGTGTGTGTGTGTGTGTGTGTGTGTGTGTACTTTTACATGGTCAAGTTTCATGAGAGAGTGTGGTTTATGGGGTTAGAGAATTATATGCTGGAATAAGTGAATTTGCCCCCTAATGGAAAGGATTATTGCTGTTGTTGGAGAGAATAGCAATAATCAGGGAATCCCCATCCTCCTGATTTCACAAAGGAAATAACCTTAGCTAAAGGTCAGGTGATGTTTGCAGATCATCCAATTGCATTCTCTTCCCACTGGAATCCCATTCTCTAGCTGGGTAACTCAGGTACCATCATTTAGGTGATCTCCAGGTTATGAGAACTCATTTGATTGGTTTAAAATGCCAGAAAGTGTGGACTTGGCTAATCATATAAATGCTTAGTTTAAAAAGAGAAGAATAATGAACATTTTTCTTTATATTGGAAAAATTCCCTTGGTGGTGGTTAAATTTTTTGATATATATCCTTTCATTTACTGTCTTACTACTATATACACTTCAACAGACAACCCTTATAGCAGCACCTAAGAGTAAGATGCCAAAAACAAAAATAAATGGGGAGAGGGGACTCAAATGCTCTCAGATTGGGTTTTTAACAACTGTGATCAAGGTTGACCCCTTATATAGTAGTTGATTATGTTACAAATCAGCATTTCAGTCAAGAAAACTGAACCCCAGCACAAAAAGAAACTCCCTTCCAGGGCTCCTGGATTGAAACCTCTGTTTCAGGACAGCCCTCTGGGGAGCTCCTCTCCATGGAAAGCTGATGCTGAGGTGAAAAATAAGGTCTCAATGCAGTTAGAGGCTTCACTGCTTGGCAGTCATTAGGGAACTCCCTTGCTTTTTTTCAGAGAGCATTTGAGGTTGATGAATTCTGGTGACTGTGACCTGAGGCTTCACAGGCCAAAGGGAAAGACAACAGAAGCCGATGTTTACTCCCTCCCTCCCTCCTCCTGATTTCACAAAAGGAATAACCTTTGCTAAAAGTTTGCAGATCGTCTGATTACACTCTTCTTCCCACTGGGATCCCATTCTCTAGCTGGGTGATGCAGGTACCATTGTTTAGATTATCTCCTGCATTTTAGGTAGTGTCTCTTTCCTTTTGTCCTACCCTGAGAGAGGAGAATTTTCCAACAATGATTATGAGGCTGGCTCTGTGCTACAAACCCCGACAAAGAATAGCATTTGTACTCAGCTGCAAATTGTATTGGTTCAAATGCAAAGCAACATTAAATATTACATACTTTTTTCCTCTTGTCATGACCTAAAAATTGTAATCTAAGTGAAGAAAAATAAGGAGGCTTTGTCTTATGGGCCAAAAGTAATCAATTGCTTGTGCGAGTGCTGTGTTGAGAAGGGTACTGAGGCTGCTTTTAAGCTCAGTGAGTAAGAATTCTGTGATCAACTAGGCATGTCTGATGAGTGTGGGAAAGGGAAGTACTGGCACATGTGCCAGAAATTTGCATCATCTTGATCTTACTTTCTAAACTCTCTCTCTCTTTTGCAATCACAGGGACTCTTTTTGCATCCTTTAAGCCTAGCCTCCCAAGTTTCACATGTTGGTATCTTATGCAATTAGATATACTCTCAATTCACAAAGTGTGTCTTTCTCTGCTAGTAATTCTATAATCTCTACCTCTCATTAATATGTTTTATACTTAGCTCTTATGGTAGCAATCAAAGGATTACTAATCTTAAATCAGAGTATAATTTTTACCTATTAATTTGGAAAACATGTTGAAAATTGTATTAGCTAGTGTTAGTGATAATAGAGAATAAAATGGGCACTCTAATACACTAGTAGTGGAAATGCAGTTTGCTAAATCTTTTTGGAGGACAACTTGAAAATGTATATTAAGAGTCTTAAAATGTGAACATATCCTTTGATCCAGGAACGATTTTTCTTGGCATTTAATGTCAAGAAATAATCGTGAATGAACAAGTATTTATATTCATGTATGTACATTAAAGTGTTACATATAATAGAAAGAAGTAAGAAACAGATATAGTTAGCAAAAGTTAAATAACTATGATGTAATACTAATAAAAATAGCAGCTTCCTTTTCTTGATTATCTATATGCTGGATACTTTACATTATTTTACCTTATTAATTTTCTATGTCAGATGAGGAAACTGAGGCTGAGAAAGGTAGAAGAACTTCCAATCCTAGTGATATGTGTAGATTAGTTAATCTGAAAGCCTCCTATTATAAAACATGTAGAATTGCTGGAGAAAATATAACAATACTTAAATGACCTATTTAAATGAATAGTTGCACTGGCAAGAATGTAAGGGAAATCCCTAGGAGCCAGAAATGAAGAGGATGTTGAAACAGTGAATGTCAAGCAGAAGTGTTGACTGCTCTCAGGGTACAGCTGGAGATGGGGATTTCTGGTCTCTGTAACCATGGGGCTTAGATGTTAATATCTATCTGAAGTTGAAGATGAGGTATACCCTAGGTGAGGTGTGGGATCTCACACTGAATAAAGTTGGATTTCAGTGAGTAGGTGGACTAGGAAAAATGTTCACACATTGTCAAAGTGGGTCAGCAAGGCAGTTCTTCCCTCTCTAAGCATTGACTGAAAAATAAAATCAAGTAAAAAGTTTCTAATGGGATATCATAGTCACTGGCCTACTCCAATTGAAATGGAGATTTGAATGTAAACAACCCAAATGATCTAGGAATTCATAAGCCTTAAAGTCATCCTGAGATGGTAATACTTTGGGAATACTCAACAGAAGCAATTGTAGAACTTCCTTGAAACGACACACCTAAAATCTAGATTAAACATTATTCTCACTGACAAACCCAAAATATAAAGTTTTATATAAAATTATATATATTTATTTAAATTTATTGCAAACTACAAAATAGATGAAGACAAAGAAAATCCAATGCAAGAAAGAGCAGAAACACAAATGAGAGAATTCAGATCTTAAAGTACTTTAAACAATAGGATTATCAAATGAAGACTACAAAATAAGCATGTTATGAAGAAGAAAATCTTAATGCAGAAAAAGCAGTCAACTTTCAACATCTATTCATGAGCAAATTTTAGCAAACTAGAAATGGATTAAGGGAACAGTCTCTATTGATAAAGAGAATACAATAAACATCATACTTAATGGTACTATGTTGAACCCTTTCCTTCTGAGATGGGAGTCAGTAGGGATATCCTTTAAATTTATTAAAAATATATTGAAGAAACTAGCCAGCTAAATATAGCATGAAAAATAACAAAAGCGTAAAGTTTAGATACTCTTATTTGTAGGTGATATGATTGGGTATGAAGAAAATATAAAAGAATGTGCAGGTGATTTATTAGGTATATTAAATAATTTGGCAAGGTTTTCAGATACAAAGTTGACAGCCAGAAATCAATTGCATTTCTATCAGTCAGCAACAAAAAAATAGGAAGTAAAATAAAGAAATATACTATTTAAAATTGTATGAAAAAGTTATATATTCAG
The DNA here is from genome assembly GCF_000001405.40 of Homo sapiens. Lineage (NCBI taxonomy): Eukaryota > Metazoa > Chordata > Mammalia > Primates > Hominidae > Homo > Homo sapiens. The sequence continues at coordinate 155,345,706 of NC_000005.10, forward strand.
GCATAAATCTAACTGAAGTACAAATCCGCTGTCCAGATAGACATAAAATATTATTGAAAGAACAGCTACACAGAGAAATACACCATGTTCATAGATTGAAAGACTAAATTTTGGTAAGATATTAATACTCCTCAAGTTGATATATCAAAACTAAGCATGCCCAGTAAAAATCTTAGCAGCTTTATATCTATATCTATTATATCTATATCTATGTCTATGAATGTGTATGTATTTCAAAACAATCAAAATTACAGAAAAGTTGGAAACATATTCAAATAAATTTTTTTCCTTAACCATTTGAGAGCAAGTTGCTGACCTAATGCCTTACTACTACCAAATAGTTTATGTCTACTTCCTACAAAGACATTTTCCTTAATTACCACCAAAACAGAAACCCTATATTGCTGTATCAGTATCATATAATCCTCAGACCTCATTTAAGTTTCATTAGTTGTCTCAATAATGTTTTTCATAGAAAATGATACCTTTAGAATCAGACTTAGTTGTCATTTGTCTTTAGTATTCTTGAGTATGAAGCATTTCCTAGTTTCCTTGTCTTTCATGACCTTGACACTGTTGGGGATTACAGGTCAATTATTTTGTATAATGTCTCTCAAGCCAGGTTTGTGTGGTGCTTCCTCACGATTAGATTCAGATTGTACATCTTTTGGAGGAATATGACAGAAGTTATGCTGGATTCTTAATGAATCCTATCAGATGCTGCACAATTTCAGTTTGTCCCATTATCAGTAATGATCTCTTTGATCACTTGATTAAGGTGCTATTTTGCCAAGCTCCTTCACTATAAATTTACTATTTTCCCCTTTGTAATTAATAAGTATTTTGTGGGAAGGTACTTTGGAAGTATGTAAATGTCAAATGGTTTTCTATTTTATCCAATAGCCTATACTATACTTTTGTCATTGTTTATTTTGATGTTCAAATTGTCCCCAATTTGGCCAGTGGAAGCTTGTTCAAGCTGACTTGATGTACTCTCACTACTCTTTGAGCACCTTCTTGCTTTGTGGCACAAAAGACGTTCCAGGTCCATCTTGTACATTCCCTGTCTTTTCCCAGCAATCGGTCATCTCTCCAAGGAGTTTTGATTCGTTTTAGTGAAAAATGGAGTCAAGACCTGGAAGCAATGTGTGCACATTGATATTAGAATATTAATTACTTTTAGACTTTCTCAATGTACAAAAGGAATACATATATTTATATATACAAAATCTAACTATGCATTTAAAAATCTGACCTTATACTAGTACCTTCAATTCCAGTCCAACACGACAGAACACATTCTAGTTTTGTCCTTATTCTGTGTATGTAATTTACTACTCTGACAGTGAAAATCCTGGCTTCTATTATCTTTAGTATATTTACTTATTTAATCCATAGCTCTTTATATCACCAATTCACTTCCCCATATGGATGCCCTCATTACCATGTGTTGGCTCTGAGGCCCCATGTCATACTGCCCTCGCCCTCCATCTTCTGCATGGGCTTCCTATCCCCTTTCTTGGGCTCTGACATTCTTCTCTAAGCCACCAAAGCTAGCCTGCTTCACCCACTGTGGATACCTCTCTTGTTCTTCTTTACCTAATGATTTAAGATTAAATTGTTTGGGAAGGGAAGGAAAAGGAGAAGAAGAAAGCACAGAAGAGTTTTCTGTGTGTTTGTTTTTTCAGTGATGGGGATTATCAAATAGATAATAAAACATGTATGGAAATGCAACAGAATGGGAATGGTGAAAATGATCTTGAAGATGAAAAAAGTTCTAGACTTTACTGAATATAAAGACGTATAATTAAGACACTATGATGTTTGGGCAAGGATAGACAAATAAACTAGTGAAATAGGATGAATAATCCATGTAAAAAGTAAAGTAGAGGTTCCTCTTCAAAGAGACTCTCCTCTCCGTCTAATTAGGAATAAATAGTAACTTCTCTTAGAAGCAAAATTTATTCAAAGACCTGTGCTAACATTCTTAAATATCTGCTAGCCATAATAAAGAAATCCATGTACTTTATGTTCTTAGCTCCCACAGTTTAGCCTAAATATTTGCCCTGGCATGCTTATACTGGTCCAAGAGGGCATTAGGTCATAGCCTGTTCCTCTTCCTTATTTAGAGGTGCTTTTCCCTTTCTCAGCATTCCACAAGTTACTTGCTCCTTCTTTTGTTCTCCTCTGCCTTTGCCTGTTTTAAAAAGTTCTAAGTTGCTAGCCAATCGGGACAAACACAGAATGTGAGGTCCCGTTCCAGCCAATGGAAACTGGACACAGCAGTAGGGTGGACGCATCAGGTTATAAATGACCCTGTCTCCTTTGTTCGGTGTACTGTCATGGCAAAACTGCTGGTGAGTGTACCCTTTCTGCAGAAAGTAAAAATGGCCTTGCTGAGGAAATTAAATTTATGTTCAAGTGCTATTTCTTTACAGCACCGGGGAACAAGCATTTCTAACACCCAGAAAGATCTTACATAAACAGATATTTGATTGATGACAAAAGGGGTACTACAGAGCAGCGGGGAAAATAATGGTTTTCAATACATTATCCTGAGTCAATTAAAAGCCCTTAACAAAATGGATCTAGACTCTTATATCATACCATACATACAAATAAATTCCAGTAAAGCTTCTATCAGATTGTAGAAGGGAATTTCTTCATGACCTTCAAGTAGAACAAATTTTAGATAGGACACAAAAAGATTTCTTACCACAAAGGAAAGAAAGATAATTTGAACCACCTTCAAATTAGGACTTCTTTTTTTTTCATCAGAAGATCTTGTGAAAGCGCGAAAAGACAAATCTACAATGGCAAAGATGATTTTAATAAATATAACTGAAAGGCTGGAGTTTTGTATGTGTGTGTGTATTTATATATCTCTATCTCTCTATATATCCCCTACAAATCAGTAAGAAAAATGCACAAGAAAGCTAAGAAAATTGCACAAGATACTTAACATATAATTTACAAAATAAAACATTCAAAAGGCTTATGAAAAGGTGCTTAAATTTATTAGTAATTAGGGAAAATACAAAATAAGGCCAAGATGAGATACAACAGAAAGGCTTAAAAATAATGGATATTACCATGTTGTCAAAAATTTGAGAACAAGAATGTTCATACATTGCTGGTGAGAATGTAAACTGGTACAACCACTTTGGAAAAGTTTGACATTGTCTACCAAAGTTGAACATATGGCAGATTTCTGGTTCCTGCTTCTGCATGAGCTTGGAAGTTTCCACTCTGTCCTAACAACAAATAAAAATCTAAACAGACTAAAAAATCAACAACTCTTCTTGGGCCTCTAAGAGAGGTGAGGGCACACTACTAACCCCAAGATTGGAGAGACAGGTAAATACAGGGAATCAGGGCTTACTAGAGCAGAGACTCAAGAGTGGAAACAGTGCTGGGGTTGGAAGACCTGAACAGTAATTGATGAATTGCAGGAAGCTCAGTATAGGCAGCTCTGATAGTTAAAAACTTCAGGAGGACCCAGTTATAGGAAGATCCCCACACTTTTGTGAATTTTATTTCCTGGAGTCAAACCAGGTTCTCAGAGTAAATATCAGAGTAAAGCTCCTCATGCTTCCAACAGGAAGAGGGGAGGAGTCATTTTAAAATATGCCAGTGCACTCTGTTTTTAACAAAGGCTGCCCTCAGGGGAATCTATTTAACTAGCCCCTAACTGCTGGAGTTTTATCAGAGGCTAAGTGACCTGAGGAAAGGGAAGTACCCAATTCCAGTGCCCTCTAGCCTTCTACTGGGAAAAGGGAAGTACCTAACTCCAACCTCTCCCACCCTCAGCTATTACATGCCACCTAACAGGATTGAAAAATCTGAGAATCACTTACAAAGTTCACAGTCCAGAGGCAGAGGCTCACGGGAAGACTGAGACCTCATCAGGGAATACCATGAACAATTCTACATCCACAAGATTGATAACCTAGAAGAAATGGAACAATTTTATGAAAGACACAGTCTGCCAAAACTCACACAAAAAGAAATAGACAATTTGAATAGGCTTATCTATTTAAAAAATTGAATTGTAATGAATAACTTTCCAAAACAGAAAACACCAGGCCCAGATGAATTCACTGGTGAATTCTACCAAGCATTTAAAGAAGAAATTACACTAAATCTCTGTAATCTCTTTTAGAATATAGAGGCAGAGGGAATGCTTCCTAACTCATTCTATGATGCCAGCATTACCCTAACACCAAAACCAGATGAGATCATTATAAGGAAAGAAAACTAAAACCCAATAGTTCATGAACATAGGTGCAAAAATCCTCAATGAAATATCAGCAAATTGGATATAACAATGCGTAAAAAGAATTATACACCATTATCAGGTAGGATTTTTTTCCCAGATATGCAAGGCTTGTTCAGCATTCAAAAATGAATTTATATAATCAATTACATCAACAGGCTAAAAAAGGAAAATTCCACAATTAATAAATACAGAAAAAACATCTGACAAAACCCATTCATGACACAGATAATTCTCAGTAAATTAGAAATAGTGGGGAATTCCTCAACTTGATAAAGAATATCTACAAAAATCCTACAGCTAACATCACACTTAATGGTGAGGAATTAGAAATTCTCCCACTGCCATCAGGAACACGGCAAAGATACCCCCACTTACCACTTATTTTCAACATTGTACTGGAAGTCCTATCTAATGTAATAAGACAAGGAAAGGAAATAAAAGATATAAGATTGAAAAGGAAAAATAAAGCTGTCTTTGTTCATAGATGACATGGTTGTCTATGTAGAAAATCTGGAAAAAATTGACAAAAAACACTCCTGGAACTAATACGTGATTATAGCAATATTGCAGGATAAAAGATTAATACACAATAAACAATTGCTTTTCTATATATCAGCAATGAACAAGTGGAATTTGAAATTAAAATCAATACTATTTATATTAGCACTTTAAAAATAAATACTTCAGTATAAACCTAACAAATTATGTGTAATATCTACCTGAGAAAAACTACAAAACTCTATGGAAAGAAATCAAAGAAGAACTAAATGAAAGGAGAGCTATTTCATGTTCATGGGTGGGAAGACACAATATTGTCAAGATGTCAGTTCTTGCCAACTTGATCTATAGATTCAACACAATCCCAATCAAAATCAAGCATGTTACTTTGTGAATATTGACAAACTGAATCTAAAGTTTATATAGAGAGGCAAAAGACCCACAATATTAAAGAACAAAGTTGGAGGACTGATAGTGTCTCTGACTTCAAGGCTTTCTTTCATTTTTTTTTTTTTTTTTTTTTTTGAGATGGAGTCTTGCTCTGTCGCCCAGGCTGGAGTGCAGTGGTGCTATCTCAGCTCACTGCAAGCTCTGCCTCCTGGGTTCACGACATTCTCTTGCCTCAGCCTCCCGAGTAGCTGGGACTACAGGTGCCTGCCACCACACCCGGCTAATTTTTTTGTATTTCTTAGTAGAGATGCGGTTTCACTGAGTTAGCCAGGATGGTCTTGATCTCCTGACCTAGTTATCTGCCCGCCTCAGCCTCCCAAAGTGCTGGGATTACAAGCATGAGCCACTGCGACCAGCCCTGACTTCAACACTTTCCATAAAGTTGCAGCAATCATAACAGTGTGACATTAGCCAAGAATATGCACATAGATCAATGGGACAGAATAGATGGACCAGAAATAGACCCACATGAATATAGTCAACTCTTCTCTGACAAGGGCACAAAGGCAATACTGGAGCAAAGATAGACTTTTCAATAAATGTTGCTGGAACAATTGGATATCTACATGCAAAAATAAATAAATAAATCCAGGTTAAGACCATATACCCTTTACAAAAATTACCTCAAAATGGAACACAGACTTATATGTAAATGCAAAACTTCTAGAAGATAACATAGGAGAAAACCTAGGTGATCTTGGGTATGGTGGTGACTTTTTAGATATAAAACCAAGGCATAATTCATGAAAGTAAACCAGCAATAAGCTGGACTTCATTTAAAATTAACTTCTGCTTTGTGAAAGACAATGTCAGGAGAATGAGAAGACAAGTCACAGATGGGAAGAAAATATTTGCAAATGATACATCTGTTAAAGCACTGTTGTCCAAAGTATATAAAGAACTCTTAAAACTCAACAATAAGAAAACAAGCAATAAGAAACCATATTGGCCATGTGGATAACTTCTTTGGTAAGGTGTCTTTTAAGGATAAAGATCTTAAAAGGATAAAGGATAAAGACCTTTTAAGGATAAAGACCTTAAAAGACACCTTGCCAAAGAAGTTATCCACATGGCAAATAAACATATTAATAAATGCTCCAAATAATGTGTTATAAAGGGGATGCCAATTAAAATAATAATGAGTTTTGAGGGGAGCCAAGATGGCTGACTAGATGCAGTTGGGAAGAGCATCTGCCACTGAAAGACCTGACCATTAAGAAGACCATCCCCCTCCAAGCACATCTTCTGAAGGAGGGCATTGAGAGTGGGTAGAGAGAGAATGCAGACCCCAGGCTGGAGGGGGAGGAAGCTGGGAACCCTGAACAGGACTCCTGAGTGCCAGGACTCATTCCCATCCCCCAGCAACTCCTGAAGAAGGGGTGAGTTAAATAGGAGAGGAGAGGCCCACTCTCACTACAGACCTCCAGAATCCCAGCGGCAGGAGACCCCATGACCCCCATGGACATTTGAGCTGGCAGAGCGAGCTGCTTAGAGAAGTGGCAGGGACATGACTCCAGCCTGTGTAGCATCCAGAGGGCTTGATGTCATAACAGCTTCAGTGGAGCAAGGCCAGAGATGCCCATTCCCCAAGGCTCACCACACTCCTTTAGGTAAGTCTGCCCTTCGTTAACTGTTGGACATGGACAGAGAAGGGCTGTCTTGCCCAACAGATGTGACCAGGTTAATCTGAGTGCCCTGTTTTCCCCAGCCTCTTCCAGGGTCCCTCACTAGCCATGCTCATTTGCAGTACAGATTTGGATGCCTAACTGGGGTACTTCCTGGTGGTTGCTGACATAGCTTCTTCACTGGTAGACCCTGCCTAACCATTGGAGAGATATAGCAGATGGGTTCTTGCTGATGTGTACCCACCAGCAGCCTCCCTCCACCATTTTACTGATGAGCCCCACTTGCAGCATCTCCTCACTGCTTTGCTGGTATATGGATGCATGGAGACCTCACTACCCTGCTGCTGGCAGCACATGCATGTGTGTGTGTGTGTTTGGACCCTACCATACTGCCTCCTAGCCACTATTGGTGTGTGTGCATGAATGCAGACCCCACTGCCACCACCCCACCAAAGCACTTTTGCTAGCAACCCCTTCAAAGTGTTGCTGCCAGAGACTGGGAACATGTTGGCTCTTCCAGCACAGCAGGTGCTTTAATCTCAAGGGGCCACAGAATAAAGCAGTGGGCTTGGGTCCAGCCCCCTAGGGTTACAGCATGCAGTGCTGAGGTGAGCCAGAGCCCCCGGAAATCATTCAGAAACAAAGCCAGTTGACTGAACCCAACTTATACCACAGTCAAACCCTCAAGGGCATCAAATGTGAAGGCAAAAAGCCCCACCCAAAAGACAGCAACTTCAAAGAGTAAAAGAACATCAGCCCACACAAATGAGACAGAACCAGTGCAAGAACTCTGACAACTCAAAAAGCCAGAATGTTTTCTAACCACCAGATGACTGCATTAGTTCCTCAGCAATGGTTCTTAACCAGGCTGATGTAGTTGAAATGACAGACTTAGAATTCAGAATCTGGATGACAATGAAGATCATCAAGATTCAGGAGAAAGTTGAAATCCAATCCAAGGAATCTAAGGAATCCAGTGAAATGATACAAGAGATGAAAGATGAAATGACCATTTTAAGAAGGAAGAAAACTGATGTGATAGAGCTGAAAAACTCACTACAAAAATTTATACTACAGTTGAAAATGTTAACAACGGAATAGAACAAGCTGAGGAAAGAATCTCAGAGCTTGAAGACTGGTTCTTTTTTTTTTTGAGGCAGAGTCTCACTCTGTCGCCAGGCTGGAGTGCAGTGGCATGGTCTTGGCTCACTGCAACCTCCGCCTCCTGGGTTCAAGCAGTTCTCTGCCCCAGCCTCCCAAGTAGCTGGGATTACAGGCATCCGCCACCACGCCCAGCTAATTTTTTGTATTTTTAGTAGAGACGGGGTTTCACCGTGTTAGCCAGGATGGTCTCGATCTCCTGACCTCATGATCCGCCCACCTCAGCCTCCCAAAGTGCTGGGATTACAGGTGTGAGCCACTGCGCCCGGCCTGAAGACTGGTTCTTTGAATCAACTGAATCAGACAAAAATAAAGAAAAAAGAATAAAAAAAATCAACAAAACCTATGAGAAATATGAGATTATCTGAAGAGACCAAATCTATGACTTATTGGCATCCATGAAAGAGAGGGAGAGAGGGCTGGGCATGGTGGCTCATGCCTGTAATCCCAGCACTTTGGGAGTCCAAGGCAGGCAGATCATGAGGTCAAGAGATCGAGACCATTCTGGGCAACATGGTGAAACTCCACCTCTACTAAAAATACAAAAATTAGCTGGACATGGTGGCATGTGCCTGTAGTCCCAGCTACTTGGGAGGCTGAGGAAGGAGAATTGCTTGAACACAGGATGTGGAGGTTGCAGTGAGCTGAGATTGTTCCACTGCACTCCAGCCTGGCAACAGAACAAGACTCTATCTCAAATAAATAAATAAATAAATAAATAGAGGGAGAGAGAGCAAGCAGCTTAGAAGACGTTTTTGAAGATACTGTCCCTGAAAACTTCTCCAACCTCGCTAGAGAGGTCAACATTCAAATTCAGAAAATTCAGAGAGCTCCACTGAGATACTGTACGAGATAACTATCCACAAGACATATAGTTATCTGATTTTTCAAGCTCAATGCAAAAGAAAAGAAATGAAAGGCAAGTAGTGAGAAGGGGAAGGTTATTTGCAAAGGGAACCCCATCAGGCAAATAGCAGACCTGTCAGCAGAAACCCTGCAAGCCAGAAGAGATTGGGGGCCTATATTCAGCATCCTTAAAGAAAAGAAATTCCAACCAAGAATTTTATATCTGGTCAAACTAAACTTCATAAGCAAATAAGAAATAAAATCCTTTCCAGACAAGCAAATGCTAAGGGAATTTGTAACCACCAGACCTGCCTTACAAGAGTTCCTTAAGGAAGGGCTAAAAATGGAAAGAAAACACCATCATCAGCCATCACAAAAACAGACTTAAGTACATAGACCATTGACACTATAAAGCAACTACACAATAAAGTCTAAATAACAACCACCTAACAATGTGATGACAGGATCAAATCCACACATATCAGTACTGACCTTGAATGTAAATAGGCTAAGTGCTCCACTTAAAAGGTGCAGAGTGGCAAGCACAATAAAGAAGCAAAACCCAATCGAATGCTGTCTTGAGGAAACCTATTTCACATGCAATGACACCCATAGGCTCAAAGAAAAGGAATGAAGAAAAATGTATTCTAATTTCAGATAAACCAGACTTCATACCAAGAATGATCAAAACGCACAAAGAAGAGCGCTACATAATGATAAAGGGTTCAGCTCAACAAAAAAACTTAACTATCCTAAATATTTATGGACCTAATATTGGAACACCCAGATTCATAAAACAAGTTCTTAGAGACCTATGAAGAAACTTTGACAACCACATTATAATAATGGGAAACTTGAACACTCTACTGACAGTATGACAGATCATCAAGGCAGAAAACTATCAAAAATATTTGGGACCTAAACTTGACACTTGACCAAATGGACCTAACGGCCATTTACAGTACTCTCCACCTAACAACAAGAGAAAATATATTCTTCTCATCTGCACATAGCACATACTCTAAAATCGACTACCTGCTCAGTCATAAAGCAATTCTCAATAAATTAAAAAAACCCACAAAATTATGCCAACCACACTCTTGCACCACTGAGTAATAAGAATAGAAATCAATACTAGAAGGTTTCTCAAAATCATACAATTTACATGGAAATTAAACAATCTGCTCCTGAATGACTTTTGGTTAAACAGTGAAATTAAGGCAGAAATCAAGTAATTCTTTGAAACTAATGAAAACAAAGATACAACATACCAAAATCTCTGGGACACAGCTAATGCTGTGTTAAAAGGAAACTATAGTACTAAATACCCACATCAAAAAGTTAGAAAACTCACAAATTAGCAACCCAACATCACACCTAGAGGAATTAGAAAAACAAGAGCAAACCAACCCTGAAGTTATAAGAAGAAAAGAAATAACCAAAATCAGAGCTAAACTGAACAAAATCGATGTGAAACACCATACAAGAGAAACAGAACTAAAAGTTGGTTCTTTGACAGAATAATTAAGATTAATAGACTGATAGTTAGATTAATGAAGAAAAAAAGAATAAATAAATGCAATCAAAAGTGACAAAGGGTGTCTTTATAGCAGCATGATTTATAATCCTTTGGGTATATACTCAGTAATGGGATGGCTGGGTCGAACGGTATTTATAGTTCTAGAACACATGGACACAGGAAGGGGAACATCACACACCAGAGACTGTTGTGGGGTGAGGGGAGTGGGGAGGGATAGCATTAGGAGATATACCTAATGCTAAATGACGAGTTAATTGGTGCAGCACACCAATATGGCACATGTATGCATATGTAACAAACCTGCATGTTGTGCACATGTATCCTAAAACTTAAAGTATAATAAAAAAAAAAAAAGTGACAAAGGGAATGTTACCACTTACCCCAGAGAAATACAAAGAACCCTCAGAAAGTATTACATCTCTATGCACACAAAGTAGAAAACCTACAAGAAATGGATGTTCCTGGAAACATGCAACCTCCCAAGATTTAAACAGGAAGAAATTGAAATCCTGGACATACCAATAACAAGTTTTGAAATTGAATCAGTAATAAAAAGCCTACCAACCAGAAAAAGGCCAGGACCAGATGGATTCACAGCCAAATTCTACTAGGCATATAAAGAGCTGGTATGTGCATGTTCTAACTTATAAGTGGGAGTTAAATGATGAGAGCACACAGACACAAAGAGGAGAAAAACAGACACTGGGGACTACCTGAGGGTGAAGGGTGGGAGGAGAGAGAAGATCAGAAAAAGTAACTATTGGATACCAGGCCTAGTACTTGGATGATGAAATAATTTGTATATCAAATCCCTGTGACATGAGTTTACAAGCTTGCACATGTACTCCTGAAACTAAAATTAAAGTTAAAAGAAAAAGAACTGGTATGAATCTTACTTAAACTATTCCAAATTTGAGGAGGAGGGACTCCTCCCTAACTTATCCTAAGAGGCTAGCATCATTTTGACACCAAAACCTGGCTGAGACACAATGAAGAAAGAAAATTTTAGGCCAATATCCCTGATGAACTTAGATGCAGAAATCCTCAACAAAATACTAGCTAGCTGAATCCTGCAGCACATGAAAAAGCTAATCCATCATGATCAAGCAGGCTTTATTCCTGGGATGCAAGTTTGGTTCAATATAAGCAAATCAAGACACGCAATTTACCACATAAATAGAACTAAAAACAAAAACCACATGGTCATTTCAGCAGACACAGGAAAGGCTTCTGAAAAAAATTTAACATCGCTTTATGATAAAAACCCTTAACAAACCAGGCATCAAAGGAACATACCAAAAAATAATGAGAGCAATCCATGACAAAACCACAGCCAACATCATGCTGAATAGGCAAAAGCTGAAAGCATTCTCTTTGAGAACTGGAACAAGATGAGGAAGCCCACTCTCACCATTCCTATTCAACATAGTACTGGAAGTCCTAGCCAGAGCAATCAGGCAAGAGAAAGAAATAAAATACATCCAAATAGAAAGAAAGGAAATCAAATTATCTCTCTTTGCAGACAATATGATTTTTTACCTAGAAAACCCTACAGTCTATGCCCAAAGGCTCCTAGAACTAATAAACAACTTCAGCAAAGTTTCAGGATACAACATCAATGAATAAAAATCAGTAGCATTTCCATATTCTAATAATGTCTAAGCTGAGAGCCAAATCAAGAACACAATTCCATTCACAATAGACACAAAGAAAAAATAAACCTAGGAATACAGCTGACCAGGGAAGTGAAAGATTTCTAAAATGAGAATTATGAAACACTGCTCAAAGAAATCAGAGATGACAGAAATGAAAAAACATTTTATGCTCATGGATAGGAAGAATCAATATTGTTAAAATGGCTATACTACCCAAAGCAACTTATAGATTCAATGCTATTCCTGTCAAACTGCCATCAACATTTTTCACAGAATTAGAAAAAACTATTCTAAAATTCGTATGAAACCAAAAAAGAATGCAAAGAGTCAAAGCAATCCTAAGCCAAAAGAATAAAGCCAGGGGCATCATACTACCTGACATCAAACTATATTACACAGATGCAATAACAGAAACAGCGTGGTACTGGTACAAAAACAGACTTACAGACCAGTGGAACAAGTTTGAGAACTCAGCAATATGGTCACACACCTACAACCATTTGATCTTTGACAAAGTCGACAGAAACAAGCAATGGTAAAAGGACTCTCTATTCAATAAATGGTGGTCGGAGAATTGGCTAGCCATATGTGGAGGATTAAACTGGACCCCTTCCTTGTATCATATACAAAATAAACTCAAGATGGATTAGACTTAAATGTAAAATCTAAAACTATAAAAACCCTAGAAGAAAACCTAGGAAATGCCATCCTGGACATAGGCCCTGGCAAAGATTTTATGATGAAGACCCCTAAAATAATGGCAACAAAAACAAAAATTGACAAGTGGGACCTAACTAAACTAAAGAGCTTCTGCATGGCAAAAGTAATTGTCAACAGAGTAAACAGACAACCTACAAAATGGGAGAAAATATTAGCAAACTATGCATCCAACAAAGGTCAAATATCTAGAATCTATAAGGAACTTAAATTAACAAGCAAAGACCAAACAACTCTATTAAAAATGGGCAAAAGACATGAACAGACACTTCTGAATAGAAGCATACATATGGGCAGCAAGCATATAAAAAGATGCTTAACATTAGTAATCATTAAAGGAATGCAAATCAAAACCATAATGAGATACCATCTCATTCCAGTCAGAATGGCTAGTATTAAAAAATAAAAAAAATAACAGATCCTGGCAAGGCTGCAGAGAAAAGGGAATGTTTATACATCACTAGTGGGAATGTAAATTAGTTCAATCACTGTGGAAAGCAGTTTGGAGATTTCTCAAAGAACTTAAAACAGGCCAGACGTGGTGGCTCATGCCTGTAATCCCAGCACTTTGGGAGGCTGAGGCAGGCAGATCCCCTGAGATCAGGAGTTTGATACCAGCCTGGCCAACATAGTAAAACCTGTCTCTACTAAAAATACAAAAATTAGCTGGACATGGTGGCAGATTCCTATAATCCCAGCTACCTGGGAGGCTGAAGCAGGAGAATTGCTTGAACCTGGGAGGCGGAGGCTGCAGTGAGCTGAGATCACACCACTTGCACTCCAGCCTGGGCAAGAGAGCAGACTCTGTCTCAAAAAAAAAAAAAAGAAAAAAAGAAAAAGAACTTAAAACAGAATTACTGTCCAACCCAGAAATCTTGTTACTGGGTATATACCCAAAGGAGTATAAATTGTTCTACCATAAAGACATGTGCACACGTATGTTCATCGCAGCAATATTCGCAGTAGCAAAGACATGGAATCAATCTAGATGCCCGTCAAAAGTGGACTGGATAAAGAAAACGTGGTACACATACACCATGGAATACTATGCAGCCATAAAAAGAATGAGACCATGTTCTTTACAGCAACGTGGATGGAGCTGGAGGTTATTATCGTAAGTTAATTAACATAGAATCAGAAAACCAAATACTGTATGTTCTCATTTATAAGAGGGAACTAAACATTGAGTACACACGGACACAAAGAAGGGAATAATAGACACAAGGGCCTACTTGAGGGTAGAGGATGGAAGGAGGGTGAGGACTGAAAAACTACCTATTGGCCACTATGCTCATTACCTGGGTGATGAAATAATCTGTATACCAACCCCCTGTGACAATTTCCCCATGTAACAAACCTGCACATGTTCCCCTGAACCTAAAATAAAAGTTGGAAAGAAAAAAATAACAATGAGATACCACTATATGCGTATTAGAATGGCCCAAGTCCAGAACACTGACAATACTAAATCCCAGTGAGGATATGGAGCAGTAGAACTCTTCATTGTTGCTGGGAATGAAAATGGCACATCCACCTGGAAAGACAGTTTGGCAGTTTCTTGCAAAACTAAACATACTCTTACCACACAATCCAGTAATTGTGCTCCTTCACGTTTACCCAAAGGAGTTGAAAACCTGTGTTCACACAGAAACCTGCACACAGATGTTTATATCAGCTTTATTTGTCATTGCTAGAACTTGGTAGCAACGAAGATATGCTTCAGTGAGTGATGGATAAACAAACTGTGGTACATTTAGATAATGAAATATTATTCTGTGCTACAAGTAAGGGTGCTATCAAGCCATGAAAAGATAGAGAGGCCTTGCCTCCATGTTGATGGGTGCTGATGGATCAGGGTGCTGGTTGCTGAAGGTTAGGGTAGCTGTGGCAATTTCTTAAAATAGGACAACAATGAAGTTTGCTTAATCAATTGACTTTTCCTTTCACAAAAAAATTTCTACTGTAGCATGTAATGCTATTTGATAGCATTTTACCTACAGTAGAACTTCTTTCAAAATTGGAGACAGTCCTTTCAAACTCTGCCACTGCTTTATCAGCTAAGTTTATGGAAGATTCCAAGCCCTTTGTTGTCATTTCAATGATGTTCACAGCATCTTCACCTGGAGTAGCTTCCATCTCAAGAAACCAGTTTCTTGGCTCATCGTAAGAAGAAACTCCTCATCTATTCAAGTTTTATCATGAGATTGCAGCAATTCAGTCACATCTTCAGGCTGCTTCTAATTCTAGTTCTCTTATGATTTCTACCACATCTGCAGTTACTTTTTCCACTAAAGTTTTGAATTACTAAAAGTCATCCATGGAGGGTTGGAATCAACTACTTTTAAACTCCTGTTTATGTTGACAATTTGACCTCCTCCTATGAATCACAAATATTCTTAATGGCATCTAGAATTGTGAATCCTTTCCAGATGGTTTTAGATTTACTTTGCCTAGATCTATCAGAGGAATCACTATCTATGGCAGCTATAGCCTTGTGAAATACATTTCTTAAATAAGATGTGAAAGTAAAAATGACTCTTTGGTCCATGGGCTGCAGAATGGATGTTTCGTTAGCAGGTATGAAAACATTTATCTCCTTGTACATCTCCATCAGAGCTCTTGGGTGATCAGGTGCATTATCAATGAGCAGTAATATTTTGAAGAAATCTTTTATTTTCTGAGCAATAGTTCTCAATAGTGAGCTTAAAAGAGTCAGTAAACCATTCTGTAAAGAGATGTGCTATTATCTAACTTCTGTTGTTCTGTTTAGGATACTTTTGTTTTTTTTAAAGATGGAGTCTTGCTCTGTCACCCAGACTGGAGTGCAGTGGCATGATCATAGCTCACTGCAGCCTCAAATTCCTGGCTCAAGTCATCCTCCTGCCTCTGCCTCCTGAGTAGCTGGGACTACAGTGTCATAATTCTTAAGGGCCTTAGGATTTTCAGAATGGTAAATAAGCATTGGCTTCAACTTAAAGTCACCAGCTGCAATAGCCTCTCACAAGAGAGTCAGCCTGTCTTTGAAACCAGTCATTGACCTTTCCTCTCTAGCTATGAAAGTCCTAGATGACATCTTCTTCCAACAGAAGGCTGTTTCATCTGCATTGAAAAGCTGTTGTTTAGTGTAGCCACCTTCACCAATTATCTTAGCTAGATCATATGGATAACTTGCTGCAGCTTCTTCATTAGCATTTGCTGCTTCACCTTGCATTTTTATGCTATAGAGATGGCTTCTTTTCTTAAACCTCATAAACCACCCTCTGCTAGCTTCTGGCTTTTCTTCTGCAGCTTCCTCAACTCTCTTGGCCTTCACAGAATTGAAGAGAGTTAGGGCCTTGCTCTGGATTAGGCTCTGGCTTAAGGAAATGTTGTGATTGGTTTGATCTATCCAGACTACTCAAATTTTCTCCATATCAGCAATTAGGCTGTTTTATTTTCTTATTCATGTATTCTCTGGAGTAGCACTTTTAATTTCATTCAAGAACTTTTCCTTTGCATCCACCACTTGGCTGTTTGGGACAAGAGGCCTAGCTTTCAGCCTGTCTCAGCTTTCAACATGCCTTCCTCATTAAGCTTAATTATTTCTAGCTTTTGATTTAAAGTGAGAGATGTATGGCTCTTCCTTTCATTTGAACACTTAAAGGCTATTGTAGGGTTATTAATTGGCCTAATTTCAATATTGTGAAATTGTGTCTCGGGGAATAAAAAGGCTCAAGGAGAGGGAAAGAGACGGGGAACAACCAGTCAGTGGAGCAGCCAGAACACACAGAACATTTATCTATTAAATTCTCTATCTTCTGTGGGCACAGTTTGGGTGCCCCTGAATAATTACAATAGTAACATCAAAAATCACTGATCACAGATAATCGTAACAGATATAATAATAATGAAAGGTTTGAAATATTGTAAGAATCGCCAAAATGTGACAGAGAGATGCTAAGTGAGTACATGTTTTTGGATTAATGGTACCAACAGGCTTGCTCAATGCAGGGTTGCCACAAACCTCCAATTAAGAAAAAAAAAGCAACATCTGCAAAGCACAATGAAATGAGGTATGCTGGTTCATGTAGATTCCTACATGTGAGCACATGTCTACACACACATAAGGCCATAGAAAAGGGAAATGCACCAAAATTTTAACTCCTTATTTTTGGGTAGTGAGTTAACTTCTGAACTCTTTAAACTAGCTAATTATTATTTTTATAACTGGAAGAAACATAATATAAAAATAATTTCCCACTTGTTTAAAAAATTGTTTTTCATGGTTTTGAAAACTAGTCATTTTATTTCCTATCCTGCCTAACTTATAGATTGATATATAGGTAAATATGTCATAGATATTAAAGTTCTTTTCACATGGAATGAAAACAAACCATAGATATGGACTTTTTATTAAGAGCTTCCTTTTCTGTTTATGCTTCCATGCTTTTCCTACAAGCCACTTCTAAATATGAAATGGATGATAGTTTATGTACTTTTCAAAATTATCAAATTGACAATGAAATGGTTCTTTCTACCATCTTTGAGCTCTGTGAACAAACGCCTCACCTTTTTGAGCCAGAAGCCTGTTACTGCAGTAAATCTGCCTTTAACCACCCTGTTAGAGTTCCAAGTGGAAAGTACACCTCTTGGTTTCTATGCTCAGCTCTATAATTCATGCTGAGTAACATCTTCACCTTGACACACTCCATTTCTTTTCTGGAAGCTGAGGGTGATGAAAATCCACATATGGAGGATAACTGAGTGGCCAAGGGTAAAACTTTATGTAAAAGAAAACCCTTGGATACAATCCTGAATTTCTGCCATCCCACTCACCCATCCATCTGAAATTGTTTCTGTTATTGAATCCAAGAATTCATGCAGTCCAAACACATTAAACTTAACATTTTTCTTGTTATGGAAATCGGAATGCAGGATTTATCAAATCCTTCTTTGGAATGCTGGCCCTTTACAGCTAACAAGCTAAGATAGACAGTTTGTCTGCCTTCTTGGATGATAAATCGTAAATACTCAAGACCCAGTATTTTAGACACCTGTGCTTCAAGTATTACAAGGCATTTTGAGAGATCACCTGGCCCATCTTTCTCCTCCTTCCCCATCGAAATCCTCTTTGTCATAATCTGATAGCAAAGATAATTTACTCTTGGAAGAAAAAAAGTACAAAGAGGGACTATTTTCTAACTGGGTGTGAGTTGGGAAGATCCTTCTGTTTGTTTTGGTAATTTAATTTCCAAAATATGCACAGTTCTCCTTCAGTATGCAGACATTGAATAAAGGCCCATTTTCCACCTGAGTTAACATGCCCCTGCAGGTCAGTTTCTTACTCTGAGCAGTGACAGAGAGGGTCCCCCCTGGATTGCTTTGCTTTCAAATGCGAACCTGGCATATTGAAGATCTTGGTTACCTGTTGCTTATGTGCAGATCTGGCATATGCTCTCCTGTTTCCTAGTGATAAAAAGATGAAGCTACAGACTTCAAACTGTACTTCGTGATGCCGTGGGATCTGAGTTGCCATATGTAAAGAGACAGAGCCTGGGGAATTGTGAGAGGAAGTTTCTGTAGTCTTATCCTCAGTCAGCTGGAAGATGATCAACTTACATATGCCCTGCGCTAGTAAAGAAGCAGACTTCCAAGCGTCAGAAGCTCTGTTTCCTATGCCATGGCTATCTGCTAAGAGATCTCCCATTGCAAATCATGGTCCAGCATCCAGCAAGTGTGGTGTGATGGGCACAGGGGAAATTTCGATCATGTTAAGATGGCATTATGAATAAGGAATCTGAGAATGCATGAATTCTGTTTTGTCAATCACCACTTTCACTGCAGGGTTACTGAAGGGACCTCACATACCAGAGGCAAAGAAAACGGTAATCAAAATTGCCACCACTTAAGCTGGTGCATAGTCACCTCATGAGAGCTATCCTTATAGATGGATTGGAGCAGTCAGCTCAGGCTCCAGGCATCCCCTAAGCAGGCTTCTGTCTCCCCTAATTTTCAATCTTACCATTACCATCAGCTTCTGGAGACAGAAATGGCCTGCATACCTGGGTGAGGATGAGAAGAGAAGAGGGGGAGAAAGGTGGTTGAGACTGTTCCTAGCACCTTATTCTTCAAAGTGTGGTCCCTAATACCAGCAATATCAACATCATCTGAAAGTTTCTAAGAAATGCAGAATCTGGGGCCCCACCCGAGACTTGCTGAATCAGAATCTTCATTTTCCACAAGATCCCCATGTGACTTGTATGCACGTTTGTGTTTGAGAAGCACTGTCCTAGGGGATGGGCTTTAGGTCAACTCACTAGCTCACTGATGTGTCTTCACTGTGACTTTAACACACAGTGGCTCTGCCCTCCACTCTATCCCAAATTGGAGAATTCAAAATAGTACTCTCTACTGTTGGGAAGAAATGAGAAAGGGGGCAGGACAAAGATAGCTGAGAGATTCTGCCTACTGCATATGGAAAATGCCAGTTCTAATGAAATTAAATTGCTTTCTTTATGGCAGGACTCTCTCAGCATGGTAATGTGCATTGTGACTTTTGAGAAGACAATATAATATGCAACATTGCCCAGACTTTTAAATTACAGAACCCTGTTTGGCAAGAACATCTATTAACAATGAATGTGTCATGGAACACAGCATGGGAAGTGCCAATCTCAGGGGCACCATGGTTCTTGTTGGAACAGATAGATTGACACGCTCCTTCCTCCTCCCAATATGAGATTGAGCAGAACTTCAAATATGTAGTTTTTCCAAGGGTTAAGACAGCAGTAGTGAAATTATATCTTACATGATGGTTAGGAGCTAAAGTTAGCTCATGAAGCAAAAATTGTATTTTAGTCAAAAATTTCTTTGAAAAAACTTTTAGATAGTACTGCATTACAGACTCACTCCAGAAGTTCAATACAGCTTGTGTTATCTTCAGAATTGGCGCTTTCCACTGTTTCTTTAGGTAAGTAACAGATCAAGTATTTGGACACCATCTGGTTTGAAGAGCATGTATCTTTAAACACTAGAGTTACACACGGCATGATGAGATGCTGATACTTTTAGATGTGGGTGGAAACTAAGACTGACTGAGGAACAGCATACTCATGTCTCCTATCCTGAGCCACTGAGACTGAATGAACTTAGTGGAATGGTTCATGGAATTATCCATACTACTTAAGTAGTTCTGCCTTTTTTTCCTCTCAGCATATATTATTAATTTACATACATTAAATTTGCATATGCTGCAATGCCTCTGTGTTGTATACACAATTTCAGAGAGTGTTTTTGCCCTCTCTGGAAAACTAGATACCTGGATTCAAGGGACTCACCAAATGGCCTTTGGTGAATTTAATGTGGTCAACAGTCTCATTCTTAAACTCTTAATAATTTCAGAATTTTAGCAACAGTGATAGTTGCCCTAGATAACAGAGACCAATACGTTTATGAATCAGAATGTAAATTTATGTTGAGAAATATAGCCATTGCACAGACTAGAATGCTGGTGTCAGCAGATCACTATAATTTTCCTATAAGCAGCCAATGTGGGAAGCCAAATTATATTTTCAAAGGCAATTCTAAAATATTCAATGATAAATGAAACTGCATCAAGTGAGCCAGTCATTCCATTGGCTTGTATTGTGCAACGAGTGTATGAGTTTTCAGCAGCTGGGGAATTGGTTGGACAAATGATGGACAAATCACTTTTATGTCCAGCTGAATTCACCTTTCTCCCATACATTCACAAGGAACTGAATTTATGTGAGTTTCCAGGGACAACATAATAGAGTTCAAAGCCCAGCGTTATTAATGTTTTTCCTTTGTGTTTCCTTCGTATAAAGAGAGGATGACCTTTGCCAACCTACTCAGCTCACTTTGTTAGCCGAGTCTGTGAACAGGGGAAAATTACAGCCTTAGAGCCACTATCTGATAGACACACTAAGATTTTTGGATGGTATTTTCTTTTAAAGGGTGTCCTTTGACAGATTGGAGGATCAAGCAGTTCAGTAGGCCCACCAACATAGGTCTCCTTCTTGCCCTCCCTTTGAAGGAGACACACCACCCCTGTAGATAAAATGATCCTCAGCTATTGAGACAAAGCAAGCCATTTTCCTCTTACTACATCATCCACATTTCTTCTTTCCTCTCCCTGGAAGCACAGAGCATTGACCATATAGTTATTTCTTCATATTCTTATTTCCATCAATTGAAGTGAGTGTGGTCTAAGGCAGGGGTTGACAAACTTTTTTTTCTGTAAAGGGACAAGTAGTAACTATTTTTGGCTTTGTGGGCCATACAGTCTTTGTCAGCTCCTCAGTTCTGCCTCTGAAATTCAAAAGCAACCATAGACAATACATAAATAAATAAGCGAGGCTGTGTTTCAATAAATTCCATTTATAGGCACTAAAATTTGAGTTTCACACAATTTTTATGTAGTACAAAATATCCATCTTTCAATATGTTTTAATCATTTAAAAATATAAAACCATTCTTAACTCATGAGCTATATAAAAAAACAGGCAGCAGGCTATGGTTTGCTGTTCCCTTATCTAAGGAATTGGCTAATTTCCCCACCTATATCACTGTTTTCTCTTGCTTTTGGTTTGGTGACAGGAAATAGTAGGACTCATTACTTGCTTCATGTTTTGAACATTGTATAGGGAGGTAGGATCACTTAGCAGTTGTAAGCATGGGCTTTGTAATTAGATACAACTAGGTTCAAATCGTAGTTTTACGTCTAGTTTTAATCCTTGTATTTTTTTTTTTTTTTGCCCCTTTACCATAGGGGCAAATTGCATAAGGTCTCCAAGCACCAGTTTCCTTATCTATAAAATACATAATTCCATACCTCATTGGATTAAATGATATAATGTACGTGAAGTATTCAACAGTGTTTACAATTCAGTAGCTATTATTAGTATGTTGTTATTGTTATTAGGGGACCTGTGTTTTCCATTTCTAATTCTCTGTCTCCTTTTATCTGGGGTCAGTCAATCTCTTCTCTGAGTCAGCTTTTAAATGTGGGGGGTTTGAAACTCTGGTCATCTTCAGATCTAAAAATGTTTATGACTCTTTCTGCTTGTAATATAACCCCTTGCATTGTAAAGATAATCACTGTTTATGTTCCAAGAGTAGATCTTGGGTTTTTGGATGGCAGCTCTGTGTTTGTGAGAAATGGGACGAGAGAGACATAGGAGTTTTTATTCTGGTAATTTATGTTTAACAGAAGCATTGACTCCTTGCTCTTCTTCTTCCTGGGATAGTTGACAGTTAACATGAAACAAAATTCTTTTGGAATCCCAGGGGACAGGTGCCATTATCTGAAGCAGAACCTGGCACTCACTGAGCCCTATGGTACCTCAACTATGATACCATGATGTTTATGGGACTCAATTTGAAGAACCAAGGTGAAAAAAGACCCACGAAATGAAAAAGAGACTCCAAATGCAGATAGCGTATCTTCCCCAGCTAAGTGAACTGTGCCATCCAATTATTTCCAATTACAATTGCATTCCTTTCTTTAATGTTTGCTATGCTGATATCCAAGTTGCTAATGAAAGAGGCCCCCGCTTTATGATCCCCATTGTTGCGACTTGCTGGGCTTAATTGCTTTGTCTCTATAACAGACAGACATTCTGAACAATTAGACAATAATAAGGAAGCAAGATGGGGAAATGGCTTAGATTCTTTCATTTTAATTATGCTGATAGTGCACCCTACAGTTCTGAATCAATGCTGAAGTGCTATTTTTGATAGCATTCAATAACATCCAACTAGAGCTAATAAATTTATATTTCTAATGCAAAAGAACCCTTTCCTCTATCTCAACTGATTATTGCTTTTTGCAGAACAGTAATACTTTCAATGCACATGACATGTTTAACCTTCAGCTTCCTTCACAACAGTCCTATTATTCTATATTCTTCCGTTTTACATACAGGAAAAATGAAAGGTCTAAGCTGGCTCAAGCTCATGTAGCATCTTGGGAATCTAGCTGCCTAGGTACCTTCCAGAATGCCTCTTAAAATTCATGTTTGCCTTTAAAAAATTACTTTTAAAGATGCCAACAATATAAATATGGAGCTCAGATTTCAGTCTGTTCTGAATGTTGAAAAATGCAAGGCCCTGCACAATCAGGTTCCTGCCTCATCTCTAATCTCCTTGTGTTCCACTCTCCTATTTGCCTACTGTTTCCAGCTATTCTGGTCTTTCAGTCTTGAAAGCTTGAAAATGCAAGCTCAGTCTTGTCTGACGGTCTTCCTCTGTCTTTGCATGACTGTTTCCTTTACATCCTTCAGTCTCAACTCAAATGCCACCTCCTCATAGAGGCCACCCCTGATCCTTGCATCTCCTTTGCTCTTCCTCTCACATCCCTCCCCTTTCTGTTACTCTCTTTCATTGAATTTAGCTTGTTTCCTTTACAACACAAGTTGTAATTATATATTTACCTTTCTATTTGTTACTCATCTAGGTGCATGAAGGCAAGCATTACATGTATTTTGTTAACCACTGCAAAACCAGGAAATTACATAGTACTTGAAAGTAGTAGGTGCTCAATAAATATTTGTTGAATGAATAAGCAAATTAATGAAAGATTAGATTCTTTTTCTTTCCTAGTCTGTAATCTTGGAGCAGCTGTGTCTACTGATATCCTCTCCAACCTTTCAGTTGGATCTCTGTAGACTGACCTTACTCCTAAGGGTGTGGATTACTTGAGGACAGAGATTTTGGCTTGTAGATCTTTGTATTCTCACTGTCGTACATTGTCTTACACTGTACTTTCTATATGGCTGTGAATAAGTCAATGTTAATGAGAGATGTGAAATAAAATTCCAAAAAAGGCATGAATTTATCATTTGTGTTTTATGTGTGATGATATTGGTTTGTCAAGAAATTGATGTACTTAAAAATAATGCTGTTTGTCCTATGATTAATGACACTTATATGTTTATATATACATTTATCTTATTTTGCTTTTATATAAAATGCAGTCTCAATGTGGATAATGCCACAATTCAGAAAATGATGTAAGGAGAAATAAAAACCACCCATAATTCCACAGTCTGGAAAGAAGACTGCTAACCTTGTGGTGTATTTTCTTATAGACATTCAAACACACACACACACACACACACACACATACACATATACTGTTTAATTACAAATAATGAAAATGAAGTTGAATACTTTTGTCATTATTCACATACAATTATATCAAGATCATTTTTATGTCATTGCAATTCTTTGAAAATATAATTTTTGATGATCATAAAATATACAATTGAAAGATAAATTACAAGGTATTCAATAACTTTCCTAATAAATATTAAGTTTTTCCATGCTACTTTTGGCTCCAATAACTAATCTTGCTGTGGTACAGATGGTCTTACTGGGTCAAAAAGCAAGAATAATTTAAGATTCTTGTCCGGGTACTCAAATTGCTTTCAAGAAAGTTGTGCCAAATTATATTTCCACTAGATTGAGTTGACAATGTTGGTTTATCCCTACCTCTTTAGCATTGAATATTTTGTCTTTTTCCTCTCTCGTGAAACTTGTTTATTTCTTTTGTCCCCTTTATATTGAGTGTTAGTGTTTTTCTTATGGATTTGTACAATCTGTTATATACCAAATATTTTTTATGTTTGTCATATTCATGAAAACATTTTCTTCTGCCTTGCCATCATTTTTTTGTTGGCCTTTAAAACTTTTTTTTTAAACTAGCTTTATTGAAGTAAAATTCACCTAAAATAATGTTCACCAATTTTAAGCATGCAATTTAATGAGTTTTGACAAATGTATTGAGTCATGTAACCACGACTGCACTCAAGATATGAGACATTTTCATTATCCCAAAAGTTTCCTTATGCCATTTTGTACTAAGTCTATTCTCTTTACCCCTGGTACCTGACAACCACTGCTCTACTTTCTGTCACTTTAATTTAGTCTTTTCTAGAATTTCATACAGATGAAATTTTACATTAGTTTTTTTGTGTGTGTGTTTGACTTCTTTAAGTAAGCATACTTTATTTTAATCACAAATATGTATTTTTGTGTATAACGGTAGTTTGTTCCTTTTTATTGCTGAGTAGTATTCCATTACATGGCTATAATACAATTTGTTTATCCATTCACCTGTTGTTAGGCATTGAGTTGTTTCCAGCTTTTTGGCTATTAAGAATAAAGCAGCTATGCCAGGGACTTCCACTTCTGGGCAACTTAGAGAAACAGGGACTGCATTTATTCTCCCATCTGAAACAACAACAACAACAAAAACTAGACAAATATATAAAACAATGGTTTTTCAAGATATTGGACATGAGAAATTGATCCCTGAAAGATGGAAAAAGGGAGCAAAGAACAGATGGTGCAAATAGAAATCAATCTATTAACTAAAAATCACATCAAATGTAAATGGTCTAAATTGAGATTGTCTTTCAACTGGAAAATTTAGACCATGAAAAAGTAAAACTTAATTATATGCTACTTATAAGAAACCTACTTTAAATATAAAGTCACAGATAGGTTAAAAGT
This sequence comes from Homo sapiens, assembly GCF_000001405.40. Lineage (NCBI taxonomy): Eukaryota > Metazoa > Chordata > Mammalia > Primates > Hominidae > Homo > Homo sapiens. The sequence continues at coordinate 155,370,993 of NC_000005.10, forward strand.
GTAAAAGATATAATATTCTAACACTAAACAAATGAAAACTGGATTGGTTATGTTAATATCAGACACATAGCCTTTAGAACAAAGAATAATATCAGGGAGAAAGATGATAATTTTTATAATTATAAAGGGGTCAATTCATCAAGAGGACATAACAATTCTAAATGTTTATACACCAAATAACAGAGCTTCAGAATACATAAAACAAAAATTGTTAGAACTGCAAAGAGCAGCAGACAACTACACAATTATATTAAGAAATTTAAATACTTTTCTCATAATATTTGGTAGAACAAGTAGACAGAAATCAGTAAGAATACAGAGGTTTTGAACAACACTCTCAACCGTCTTGACTTGATTGGTATTTATAGAATGCTCCACCCAAGCAAAATACACGTTCTGTCCCCATCCAGCTCACACAGAACGTTTACCAAGTCAGACCTTATTCTAGGATACTAGTAAATGCAAAAGAATTTGAATCATACAAAGTATGTTCTTTAACCACATTAGAATTAAATTAGAAACCCAAACCAGAAAGATCTCTGGAAAATTCTCAAATATTTAGAAATAATATAACATACTGCTAAATAACCCATGCATAAAAAAGAAATCAAAAGGGATATGAGAAAGTACGTTGAACTGAAGAAAAATGAAAACACAATGTATTGAATTGTGTGGGATCCTGTTAAAGCAGTACTCAGAGAAAAATTTATAGCACTAAATAATTTTATTAGTAAAGAAGAACGATCTTAAATCAATTTCTACTCTTCCGCCTAAAGATACTTAAAAAAGACCAAATTAACCCTAAATAAGCAGAAAAAGGGAAATAGTAAAGATCTGAGAAGAAATCAAGAAAAATGAAAACAGTAGAGAAAAACAATAAAACAAATATCTGATTTTTTAAAGAAGGCTGGGGAATATCTAGTTTTATGAGTTTTTTTTTTTTTTAAATAACATGAGTGAGTATTGAATTTGGTCTTTTCTGCATCATATAATTTTTCATTTTTAGGTTGTTAAGATGAATTGTATTGATTACATTTCAAATGGCAAAAATTTTACATTTCTTGTTGTGCAGGCCTGTTGGTTATGCATTCTCTCAGCAGTCTTTTGTATAAGTAAGCCTTTATTTAATTTTCATTTTTAAAAGATATTTTCAGTTACTAAAGAATTTGAGGTTGACAGGTTTTTCCAGCATTTTAATGGTATCTATCTGTGTTGCATTTTGGATAGCATTTATGCTGTCTTCGATTTTAACTGGTCTTTTCTTCTACTATGTCTAAGCTGCTATTAACCCTGTTGGGTTCACTTTCCACTTCAGATACTACTTTTTTTTCATCTCTAGAAGTTTTAGATTTTTTTTTTTTTTACGTCTTTCTCTCTTCATCATGCTCAAGTTTTCCTCTTCTTTCTTGAACATATAGACAATATTTATAGCAGTTTTATCATCTGTCTCTGCTAGTGCCAACATCTCTGTCATTTCTGGGTCTGTTTCTTTGGATTTATTTTTCTCCTGATTATGGATTATATGCTTCTTTGCATGCCTGGTAATTTTCAGTCGGATATCAGAGCTTGTGAATTTTATGTTGTTGATGGATAGATTTCCTTGTTTTTAAAAATATTAATGTTGGATTTTAGCTTAGTTACTTGTAATCAGTTGGATCCTTTAGAATTTTCTTTTAAGTTTTGTTAGGGCAGATCCATAGCAACTTTTAGTCTAGGCATAATTTACCCTCATCGTTAAGGTGATTCTTTCCTAGGCTCCTATCTGTTGTCCTATATGTTATGAGGTGTTTTCAATCTAGTTATTAGGAATATGCACCATTTCCAGGCCTGTTTGATCTTATGGAATCATTTTTCCTACTGTGGTGGTTCTATTCCTGGCTGCAGGCAGTTTCCTCTATTGAATGAAGAAATCACCACTCAGCCAGAGATTCGACAGGATTTTTGTGCCGTCTGTTCCTGTACAGATCATTGTTCTCTAGTCCCCTGCTCCACAAATTCTAGCCCTGCGTGAAATGTTATCTCCATCTCCTCAACTGAACGAGACCACCAAGCTCTATTTGATTTCCCCTTCCCTGTACTGTAGCTTGGAAATTGCCTCCAAGCAGTTTAAGTTTGCAATGGTAGGGCTCACCGTGTTTGTTATCTCAGAGATTACAGTCCCCCACTGCCTGTTTTCAGTGTCTGAAAATTTGTTTCAAATATTTGGTCCAATTTTCTAATTGTTTAAGGTGGAAATATAAATCTGGTGCCTGTTACATCATCTTGGCTAGAAGTGAAATTTCAGCCTTTTAATTCTGATTTTTTTAAAAAAATACAGAAGTTTACATTTTATAGTTGTTTACTCTATTTTTGTGATTCCTTCAATTGAATTTATATTTTTTCATTTATATATTTGACAAATACCTATATTTTTTCTAGGTTAGAAATATTTTAATTCATTTTAATATATCTAAAATTTGGCCAGGTGCAGTGGCTCATGCCTGTAATCCCAGCACTTTGGGAGGCCGAGGTGGGTGGATCACCTAAGGTCAGGAGTTTGAGACCAGCCTGACCAACATGGTAAAACCTCGTCTCTACTAAAAATATAAAATTAGCAGGGCATGGTGGCACATGCCTGTAATCCCAGCTACTTAGGGGGCTGAGGCAGGAGAATCAATTGAACCTGGGAGGCAGAGGTTGCAGTGAGCCAAGATCGCACCATGGCACTCCAGCCTGGGCAACAAGAGCGAAACTCCATCTCAAAAATAAAAATAAAAATAAAATTTATGTTGGTATCTGACCTGAAGTATTGTGCTAAGGATTTAAAATCTCTTTATCATTTATGAATGATCCATCTCTTCTTTTATTGTTTTTATAGTATTTTCTATTTTTTGAAGTATTTTTAGTATTTTAAACTATTTTTTAGTATGTCGCTTTTTCCTCATGATTATTCATAAGTAGGCTATAGTTCATCATTCTTACAAATAAAATATTTTAACAAATTCTGTCTTTAAATATATTATTACTAGTATATAGAAAAGCTATTAATTTTAAATATTTATCTGGTATCTATATATTTTGCTAAACTCTATTCTTAAATCCAATTTAAGTTAATTCTTCTGGGCATTCTAGGTAGACAATTGTATCACTAGCAAATCATTACTTTCTTTCCTTTATCCTGTTTTGTGATGTTCATAGTAATTTTCAAATCTCTAAATTTTTTTTTAGAATTTTCCCACAACGTCATTTTTATTTTGAGTTCCAGGATACATGTGCAGGTTTGTTACATAAGTAAATGTGTGCCATGGTGATCTGCTGTACCTATCAACCCATCACCTAGTTACTAAGCCCAGCATGCATTAACTATTTTTCCTGATGCTCTCCCTCCTTCCATCCTACCACCCAAAACAGAGTGTGTTGTTCCCCTCCCTGTGTCCATGTGTTCTCATTGTTCAGCTCCCACTTATAAGTGAGAACATGCAGTGTTTCGTTTTCTGTTCCTGCATTAGTTTGCTGAGGATAACGGCTTCCAGCTCCATCGATGTCCAGGCAAAGAACATGATCTTGTTTTTTTTTATGGCTGCATAGTATTCCATGGTGTATACGTACCACATTTTCTTTATCCAGTCTATCATTGATGGGCATTTGGGTTGATTCCATGTCTTTGCTATTGTGAATAGTGCTGCAATGAATGTACACGTGCATGTATCTTTAAAATAGAATGATTTATATTTTTTGGGGTATATACCCAGTAATGGATTGCTGGGTTAAATGTTATTTCTGGCTCTATGTCTTTGAGGAATCCCTACATTGTCTTCCACAATGGTTGAACTGATTTACATTTCCACCAACAGTGTAAAAGTGTTCCTATTTCTCCACAGCCTCACCAGCATCTATTGTTTCTTGACTTTTTAATACTAGCCATTCTGACAGGCATGAGATGGCATCCCATTGTGGTTTTGATTTGCATTTTTCTAATAACAGTGATGTTGAGCTTTTTTCATATGTTTGTTGGCCACATAAATGTCTTCTTTTGAGATGTGTCTGTTCATATCCTTTGCCCACTTTTTAATGGATTTTTTTTTTCTTGTAAATTTGTTTAAGTTCTTTGTAGAGATTCTGGATATTAGGCCTTTGTCAGATAGATAGATTGCAAAAATTTTCTCCCCTTCTGTAGGTTGTCTGTTTGCTCTGATGATAGTTTCTTTCATTGTGCAGGAGCTCTTTATTATTATTATTATTATTATTATTATTATTATACTTTAAGTTTTAGGGTACATGTGCACAACGTGCAGGTTTGTTACATATGTATACATGTGCTACGTTGGTGCGCTGCACCCATTAACTCGTCATTTAGCATTAGGTATATCTCCTAATGCTATCCCTCCCCCGTCCCCCTACCCCACAACAGTCCCCAGTGTGTGATGTTCCCCTTCATGTGTCCATATGTTCTCATTGTTCAGTTCCCACCTATGAGTGAGAACATGCAGTGTTTGGTGTTTGGTCCTTGCGACAGTTTGCTGAGAATGTTAGTTTCCAGCTTCATCTATGTCCCTACAAAGGGCATGAACTCATCATTTTTTAGGGCTGCATAGTATTCCATGGTGTATATGTGCCACATTTTCTTAATCCAGTGTATCATTGTTGGACATTTGGGTTGGTTCCAAATCTTTGCTATTGTGAATAGTGCCACAATAAACGTACGTGTGCATGTGTCTTTATAGCAGCATGATTTATAATCCTTTGGGTATATATGCAGTAATGGGATTGCTGAGTCAAATGGTATTTCTAGTTCTAGATCCTTGAGGAATTGCCACACTGACTTCCACAGTGGTTGAACTAGTTTACAGCCCCACCAACAGTGTAAAAGTGTTCCTATTTCTCCACATCCTCTCCAGCACCTGTTGTTTCCTGACTTTTTAATGATTGCCATTCTAACTGGTGTGAGATGGTATTTTATTGTGGTTTTGATATGCATTTCTCTGATGGCCAGTGATGATGAGCATTTTTTCATGTGTTTTTTGGCTGTATAAATGTCTTCTTTTGAAAAGTGTCTGTTCATGTCCTTTGCCCACTTTTTGATGGGGTTGTTTGTTTTTTTTTTTTTGTAAATTGTTTGAGTTCGTTGTAGATTCTGGATATTAGCCCTTTGTCAGATGAGTAGGTTGCAAAAATTTTCTCCCATTCTGTAGGTTGCCTGTTCACTCTGATGGTGGTTTCTTTTGCTGTGCAGAAGCTAGTTTAATTAGATCCCATTTGTCAATTTTGTCTTTTGTTGCCATTGCTTTTGGTGTTTTAGACATGAAGTCCTTGCCCATGCCTATGTCCTGAATGGTATTGCCTAGGTTTTCTTCTAGGGTTTTTATGGTTTTAGGTCTAACATGTAAGTCTTTAATCCATCTTTAATTAATTTTTGTATAAGGTGTAAGGAAGGGATCCAGTTTTGGCTTTCTACGTATGGCTAGCCAGTTTTCCCAGCACCATTTATTAAATAGGGAATCCTTTCCCCATTGCTTGTTTTTGTCAGGTTTGTCAAAGATCAGATGGTTGTAGATATGCAGCATTATTTCTGAGGGCTCTGTTCTGTTCCATTGATCTATATCTCTGTTTTGGTACCAGTACCATGCTGTTTTGGTTACTGTAGCCTTGTAGTATAGTTTGAAGTCAGGTAGCATGATGCCTCCAGCTTTGTTCTTTTGGCTTAGGATTGACTTGGTGATGTGGGCTCTTTTTTCGTCCCATATGAACTTTAAGGTAGTTTTTTCCAATTCTGTGAAGAAAGTCATTGGTAGCTTGATGGGGATGGCATTGAATCTATAAATTACCTTGGGCAGTATGGCCATTTTCATGATATTGATTCTTCCTATCCATGAGCATGGAATGTTCTTCCATTTGTTTGTGTCCTCTTTTATTTCATTGAGCAGTGGTTTGTAGTTCTCCTTGAAGAGGTCCTTCACATCCCTCGTAAGTTGGATTCCTAGGTATTTTATTCTCTTTGAAGCAATTGTGAATGGGAGTTCACTCATGATTTGGCTCTCTGTTTGTCTGTTATTGGTGTATAAGAAAGCTTGTGATTTTTGTACATTGATTTTGTATCCTGAGACTTTGCTGAAGTTGCTTATCAGCTTAAGGAGATTTGGGGCTGAGACGATGGGGTTTTCTAAATATACAATCATGTCATCTGCAAACAGGGACAATTTGACTTCCTCTTTTCCTAATTGGATACCCTTTATTTCCTTCTCCTGCCTAATTGCCCTGGCCAGAACTTCCAACACTATGTTGAATAGGAGTGGTGAGAGAGGGCATCCCTGTCTTGTGCCAGTTTTCAAAGGGAATGCTTCCAGTTTTTGTCTATTCAGTATGATATTGGCTGTGGGTTTGTCATAGATAGCTCTTATTATTTTGAGATACGTCCCATCAATATCTAATTTATTGAGAGTTTTTAGCATGAAGTGTTGTTGAATTTTGTCAAAGGCCTTTTCTGCATCTATTGAGATAATCATGTGGTTTTTGTCTTTGGTTCTGTTTATATGCTGGATTACGTTTATTGATTTTCTTATGTTGAACCAGCCTTGCATCCCAAGGATGAAGCCCACTTGATCATGGTGGATAAGCTTTTTGATGTGTTGCTGGATTCGTTTTGCCAGTATTTTATTGAGGATTTTTGCATCAATGTTCATCAAGGATATTGGTCTAAAATTCTCTTTTTTTGTTGTGTCTTTGCCAGGCTTTGGTATCAGGATGATGCTGGCCCCATAAAATGAGTTAGGGAGGATTCCCTCTTTTTGTGTTGATTGGAATAGTTTCAGAAGGAGTGGACCCGGCTCCTCCTTGTACCTCTGGTAGAACTCGGCTGTGGATCCATCTGGTCCTAGACTTTTTTTGGTTGGTTAGCTATTAATTACTGTCTCAATTTCAGAGCCTGTTATTGGTCTATTCAGAGATTCAACTTCTTCCTGGTTTAGTCTTGGGAGAGTGTATGTGTTGAGGAATTTAGTGCAGGAGCTCTTTTGTTTAATTAGATCTCCTTTGTCAATTTTTGATTTTGTTGCAATTGCTTTCAATATTTTTGTGTTTGATCATGATCTATTATTTCACACCTTATAATATATGCTTGCTAGTTATTTATTTATTTGTTTGTTTACTTGTGCTTTTGGCCATAGCGGTGTTCAGCAGAAGGCTTGTTTTTATTCTTCTATGCTTTTAAAGGAATAACCCTTAGTCACAAGTATAACTCCTCCATTTTCCCTGTTGTAGTCATGGGTTTACTCAGAGCCATTCATAACAACCCCATCTCTCAGCCAGCTTTTGGTTGACCCTGTAGGCTGTAGAATTTTAAACTAAGAGAATTGTAAGTTACTTAGAGACAATTTAGTTCAAACTTTTTAATTTATAGATGAAGAAACTGAGGTTTAGCATGATGGTGATGGTGGTGGCGTGAGAGGTGAAGCAACCAATCAAGCAGCTAAATAGTCAAAGAGCTGGACAAGAACTTGGGTCTCCTAAACTCCTTCTGGTGCAGTCAACCAGTTAAACAGAATAAATGTATTGTGAGCACACTATTGATTTGATTGGTAACTACCTCATAAACACAATATAATAATAATGAACTGAAACGTACCAAGAGCCTTTGTTTCAAAATGTGTGAGAGTAATCACAGTGTTGAACCTTCACAGAGAAAAGTAAGCAAGCCAAGTCAACCAAATTTGTTCCATTTGTTAAAAAAGTAATTTGCAAGGAATTACCAAAATGTTCTTACTTATAAAACTCTTGGAGAAATAAATGTTAAAAGTGTCTAAACATTAAGATGAAGATCTCAGTGAGGTAAAAGTATGGGTGAGTTTTATTTTATTCTTTTTTTCCTTAGAGTTTTTAAAAAAAATGTTAACAAGAGTATGACATATTTAATATAATAAGAAAAAAGCTATGAGTTTTCAAAGTTAGGCTGATGGCATTAAAGAACCTGTATGCCAGAGGACAAAACAAGAGGACCATAATATAGGGCCTAATTATATCAAGGTAATGTATAATATCCATCTTAAATTCCCCAGGAGAGACATATATGATTCCCTGTGTCCCTTAGAAATGAAAACTGATTTTTCTCATGATCTTGTTTGAGGTGAAAAAGTACCTATTGATTTATGTTTTAAAAGGCATTATATGAACAGAGCTATTCTTGAAGCTGAAGGCTTCTTCATGCCAAAGATACTCAGTTGAGATTGGGGAACCTGTCAGAAGTAATCCTTTTAAAACAAAATCATAACATGTTATGGTGATTCCATGCAAATTTTTAAGTTGGTGGAAGTGGTGAGGTTGACTTGTTTATTTTTCATGTCACTCAGAGAAATGTCAGCTCGGGGTGTTCCTGAGGCTGTGGATTGGGAGGAGCACTGAAGCACTTAGAACTGCATCTGCAATTTTAGGGCATATGCTGATAACTGCTCTCTGGGATCAATAGTTGAATGCCCTTTAGTGCCGTTTTGATGGAAAAAAATACAAGTTTTTATGATTATTGTCAATACACAGTGTTCTTATTGAGTCTGAAAGTATGGAGACTGAGAAGAAGGTAATTTGGGTCATAGATTCAGTTATGGATAATAGGAAAAGCCTCATTTTCTTTCTTTTTTGAGACGGAGTTTCACTCTTGTTGCCCAGGCTAGAGTGCAATGGTGCAATCTTGGCTCACCACAACCTCTGCCTCCTGAGTTCAAGCAATTCTTCTGCCTCAGCCTCCTGAGTAGCTGGGATTACAGGCATGCACCACCATGCCTGGCTGATTTTGTATTTTTAGTAAGGATGGGGTTTCTCCATGTTGTTCAGGCTGGTCTCAAACTCCCGACCTCTGGTGATCCGCCCACCTCGGCCTCCCAAAGTGCTGGGATTACAGGCATAAGCCACCGAGCCTGGCTCTCATTTTCATTAGAGTTTTGGATATGGACACTACCTATCATTTCTCCCCTTGCTATGGCTTTAACCCGCATAAATAAACCAGTATACAATAAATCCTCAATAATGTTCAATAAATGAATATATGAAAACACTCCTCTGGTGACATGGGACATAATAAAATTATCTCTGACATTTCCCTGGTCTGTTCTTCCAAATTCTGAGGGCCTTTTGCAGACTTCCCCCAAGAGGAAGTCTCCTTGCCTGTCAATCACTGGGAAGCTACCTGAATGCGTGTCCCACTTGACCTCAGGCAGTGACGCTTTCTAACCCTTCTCTTGAACCTTCGCCAGGAGTTGCCGTTGCTACATAGAGGAAAACTCTGAAAGGAGAATTGTAAGCAAATCAATGATACAGAATTAACTGTAATACAGGGTAGACTACAGTCATAGGAAACATACAGTGTGAAAAACAGTGAGAGGAGTTTAACCAGTGGGTTCTGGGAAGACTTCAGTGGGTGAAGTTGAGATAGACTTTGGTGAGTGAATAGGACTTTTACAGGTTAAAAATATGGGATGGATCTTCTAGACAGAGGAAATTAGTATAGTTCTGATATTTGACCTTCTGATTTCTGGCCCAGACTGACTTGGCATTGAAGTCATTTCTCTCGCCATGAGAAGGCATAAATTCTCTGATCTCTAATGTGGGTCCTGCATTCTTCAAAACATGTTTAGAGGATCCAGTTCTTCATTTTCTCTCTGGTTTGCTAAAGCAATTCTACTTGGCTTTGTACTTTGCTCCCACATTCCATGGCAATGCTCTTTGACTTGCTCATCTTTGAACCACCATCTCTGATATTCTATGCTGCCGTCCCATGCCTGCCCTCTAAAGACTTTCATCTTTACCTCTCTAACCTTACTCACCTTTTGTTTTGCTCCTAGTTACCGTTATCATAACCTTTTAAAAATCTTTTCTAGGTTCATGACTGCCTCTCTAACTTAACTGTGAATCTAACCCTTTGTGACTGTAATTGTTATTTTTCTGAGTATTCTGCAGACCTCTCCCTTCCTGATGCATGGACATATGGCTCAGCTTTGCAGTATGTTTTTCATGACACCACAGTACTTTCTGCATTTATATAACTCTCATAGATTTTCTTTATTCTTTTAAAAACATGATTCTCCACAGTGAGGAGGAGGAAAGAGTTTTTTTTTTTTTTCTTTTTTGAGAAGGTAAAACTGATTAATCACCATTCTTTCTGATCATGACAACACATAATCAGTCAATTGCTGGCCTTAAGAATATAAATTTCAGACCATGGAATATTTCTTAAAATTGTAGAAGTTTAAGATTTTTAAAAACATTGGTTGCTATGGTTGTATTTTTTAATTTTGGAAGGATTAGCAATTTTTTCTTTAAAAAATTAAAATTTGTATCTCTGATGCTATTAGAACTGGGTGTAGGCTAGATACTGAAGACAGTTTGTGGGTCTCACAGTGGTGGTATAGTTGCCTCCTAAAGGAAGACTGTAACAGAGAAGTGCTACACATCCTGTCACTTTGCAAGAACCAGCTCAGATCCTGTGGAACCCCAAATGACACTCTTGGAATGTGGCTTTATAAACTATGACAATAAAATAAAGAATTATTAAAAGTAATGATACAAAGAAGACACACAGCCTTGGCTCTGTCTGGAAACATATAAAATGGTATCTCCTCAAGTTTTGAAGGAACAGTGTGCTCTTTTGAAAGACATAAGGGCATGTAAGTGGCTTTACTTAACCTTTTAAATGAAAACTTTTTATCAACTGCAGAGAACAAGACATTCTATTTTGCTTTTCTTTTTTTGAGACAGAAAAAACATTTCCCATTAATTCAAGAGTAGGAGGAATTCACACTATTTTCATTCTCTGCAACTTTGCCTTTTAGCAGTTTGTTGTGATTATCTTTACATACTCCTAAGGGTAGTCACCCAGCCTGGGACTAACAGTTTACCCCAGCATGAGGTTCAGGATGGAATGCATACAGGACAGAATGTCAGTGTGCTTCCTGGACTCTTGATCACCTGAGTTTCTGGTTGTAGAACAAGTATCCTGAAATCACAAGCTGTGTTGGCATTCTGGAAATGCTAGAGAGAGCACTATGGCTTGTTTCAAAATTGATAGCAGTATAACCAGCTGGGATCTGAACAGAATCCCACTCACTGCAGCCTGGGCTGGGCTGACTCAGCTGAAACTGCATTTTCTGGGTCTCTGGTGCTATCAGAAACAGGAGGTACTCATCTCTAGTGCAATGGGCAAAACATGTCACCTGAAGTCCAGAGGTCTGAGTTAAAGTCTCAACACAATTGTTAATAGCAGGATGCAAATGGGTAAGCAACGTAATCCATCCGGGTCTCAGTTTCATCACCTGTGAATAAACCTGAGGTTTATTAATGATCCTAACCTCAAAGAATTGTTAAGAAGATCAAATTACAATCTGTAATGTGATATAACATAGTGTCTAAAAGCACAGATTTTTGAAGCCAAATCCTTATTTATTGAGTAAACAAATATTTATTGACACCTACTATGTTCCAGGCATTCTGCTGGTTTATAGCATAGTGGAGGAGACAGGAAGTAAACATTTAAACAGCAATGAGCAGTATCATTCCAAAATTTGTGAGGGCTGTATAGAAAAGAGCAAGGTTTGGTGAGAGAATATTGGGAAGGGGAAACCTCCTTTAGATTGGGTGGTCAGGGAGGCTTAGAGAGGTAGGTTGGCTCTGCCTAAGTGTGTTAACCTTGGGCTAGTCAAAACTTACGTTAAATTTGGTTGGAGAATGGCTGTGAAACTCAGAAGGAAATGTGTCTGAAGTAGGTACATATCTCAGTCTACCAACTCATATGTACAAGAGGTGTAACGTTCTCTGCTCTTCCATAAGTGAATTTACCTTATTTTGTGCTGCCATTGTTCTAGGAGACCAAAGCTAAGCGAATTTACTTTGTGTTTGGTGACTAGGGGCAAAAGGCATAAAGTTTAACCGCAGTGTATCTGGGATCTCCTTTCCATGGGAGGGGTTAATACTAAGCCAGCATTTTTACCGACACAGCCCCCAGTATATCACCCATTGCTTTTTGTACGGTGAATCCTCAGTAACGTTCAATAAGCGAACATGTGAAAACACTCCCATTGTGACAGAGGACATAATGACATTATCTCTGACATTTTCCCAATCTGTTCTTCCAAATTTTAGGGGCCTTTGTAGACTTCCCTCAAGAGGAAGTTTCTCTGCCATGATTCCTTGCCTGTCAGTCACCAGGAAAGCTACCTGAATGCATGTCTCACTTGCCCTTAGGCAGTAACACCTTCCCATAACCCTGACCTTTCCTGGCAGCAAAACTGGACTCTCAAGGCCCCAGCACCACTGCCCAGTGACCATCCTGGAGAAGCCTCCTCATTTATCTACAAGGTCATCAAACTCACTTTATCAAAAGCTCTGATAGTGCTAAATAATAACATATTAGATACATCTTAATGCAATATTACAAGCATATTATCCTTGAGGAAGACATTTTTATTAAGGACAGACTCTCTGCATGCCAGTATCATTAATGGTGATAATGATTATGAAAATAATGATACTAACAATGACATCACAACTATTTCTTGATTATCAGCTTGTACTGATCCTACAAAGATATTACTCTTATTTTACAGATAAGAAAAATGAGGCTCAGAACTTGCCCAAGTTCACTCAGTAAATAAGAGCAGACGTAGGATTTTAACCCACTACATGGATGGGGTTTTAAGTGTGGTTGGAGAACCACAGACATCAGAATTACCTGGTGTTTATTTAAAACATAGATTGATACATACCCCACAGAGACTGGAATTAGAATCTCTCAGAGTGGGGTCCATTTAGCTCCCCTTTAATGTACCTTAAAATTTGGAAAGCAGCACATTAAACTACAGTCTTTCCACGAGCTGTCCCAAGTCCACCGGCTCAGCTGGTGGAGTTAATCTCTCTCTGCTCCCCATATCCTTAAAAATGGATTCTAGATGAGTCTGAAAGGGATCATCTTCCCTCATTTTAGGTACCCCAGAACCCATCTGCATCCCAACTGGTCTGATAAGGATAAGGAACTGAGAAGAATAAAACAAACTGAGCAGTTTCACACACACACACAAGTGTGAATATTTATGTATTCATAGCTAAATACCTTTTAAACTTTTTATTATATTTGGTATTTAACTTTTACATTTTTAATTATAGATTCACAGGAAATTGCAAAGAAATGTACGGGAAGGTCCAGTGTACCTTTTACAAAGCTCCCCTCAGTGTTAGCATCTTGTATAACTATAGTATAATAACAAAACCAGGTAATTGATGTCGGTATAATTCACAGACCTTATTCAGATACATGCACATTGTGTGTATGTATGTGTGTGCATAGTTTCATGTAATTTTTTCTGATATGCAGCGTTGGTAACTAACACTAAAATCAAAATATAGTACTATGTCATTTTATATTCTTACCAGCAATTATTGAGTAATTCAGTTTCTCTACATCCCTTCCAGCCTTTATCACAATTATGTCATCTGCAAACAAAGTCAGTTTTGTTTCTTCCTTATCAGTTTGTATGCCATTTATTTCTTTTTCTTGCCTTATTCCACTGGGCAGAGCTTTCAGTACTATGTAAAATAATCCACAGGAAAGTAAGAAAAGATAAACAGAGAAAAAAGACACAGAAAACAAACAGAAAATAAATAAAGTGGCAGACTGACACCCTAATATACCAATAATTACTTTAACTGTAAGTGGTCTAAATATACCAACTGAAAGGCAGAGATTGCCAAAAAAATCATGACCTAATTACACTGTCTACAAGGAACTTACTTCAAACATAATGACATAGGTGGTTGAAAATAAAAGGGTGAAAAAGACATATATTGTGCAAACAACTTTTTTAAAAGGTGGGATGACTTTTAATATAAGACAAAGTAGACGTAAAGGCATAGAAAATTACAAGAGATAGAGAGGGACCTTACATAATAATTAAAAGGTCATTCCACTAAGAAGACAGCAATCCTAACTGTGGATATACCAAACAACAGAGAGGCAAAAAATGTGAAGCAAAAACTGACAAGCACTGGAGAAAAATAGACAGATCCATAATTATAGCTGGGAACTTACACATCCCACTCTCAACAATTAATAGAAGTATTAGAAAATCAACAATGATATAGAAGAATTCAACAACACTATCAACCGGCAAGATGTACTTGACATATGTAGATCATCCCACTCAGCAACAATAGAATACACATTCTTTTCACGTGACTGTGGAACAATCACCAACATAGACCACATCCTGGGCCACAAAACAAACATTAACAAATATAAAGGAATTGAAATCATACGGAGTATGTTCTCTACCATAGTGAAATCAAACTGGAAATGAATAACAGAAAGGCAACAGGAAGATCGTCAAACACATAGAAATTAAGGATCTTTCGAAACCTTCCCTAAGGCTTTCTCATCTCACATTATCTCACTAGATGGTTTATAATGTAAAACTTTCCTGTCCATCATTTATATATTCGTCTTGCAAGATCTAAGGAGAATAAGGAAAATAAGTAAAAGCTCAGAAAAGAAACGTTACCTCTCCAATATGAGAAACAATTTTTTACCCTTTCATTTGATGAAAAGTGGAGGGCACTGATGAACTCCCCAATCTGTAGCCTCTCCCTGAGTCATGCCTGCAGGCTCATAAGTAATTTAGGGTGTTGAACCTACTCAACTGAGATTTTCGGCATCAAGTATAAATCTGCCCTTCTCTTCAGCTGCCTGTTGCTTTCTGAGGACAGACAACCTTAAGGCCCATTACCAAGGGAGGAATGGGTTCCCTGGGCAGTGGTGTGATGGTCTGTAATCAGGTGTAATTTCGGTAGAACATTGCTTTCTGCCTAAGTAATACATGAATTCAACAGAAATGACTCACTCTTGCCCCTTCAAGGAAGATCTTTTTCGTTCAAAGAAAAGGGCCTCCGAGTGACTTTAATCAAAAGGCTGATAAACAGAGAGAAGTCCTAGATAGCAGAATGCCCTTTCACTTGTGTCTCTGAGACAAAGGAGGAAAGCCACTGAAAATAGGTCTATGGTGTTTACAAAAGTGAGACTGACAATGGCAGAGCAGGCAGGGCTTGAATTGTTTCTGACTGCGGGTACTGAAATGGTCTAGAGGTCATGAAAGAAAATGCATTGCACTTGGAAAGTGTAGAGCTCCACTTTAGCTTGCAAACACAGATGGTGACTCTAACCTTGGCTTCCTTAATCAGTCTCTATGTCTCATTGACTTGTCCGTGGAAAACAGCTACCTTGGACTTAGCTAACAGCTGTTTTTTTTTTCTTATGGAAAAATAAGTGCTGTTCTACCATTTAAACCCCTTAAAGGTCTCCCTGATGCCCTTTGAATAAGGATAAAATTCTTTGCTGTGGCTTGCAGGCAATAGCTCAGGAACTGCACCTATCTGTTGTGTGTCTTCAGCTTCATCTCTCACCAATCTTCCCCTCCATTCTATACTTCAGCTGGAATAAAATTCAGTCAGTTTTACCACTATATCATGTTCTCTCTCATCCCTGAACCTTTGAATATCCTATTCTCTCTACCTAGCACACACTTCTGCCTCTCCACATGGGTAACTATTACTCATACTTTGGCTTGCATTTAAATGTTCTCTCCCAGATCCCACCTATGACAGGTAGGCCCATCAGAAGCACCCTTTACTGCCCCTATCCAGTACCTGACCCTCTTATGGTTATGACTTGCTTAATAGTCCCTCTTCCGTATAGGTTGGGAGCTCCATAAGGCGAGAACCATTCTTAGTTTATCATTTATCTCCATTTTCTCATACAGTGCCTGATACCTGAAGGGCACTTCATAATTGATTTTTGGATTGATAATCAAAAGAAGAAAAGCAAGAAGGTATTATTCTCTGGTGTTAAAAGTGTCTCCTCATAAATGCAAGCCCTACTCAAACATACTATTAGGTTGGTGCAAAAGTAATTGCAGTTTCTGCATTTTTTTAATTGCAAAAACCACAATTACTTTTGCACCACCTAATAACTTTAGACATTAACAATCACAGCATGGCCCTGCAATCCCCAGCCATGGAAGTGCATTAGAATCATCTGTAGAACCTTTTCAAGATACCAATCTTTGAACATATTGACTGAGTCAGTGCTGTACAATAAATGTTTGATGAATTAATATATAAACAAGAATTGAGAAAAGATAAATTTTTCTCCTTCAGAAAATCACCTTTAGCCTCCTCACTGCTTATTACTTTGATAACAAATGGAAAAGTAACTAAAATATGAAACAAAACGTCCAGGCTTTAAAAACAACTGCACGATCATAGGCAATAACTTAACTTTTTTGAACCTCAGTTTCTTTATCAGTCAAGGGAAACTGGTGAACCCTGCCCTGTCTAACTCAAGATAAATGAGAATGAGTATGCAAAAATGCTTTCGTAAGCTGTAAAGCACAGTAGAAAGCCAGCCATTTTATTATGTCAAAACCCAAACTTAGGATCAGAAATTAATGTCCTTCATTTTCTCCATATCAGCCCAGTAAAGAGTCAGAGAAAAGTGTGGACGTGAATATGACTAGAGAGAAACAGATCAAATATTATTTGGTAAAACAGATGCTTAAAATTCCATTTAGAATACATAATGTTCTGAGAGGTTCTTGTCCTAGATTTCTCTATCATCTGATATTTGTTTTACCCAGGATTCTGTAGCATAGATCAGTAAACTAATTCTGCGAAGGGTCAAGATAATAAACATTTTTTACTTTGTGGACCACACTCATATGATCTCTGTGGTAGGAAGGCAGCCATAGACAGTATACACATGAATAAATGTGGCTGTGTTCCAATAAAACTTTATTTACAAAAGCAGGCAGTGAAGTAGATTATTCCTATCAGAATTTGCTGATGCCTATTCTATAGTGATCCTAAAGGATGCTGTCTCTGTTGCAGGTTGGGTTTCCTGAAAAGCAGATGCTGACAAGACAGTATGCAAAAGATTAAGTAAGATGGTTCCTTGGGGTCAACACCTGTGGAAGAGAAGGAAAGGAAGCAGGATTGTTTAAAGCAAGAAATTTGGGCTCTGATGCAGTCCCAGTAAAATTCGCAGTTGACCCCACAGGAAGTTCTGGTGCTGGCATGATTCTTCAGAGTTGTACAGGTTGGAGGTAGAGGGCCAAGGTTTTATACCCCATATGAATTAGTTATTGGATGACCCTCATCCCCAAGAAGTGGACATAACCTTGGACAAGATGGATCTCTTCAATTCCTGGAGGGGTTGACAGCTGAGAGCTTTGCACCAGCAGCACTCCCACTAGCTGGACGTGCATGCCCTTCCAATGCATAATATTACCTATGATACTCTCCTGTGGGATTTAGCTGTTTGTAGCATCAATGCAAAATACTTATTTTAAGAGTTTCCAACATCACTGCATTTAGCTTTAGAAAATTGTACCATCACTGTCATATTTCTCAACTGTCTCTTCAAGGACATGGGGGTCATATCATTCTGGGTCTTTTCTTTCTTGGGTTCCATTAGAAATGCAGAAATCTCTGGTTGACAAGAATGGCCACATGGCTAGCAAAGAGGTCATACCAAAAGTTTCTTTAAGGCATTACTTAATGTTCATGCAAAGAGGGCAAAGTTTTGGAGACCATGTTATATTTGTGTAAGCTCCATTAGTAACAAGCCTGGCTCCTGAATGCTACTTCAGGGATAGATAGCATGAAAAATCTTGGGAAAGGAATAGCATTGCAGAAAGTCCTCCAATATTAAAAACTTAAGAAATGTGCTTTAGGCCTTGGATTTAGTACCTTCACTTGTGTCCAAGGGTTTATATTACAAAGAGGATTGAAGTACACTAAATTGTGAGCCAGGCTAGATTACTTCTAGGATGTCTTCTAACTCAAGGTCTGAGATTCTAAGAGACTCCACAGGGTCTTCAACATTTTCCAGATTTTAGCTTTGCTAATTGCATATGCTCTCAAGAATTACATTTCAGCTGAAATTCACTGAGTTAGTGCACTCCCATCACAACCAAAATGCATTCTGAGTGGTTTTACAGCAACAGCTTGTGGCTGACAGGCAATGGAAAAAGATACAGGATAATCTATGGCCTCCAAGGAATCAGTCCAGGAGTAAAGACAGCCTCAGGGCTTTCAAGGTGGTTCTTATCAGCATAGCACTAGAGCACCTGCATTTTCTCGTGGACAGAAGAATCAGGGAGCTGGCTTTGCACAGTGTTGGATTTGAGATTTCCCTTCTGCACTTCATTTTCCCGATGGCAAAATAAGAGGGAGGCCCCAAATGAACTTTAAGCTTCCTCTCAGCCTTAACACTCCATGACTAAAACATAAACTTGGTCCAGTAACTTGTCTTCCATCTGTGCCCCCGTAAAAATTAAACCTAAGAGAAGCTATTAAAGGAATGCCTGAGCAAAAATGTAATTTGTCTTTGGATAGACATAAAGTTACTGTTAAGAAAATAATTTCCAGTGGCATCCAGGGTGGCTCTTCACTAGAGAGCCAGGCTTGTGTTTTAATAAGGCTTTGAGCCAGATACAGAGAGGAGAGAAACTATTCTTCATGAATCCAGGCTGTGGCATTCTTCACAAAGACCTTGAAGAACGCAGACCCCAAGCTCTCGGGATGCTTTATCATTTTATCTAGAATTAAATTAATAAACTTGGTAAAGTCTGTGCTCTATAGAAAGTCTGTGTTAGCACACATAATGAAAACGGAAGCAAAACTGTTCATAAATAGATTATGAAGCCAGAAAATCTGTAGCGGTCAAAGAGAAACAATTGTTTGAAGTTACTTAAGCCCAGCCAAAAGTCTGTTGCTAGCCACTCTCTGGAAATGCAATACCTCTTCCATCTCCTCCAGCCTCCCACTTATCACAGTGCAGTTGCATCTTTCTGTTGGTCTAGGGTTTCTAATTGAGCATTACTCAGTTTGCATTTCTATCATGGAGACGCAGAGATGTCTGTAGGTTATCAGAAGAAAGAACCCTTGATAGACTGTGTAGGTGAACTCCCTTTCCCTACATAGGGTCCAGGAAGAAATTACCTATAATTTGTAACAGTGCAGCCTGGGATCACCTGAATCATCTCCTCACATGTGAAAATAAAAATCAACTGAGAAATTAGAATATGTTGAGAAAGAAAAGCAAAGAGAAGGGGGAGGAAAAAAGTATCAGAATACAGCCAAGATGCACGTTATCGTCATCTGTTTGTTTTAATTGAATGGTTTGTGTCTTCAGGCAATCTCATTATTCTCCCCAAAGCAGAAGTGCTGAATGAAGACACAAACTTCATTAACCTTTGAATGCTGAAATCAATAATCTGCAATAAATCTAAGCTAATTTGTTGCCAATAAATTTCACAAAATGCAGTGTTTTATAGCTGGGGACTTCCGAGGATGGGGTAAAAGCATCCACATCTGTATCAAGATGGTATCTGGGGTTTGTCTTGTTGGGTTTTAGGATCCTCTGAACAGGAAACAGGTTAATTACATATACATAGAACATGATTTTCCAGTAGGGTTAATAATCTGTTTTTTTAGTTGTGAACACAATGGGACCTTTTCTTGTCCCATGACTCTTTCTAATAAATGACGCGAATAAAGAGAAACAAACAGCTGCCTGAAAGTTCCTTCTCTTTCTTTCTGCTCTGAAAAGCAGGGATGTAGCCCCCCTCAGAAGAACTGGGAAGGGATTCCTTGAGCCTCAAAACAGAGTCTGGCTTCACTCACATAGTGACTAGCACATAGTAGGCACCCAAAAATATTGGTTGAGATAATAATAAAATGATGACCCTGACCTTTGAGAGTCAACATTTGCTTGCTAAAGATATATGTATATGTAGGTGTGTATATGCATACATGTATTTATATGTACATATGTGTTTATATACAGGTATGTGTATGTACCTATATATTACATACACACACACACACACGTCTGAGTTAGAGAGTAGGATACATGCTTGTTTATCTTGGATAATAAAAGAATGAGACAATGAAGTATTTGGCAGTTACAGGGAAGAGACTGGGAATCAGGGTAACAGGAAGCAGGAAGAACTCTAAGCCTGCACTGCAGTGGAAACTCCATGAGAGCAGCACTTTGTCGTGGACACCAAGTCCCCAGTGCCTCACACAGTGCCTACGACAAAGGAGGTGCTCAGCAAGTGCTTCATGGCCAAGGCGAAGGAAGGTAAGTGGATGAGGAAATTGTTACAAGAAATAGGAGAAACAGGAGAGCAGTTATAAGTTTTCTGTAAATGGTATCCACAGAGAGCAGAGAATATCTGTAGAAGTAAAACAACAGGACCGCTCATGTGAACATGTAACAAGCCACCTATTCCAATGGCTTTCTCCCTCCTTGGGCATGAGCCTCTCCTTAGCCAGGAGAAGAGTTCTGTGTTCTAAGGCAGTGCATCAAAAACCATAGTGTCCAAATGTGAAAGAGCAGGTCCCTATCATCCTGTCTTATCTCACTGATGTCTCCTCTCCTAGGTCAAATGAAATCACTTTATGGATCTCAAAACACCAGTGAGCCCTCTCACCACCAGACCCCATACTGAAGTGCTCCTGAGAGGAGAAGCCACCCATGGCTGCTGAGCATCTGGCATCAAAATGAGGGCTAACAATGCCCTCTAACACAAAGTAGCTCCTGGTTCAGTAGCAGTCATTTAACAGATGCTGCTTCCCCTGTTGGTTTTGCCCCCAGCCCACTAGAAGTCTCATGAACTGTTACTTAATGAGCTAAAACCCACTCCCTAGGTAAGGGAAGCAGAAAAGATAGATGTTGTTGCACCAGTTTCAGATCTCCAGTGAGTGGCGTACCACTGCTCAGACTGACATATTTAATGAAGGACTTTTAAAGCAGTGTTTGCCAAACTGTCATCTCCAGGCTACCTGCACTGGCATCACCTGGATGGCAGCTAACAATTCAAATTCCCAGGACCCACTACCAGAGATTTGTGTAAGAAAAGGTCCCAGACAGGGCCAAGGAATCTACATTAACGAGCATCCTAAAAAATCACAAGCACACTAAAGCTTAAGAACCCTGATTCCAAAATAAATTTATTTCCTTCCTGCTCCCTGAGAGTTTCAAAACATCAGGTCTTTACTCACATTGGAATGTAGGGTATTCCCTGAAAAGCACAGTCAAAATAGAGCACGGAATCAATATGTATTTGTTGAGTATCTGCTGTGTGACAGGCAGTATAGTGTGGAGGGGAGGGAGGCCCTCTGGAATGAGGCTGTGGGAGTTCGAACCCCCATTCTGCCACTTAGCAGTGTGAAAAATTTGGCAAATTAATTAACCTCTTCACATATTAGTTTCCTATTTGTAAAATGAAGATGATAACCACAGCACCTGTCTTATGGGGTTGTTAATAAGTTAAACACATGGAGTGTTCAGATCACAGCCTGGCCCAAGATAGGTGCCTAACTAATACAATAACTAAGTGTTTACTGTTATTATTACTATGGGAACTGGGATTTAAAAAGTTATCCCTGCCCTCATGGCACTTAAAATAAAAGGAAAGGCAGGCATGAGCCACAATCTGTAAAGAAGGAATTAACTAGATACGAGAGTGAGAGTGCTTGGAAGGAGAATGACCAGTTGTTATTAGGTTGTATGAAAACGTGGTTCTAACAAGGATCTGTCAGGACAGAGTGATCCAGGACGGCAGGAATCACTTAGCAAAAGCCATAGAGTAGCAAGAACCAGGTGCAGGAGTCTCAACATCGAGATTCTAGCCCCATCCCTGCCTCCAAACTAAACTATGGTATGCCAAGGCAGGTCCTTCTCCTCTCTGAACCTCAGTTGCCCCACATGAAAAATAAGAGGCTTAGCTGAGATGATCTCAGGTCCTTTCAGCTGTGATATAGCAGCAGGAGAGAGAACAGGTAAGCTTTGTCCCTGGCGCCCCAGAGCCCATGCTGTGAGGACCAGAGGGAAGGCAGAGGACAGGCAGGGGGAAGGAGACAGGAGTACCCAGGGTCAAAAACATCCTTCCTCTTGCCAAAGTTCTCTCGAGCCAAATATATATATATATATACACACACACACACACACACACACACACACACACACACACACATATACATATATATACATATATATATATATTTGGCTCAAGAGAGTGTGTATATATGTATACACATATATACATATATATACGTGTATATATATACGTGTGTGTGTATATATATATATATATATATATTTAATTTTTTCTCAGAAATTGTATTTTCTAAAATAATACCAGGCTTATTGTCTGAGTCTGTAGAAACAGAAACACATGTTTTCATGTTGCCACATGTAATAGAAAATTAGTGGTGAAACGAAGGGAAAGGAGAGAGGAAGGGAAAGGAGGTCCAAAGGCAGAAGAGAGAGAGAGAAAGGGTGGAGAAGAGCTGAAAAAGAGGAAGAGGACAAGAGAGGAGGTGAAAACCAGGAGACACATCAGCTGAAAGTTTGGGGAATGTCCTTAGAAAGCAGGATTTGCAATTCAATAGCTGCCCACTCCTGTTCTGTCTCTTTCCCCCCTTCATCCACCTCTCAGACTCTATTCTAACTATATTACAGGACCTTTCAGTTGCTTCATCTCTCCTCATGTATTTCTCTGAGTAGCAATAATAGATGAATGACAAGAACTACCAACCTACTTCCAAGGTAAAGATTGGAAACTGCCTTTCTGTAAGTGAGAAAAATTTTTAGATTAACCTGTCCGCCTATATGAACTCTTATGTTCCTGTTATAAACATTACCTGGAGCTGGAAAGAGAAAACAAAGACTAGAAAGATGGAGTGCTAAGAGCCTGCTCATTTTGTAGATGGCGAGATGGAGGTGCAGAAAAGAGCTGCGACCTGTAAAGAATTACAGAGCGAGGAGGTGCCAGGGCTGAGAGCGGCACACAAGTCACCCATTGCCTAGTCCTAATGAGACACATTCACAAGGACAAGAAAAAGCATTTCACATTTCAACAGTTACATACATACAGCAATATGTGTTAGTGAAATTAGCATATCACATCCATGACTTGAGGGACATTATTGCTTAGGGCAAGGCTAAATTATGTATCTGTGTTTAAAATGTGAGTCAGTTTAAGGAAAAATATTAGGTAAATAATGCAACCGTTGATACTTGTGTTACTGATGACTCCTGGCTGGATCTTAAATTACTGAGAGAGACTATGTTTCTAGCCCTTCAGTAAGAAAAAAAGAAATCCATCCAGCTTGCAAACCTCCTGAGCCCCCTCTGAAAAGTCAAACAGCTCACCTTGTGGCACCTCCTCCCCTCCCGGAATAAGCCAGGGAAATGAGAGTTGGGTATTCAAAGGAGTCAGACAAGCATAATATCATATATACACTCAACATCCATCTCCTGTATGAAACCTCATTGTTCCTCTGTAACAAAAAGTAAATATTTACCATGAGCCAGGAGAGGTAGTGAATGATCAGCCTCTGGGCCATCAATCACCATGAGCCATGCTCCAATTTTAATAACCCTCGTAAGAGAGGGCAGGCAAGGATGGCAAAGACTGTCCAGGAGATAAGAGTTTGTCAGAGGAGTCAAATCGCTCAGAGTGGAAGAATATGAGGTGAATTGTTCAAGCGTGCAGACTGTGAAGGTCCCTAAAGATGGGTTTATAAAGTTGAGGCAGCAGGACAGAGTGGTTAGGAGCACAGCCTCTGCAGCTAGACTACCTGCTCCTCCACTTATCAGCTGAGGGAGCCTGGACATGACAATTTCCCGGGGGGCCTTTACTACATCTGTGCAGTGGGGATAATAAGAGGATCCACTTCATAGGGTTGCTGTGTGGACAAAATGAGTTCCTGCAGGCAAAATGCTTATAACAGCAGGAGCCTAGGAAGTGCTCAGCAAATATGTCTAGGGTGTCAGGAGGTAGAAGCCTTTCTTGGCTGTAAGAAGATGGCCAGGAGGGTGGTTACTCAATCTCTGTTAGCCATGGTGCACTCAGCAGTCCAGGAGTTCAATTGAGCTGATTTAGAATTTATGTAATTGTTCAAGCTCATGTGGCCAGTAGGTGGTAGAGCCAGGATTTGAACCTAAACAGTCTGTCTCCAGAGTTTATGGGCTCAATCATTGTGCTATGTCACCTCTCTTCAGTGAAGAAGAGATCACAACACATTTGTTGTTGGTTTTTTTTTTTTTAAATTCTTTTTGCTGCTATTCACCCTTTCCTCTTTCAGATGTAGGAACTGACTAATTCTCCAAGGGAAAGGTAAATTACTCAAGTGAAAATAAAAGCGCCAAAGTTCAGAAAACTTAACGTTCTAGCCCCAAGTGGAATGGCTGGAGGAATTGGGAATGATTACACCTGGAGTGGGATTTTTTGGGCAGAGGATGAGTCTTTGTGTACTGAGGACAGCTATGGTGAAAAGAACCTAGCCTGTTCTCCATGGCTGTAGAGACCCAACTGCACTGAATGAGAGGTTATCCAGAAAGAAATTCTGGTTCAGTGTTAAGACAGAACATTCCAGAAGATATCACATAGTGGCTGCAGTGAACTGAATGCTTGTGTCTTTCTAAAATTCATATGTTGAAATCCTAACTCCCAATGTGATGATGCTAGGAAGTGGAGCCTTTGGAAGGTAATTAGGTTGTCAAGGTGGAGCCCTCATTAATGGGATTAGTGCACTTATAAAAGGGACCCCAGAGAGTTCCCTGGCTCTCTTTCCACCATGTGAAGATGCAAGAAGGCAGTCATCTGCAATCTGGAAGATATTCCTCACTAGAATCTGACCATGCTGACACCATGATTTCTGACATCCAGCCTCCAGAACTGTGAGAAACACATTTCCGTTGTTTATAAGCCACGTGGTTTATAGCATTTGTTATAGCAGCCCAAATAGACTAAAGGCAATGGCTGAGAACTTAAATTCAAGTCAGACAAATTCTACCTCCACCACTTACTATTTGTGTGACCATAGGCAATTACGTAGTCTCTCTGAGCCTCCAGTTCTTCATCGCAAAATAAAGAGAAGGGCTTAGTGGTATGCGTCTCCTAAGACCAATATTATCTTTAAATGAAATAGAGCAAGTAAAAAAGGTTAGCACAGCACTTGGCTTATAATAATCCCACAATGCATGTTGACTGTAAAACTGGTGTAGATTATGAGCAAATGGAAACATTTCTCTGAGTAAAGAGGACTCTTTCTTCATATTTTATTCCTCTCTAGATGCTTTTTATGTTTAAAATATTTTTGGAAGATCATTTATCCATCCTTCTATTCATTTAGTGAATAGACGTTTCCTGAGCACCAACTAGTTGTAATGCTCTGAGGGCAGAGCATGAGAATATTGAAACAGTGTGCTTATATTCCAATGAAGGAGGCAGGCATGAAGAAATAATTACCCAATTCATCATTTAACTATAATTATAATATATGCTGTGAAGGATAATTCTAGAGCCACCACCAGAACATTTAACAAAGGGACTGATCTAGCTTTGGCAGGGACATCATGGGGCCCTCCAAGGAAGTAAGTTTTGAGCCAGGTCACCTCAATGCGATGCTGTGATTTGTAGCCAAAGTTCTGTGTGAACCCACAGAAGGCAGTTATTAGGAAGTCTTAGATGACCCAGGAAAGTGTCACAAATGATTGGATTTGAGCTAGGTCATGAAGGATAAGGAACATTTCCCTAGGAAGAGAAAGGAAAGAAGAATGTTTGTTGTACAGGACTTTGTAAAGACTTGGAGGAAATCTCAGAACAGGGACTCAGATAATATTAATTTTGTTTTGAGCAGACAGTATTAGCAAAAATTCAATTAAAACCTATTCTTTAAAGATTTTCACTGCAGTGTTATTTATCAAGAAAAATTGGAAATAACTATAAAAATAATTGTCTAACAGTTGTGGAAATTTAAACTAAATTAAGCCCAACAGGACTTTCTACATAATACTACAAATATATTAAATATATTCTTCAAGAGCCTGTGATAACAAGGGAAATCTTATTTAAAGTACCAAGGGAAAATAGAGAGATATAAAATTGCAGTTATCATGTGAGCACAACCATATTATTTCAACCTATGAATATTATTCTGAGAAACAGAAAAGGAAATAAATATAGAAAAATTATATCAGCTTATTTTAAAGTATAGAAAGTTTTTTTCAATTTGTATTTTTAAAATTTTAATTTTTTTTTTGAGAAAAGGTCTCGCTATGTCGCCCAGGCAGACCCACCCACTGTGCTTCAACACATGCATGGCCAGGAAGGTGCCCATTCCTCCCTGGACCCCACCCGTTTAAAGCAGTTTCAGCATCCTTGACACAGTGATGCAGAACCTTTCAGGATTTGCTGGAAGCCACAGCCCAGCCTCTTGATGCAAACTGAATTCAGCCAGTGTGTGAAGAGAAGACCCTTTCCCTTGTGTGGAGTTTGAATCCCGTGTTCCTAGCCTTTGCAAAGCTCTACATTAAGTCTATATCCTGCTCTTGAAGGAGTCCTGACGGGTGCCAGGTGTATTTTTGTGCAATGGGAACCAATAAAACAGGTGTATCTTGGGAACTGCCATTGGAGTGAGAGAAAGAGAGGTTTTCTACAGTTGTAGAGTAGATGATAGCACTTGTATTAGGCTGTTCTGGCATTGCTATAAAAAATAAATAACCGAGGCTGGGTAATTTATAAAGAAAAGAGATTTAATTGGCTCATGGTTCTGCAGGTTTTGCAGGAAGCATGGTGCTGGCAGCTGCTCGGCTTCGATGGAACCCTCAGGAAGCTTACAGTTGGTGGAAGGTGAATGGGGAGCAGGTGTATCACAGGATGAAAGCAGGAGCAAGGGAGAGAGAGTGGCTGGGGAAGGGTCACACTTTTAAATGACCAGATCTTGCAAGAACTCACTATCATGAAGACAGCACCAAGCCATGAGGGATCTGCACCCATAATCCAAACACCTCCTACCAGGCCCCACCTACATTGGGGATTACAATTCAACATGATATTTGGGCAGGGACACATATCTAAACTATATCAGCACTGGAGTTATAAACTGCATCTGCTAGAAAATATTGAGCAATATCAAGTTTTCATCCGCTGCTCCAAATGCAGCAAGAGAACTGAGCTTTACCTCAATACTCAAGAAGCTGCAAGACACCATTGAGCAGAGAACAAAAATTGAAACTGGGGACATGTTCTGAATCAGAGGCTATGTCTACATGTGCAGAGAAGAGTGACAAATTTATGCCACTGCTTATTATAAAGTGGACGATCCAGTGTGGAACATTCAAATTGCAAGGGTGTTTGAGCTGCCCATTAATCTACAGGAAAGTTTAGACCAAGCCTTTCCATTGCCCAGACTTAGAGAAAGAAGAAGCACTAAGCAATCCAGGTGTCCTGGCCTTCACTAGTCTCATGTGTTTGCTGAGTGAAAAAGCCAAAGAATTCCCCATAAAGAACAGAGTGCAGAACTTTGACCAGCAGGAGTTGGAAATGGTGGAGCCTTTGCTGTCCCTTGCTAACCAGCCTGTTACTGACAGTGCCTGCTCTGAACAAGGAAATTTTAAGAAGGATATCACTTTCAAGGCAATTTATAGCATATTTTAAAATGCTATTCAACAGCTGCAGGAAAAAGGACTCGTTTTCCAGAAAGATGGTGGTTTTGATAACCTATGCTGTGTAACCAGAAAAGACAAAGACCTGTATAGGAAAATCCACTGGATAATTCAGGAAGACTACCAGAAACCAAATCACCCGAAGAAGGGCTGCCACTTCCTGCACATCTTGGCCTGTGCTCACCCTGAGCATCTGCCCGGTTCTAGTTAGGGCTATGTTGCAGCAAGTTCTGGAGCTCCTGGAGGACCAGAGTGACCTCATCAGCACAATGGAGCACCACTACTCCTGAGCAGTGGCCTTCTACTCCTGGCCTTCTGAGCAGACACCTGAGCACGTGCATACCAGCCAAGGAGGAGAAAGACAAGGTAGGATTCAACCTCAGGCTCTGATTTTAAACATCATGTGGGGCTTATATGCCTGGAAGCAGTTACCTCCTTATAAACTTATAAAATATGACAAAACACCACCACCACCAAAACTCCTGGGCTCAAGCCATCATCCTGACTCAGCCTCTGGAGTCTCTGGGACTACCGGTGTGTGCCACAACATCCAGCTTACGTGCTAAGTTTTCTATAAGAAGAATGTATTATTGATTTTGTGGATGGTGGAAATAAATAACTTTTCCTTTCTTTCTTTTTATGGGAAAGCTCTCCTGATCAACTTTACCTAACAGGAAAACATCTACCAATATCATTTCCTCTGCTGAGGCGAAGCTTGACAGGCATCAATTATTCACTCTAACATTTAAAGATTTGTTTAGAATGAAAAAAAAAAAAATCTTTGGCGTGGCGCAGTGGCTCTTGCCTATAATACTAGCACTTTAGGAGGCCGAGGCAGGTGGATCACCAGAGGTCAGGAGTTCAAGACCAGCCTGGCCAACATGGTGAAACCCCGTCTGTACTAAAAATACAAAAAAATTAGCCGGGCATGGTGGCGGGCACCTGTAATCCCAGCTACTCAGGAGGCTGAGGTAGGAGAACTGCTAGAACCCTGGGGCGGAGATTGCAAGTGAGCTGAGATCGCACCATTGTACTTCAGCCTGGGCGACAGAGCAAGACTCTATCTGCAAAAAAAAAAAAAAAAAAAAAAAAAAAAATCTTTGAGGGATCATCAGTTAAACCACTCAATCCTGAAATCCTGTATGAGATTAGCTGTACAAGGCTGACCTGACACTAAAGAAGTAGAACACAGAGCAGGCAAGTTTTGACAGAGGAGAAAGAAAGTTCATTTTGGAGAACAGGGGAGACAAAGAATATATGAAATGATTGAGGATAATAAAGCTCCAGGAAAGAAAGAAGATGTCACAGAAAAAAAAAAGAGATAAATAAAAAGAAACAGAAAATTATAGGCAATAAAATTCCTTAGTTTGACAAACTTGGATCAGGTTCCCCACTCTACATAAATTCTCCAGCCCTCTAAGCAGGTTTGCCCATTCATGAGTTGGTCTGCCTGTCTGTCTCTGTGTCTTCATCTTTGTGTGTAAGTGTATGTGTGGGTGTGTGCACGTGCCCCCTCTTTGTTTTCTCATATATTGCAGATAATGACTTAATTTTCTTGGCTAACAACTGATTTATAGTCAGAAGTGTTTGGGTGTCTTTGCAATCACAAACTGCTCTGCCAGTCCAGGATAAGGCCAAGCAGGGTACAGTGGTGCCAGTTATCAGGCAAGGCAGGAGGTCGGGCAATTGCTCACCATTCATTCAATTGAACAGTCTAGAACCTGGAGGTCATCTTCCTCTCCTTTTTCCCCCTCATGGCTCACATCCTATCATTTCAAAGTCCTGCCTAATGATCCTCAATCCCTTTCTCTCTGTCTTTACTACTGCCACCTTAGCTCAGATTATCAGTGGTCCCCTGATGGGACTCCCAGGATCAAATCAATTATCCACATAGAAGCCAAGGTCATATTTCTAAACACAAATCCATCATACCACTTTGTACTCCTGTTTAAAGCTCTTGTGAGGCTCCCATTGGGCTCAGGATAATGGACCCAGCCTGTGGTTCTCAAGGGGCTCCAGCAATTCTTTCTGCATGTTTTCTGCCTCATATCCAAGTCTCCAACCCCACCCTGTATTTATCCAGATGCCGTGGGCATCTTTCCGATCTCTAAACCTACCAAGCCCTTTCATGCCTTTGCATATGCTGTTTCTCTGCCTGGAACCTTCTTCTCTACCCCTTGATTACTCCTCTGAAGAAAATCCTGGCCAGGTGCGGTGGCTTATGCCTGTAATCACAGCACTTTGGGAGGCCGAGGCGGGAGGATTGCTTGAGCCCAGGAGTTCAAGGCCAGCCTGGCCAACATGGTGAAACCCTGTCCCTACAAAAAATACAAAAATTAGCCAGGTGTGGTGGCCCATGACTGTAATCCCAGCTACTCAGGAGGTGGAGGCAGGAGAATCTCTTGAACCCAGGAGGTGGAGGTTGCAGTGAGCTGAGATCACATCACTGCACTACAGCCTGGGTGACAGAGCAAGACTCTGTCACAAAAACAAAACAAAACAAAACAAAACAAAACAAAACAGCCAGCATGGTGGCGTGTGTTTCAGGAGGCTGAGGTGAGAAGATCGCTTGAACCCAGGAGGTCAAGGCTGCAGTGAGCCAAGATTGCACCGCTGCACTCTAGCCTGGGTGAGAGTGACAGCCTGTCTCAAAAATAAATAAATAAATAGGCCAGGCACAGTGCCTCACGCCTGTAATCCCAGCACTTTGGGAGGCCGAGGTGGGTGGATCACCTGAGGTCAGGAGTTTGAGACCAGCCTGGCCAACATGGTGTAACCCCGTCTTTACTAAAAATACAAAAAATTTAGCCAGGTGCAGTGGCGCATGCCTGTAGACCCAGCTACTTAGGAGGCTGAGGCAGGAGAATCGCTTGAACTTGGGAGGTGGAGGTTGCAGTAAGCCGGGATTGTATCACTGGATTGCACTCCATACTGGGTGACAAAGCAAGACTCTGTCTCAAAAAAAATAAAATAAAATAAAGTAAAATAAATACAATAAAAATAATTAAATACCTATTAAATACCTAATTCAACTCACCATGGTGAACCTCCCAAGTTTGTTCTTAAGACTTCCTACTCCTACCAATGTGCCCACTATTTGAGGATGTGAACATTTGGGTATTTGGGTTCACTTCTGGTGAATAAATAGCATTTTGCACCCTGTTCTCACCCTTTTTTTTTTTTTTTTTTTTTTTGATGGCGTCTCGCTCTGTTGCCCAGGCTGGAGTGCAGTGGCTCCATCTTGGCTCACTACAAGCTCCGTCCACCGGGTTCATTCCATTATCCTGCCTCAGCCTCCCAAGTAGCTGGGACTAAGGTTTCCTGCCACCACGCCTGGCTAATTTTTTGCACCTTTAGTAGAGACGGGGTTTCACCGCGTTAGCCCGGATGGTCTCGATCTCCTGACCTCGTGATCCGCTACAGGCATGAGCCACCGCGCCTGGCTCACCTTTCTAATCCATGTTGTTCTTGCTCCTGTGGAAATTAGTCCCAGCTACAAGGGAGGCTTAGGTAGGAGAATCATATGAGCCCAGGGGAGGTAGAGGCTGCAGAGAGCTGTGATCATGCCACTGCTCTGTAGCTTGGGCAACAGAGTAAGATCCTGTCTCAAAACAGAAACAAAAGAAAGAAAAGAAAATCTTTCTCTGACCTTAGAGGCCAGGTTAGACTTTGTTAACACACGCTCCCATAGTATCACTCTTGACGGCAAATGCTTGTTTAATTGTCTGTTGTCTCCCCAATAGCCCATAAGTTGGATGATTTGTCTGTTGATGTGTCTTTAATGCCTAGAAAAATGCTAGGAAGGCACTAAAGAACCATGTGCTGGTTGAATGAATGAATGAAGGAAGAAACAAATAAAAATGACTGGATTCTACAGGATAAGAAGAGGAAAAAGCACACCTACCACCATGCTACTGAATCCTTGGTGAGACTGACAAGGACATTCCCTCCTGCTTCCTGGTATAGTTGTCGTCTGGCTTCTCGTTAATGGCTGTCCTTCATTTCCCTAGTTTCTTAACTCATCACCTCTGCTTTCCAACTTAGAGACCCTGTGATCAAGCTTGATGTTTTTTGGAGCAGTTCATCATTTCAGAAAATTGCCACAGTTGAATCCCACTCAGTTCTCATCTTTATCCTCCACCCCCTACTTATTAGAGAATTTACCGGATGAATTGTACTACATTAATGGACTGAAATATTTTATTTTACTACTAGGAAATTAGACTTCCAGGCCTGAGCACAAATGCTTTATCAGAAAAACAGTATCTTAGGAGGACTTTTATTTATTTTTTTTAGTTAAAGGACTATCAAAGCATTTTCTACGCAAAAACTCCACTGCAGGATAGGGTTGGAAAATGGCAGATAGGAGGCAGGACTAATTTGCAGCTCCCACTCGGATGAACAGAGGAGCATGTGGAGACCCACACTGTGAACTTTTGCTCCAAGAACTACCACAGGAACATACCAGGAAAGCCAAGAGAATCACAGGCCCTTTGAAGGAGGTAGATTGCTGTTGCAGACTCCATGGGACAATAGAGGAACTGTGAGTTGGCTTGCTTTCTCAGCTAGGAGGCTTGTAGCCTGAGGCAAGTTCTCAGCTCTGCTCACCAGCTGCCTGGAAATAAACTCAGTGCTATTGCAGGGGCATGGTGGGAGTGAGACCAGCCTTTGGAGCTGGTAGCTGCGTGGGAGCTGGGTGAGGCCTATGGCTGCCAGCTTTCCCCCACTTCACCAGTGACCTGTGTGATACAGCAGAGGCAGCCATAATCCTCTTGGGAACATAACTCCATTGGCCTGAAAACCACAGCTCCATCCCCCACAGCAGCTGCAGCAGGCCCCGCCCAAGGAGAATCTGAGCTCAGACATGCCTAACCCTGTCCTCACCTGATGGTCTTTCTCTACCCACCCTGGTAGCATAAGACAAATGACACAGTCCTTTGGCAGCTCTACGGCTCCGCCCACTGCCTGGCCCTAGGGCAAGCTTGAATCCTCCCTACACAATGGCAGTGGATGCGTTCTTGAAAGCACCACCTCCTGGCTGGAGGCCAATAAACACAAACCCAGGGCACATAACAAAAATATGACCAAGGACTCTCACAGAGTCCACTTCACTCCCCTGCTGCCTCCACCGGAGTAGGTGCTGGTATCTATGGCTAAGAGATCTGAAGATGGATCACATCACAGGATTCTTTGCAGACACTCCCCATTACCAGCCTGGAGCCTGGTAGCTCTGCTGGGTGGCTAGATCCGGAAGAAAAATAACAACCACTGCAGTTCAGTTTTCAGGAAGCCCTATCCCTAGGGGAAGGGAGAGAGCATCACATCAAGGGAGCACCTCATGGGACAAAAGAATCTGAACAGCAGCCCTTGAGCCCCAGATCTTTCCTCTCACATCGTCTAATCAAATGAGAAGGAACCAGGAAAACAATTCTGGTAATATGACAAAACAAAGTTATTTAATACCCCCAAAAGATCACACTAGCTCACCAGCAGTGGATCAAAACCAAGACAAAATCTCTGAATTGCCAGAAAAAGAATTCAGAAGGTCAAATATTAAGCCAATCAATGAAGCCCCAGAGAAAGATGAAGTCCAACTCAAAGAAATAAAAAAAAAAAATAGATACAAGATGTTAATGGGAAATCTCCAGTGAAATAGAAAGCAAAAGTAAAAAACAATCACTTCTGGACATGAAGGACACACTTAGAGAATTGCAAAATGCACTGGAAACTCTCAGCAATAGAATCAAACAAGTAGAAGAAAGAACTTCAGAGCTCAAGGACAAGACTTTCAAATTAACCCAGTCTGACAAAGACAAAAAGAATTTAAAAAATGAAAGCCTCCAAGAAGTTTGGCATTATGTTAAAACAACTAAACCTGAGAATAATTGGTGTTCCTGAGGAAGAAGAGCAGTCTAAAAGTTTGGAAAACATATTCGAGAGAATAATTGAGGAAAACTTCCCCAACCTTGGTAGAGATCTAGACATCCAAATACAAGAAGCTCAAAGAACACCTGGGAAATTCATCACAAAAAGATAATCACTTAGGCACATCAGGTTATCTAAAGTCAAGACAAAGGAAAAATCTTATGAGCTGTAAAGCAAAAGCATCAGGTAACCTATAAAGGAAAACCAGGCAGACTAATAGGAAATTTCTCAGCAGAAACCCTACAAGGTAGAAGGAATTGGGGTCCTATCTTTAGCCTCCTTAAACAAAACAATTATCAGCCACAAATTTTGTATCTGGCAAAACTAAGCTTCATAAATGAAGGAAAGAAGGTCTTTTTCAGACAAACAAATACTGAGAGAATTTGCCACTACTAAGCCAGCACTATGAAAACTGCTGAAAGGCGCTCTAAATCTTGAAACAAATCCTCAAAATACAATAAAATAGAACCTCCTTAAAGCATAAATCTCACAGGACCTATAACACAACAACAAAAGCAAGAGATTGAGGCAACAAATAACACAATGAATAGTACCTCACATCTCAATACTAATGTTGGTTGTAAATGGCCTAACAGCTCCACTTAAAAGATACAGAATGGCAGAATGGATAATTCACCAACCAAGTATCTGTTGTCTTCTAGAAACTCACCTGACACATAAGGACCCACATAAACTTATGGTAAAGGGGTAGAAAAAGATACTCCATGCAAGTGGACACCAAAAGTAAGCAAGAGTAGCTATTCTTACATCAGAGAAAACAAACTTTAAAGCAACAGCAGTTAAAAAAGACAAAGAGGGACATTATATAATGATAAAAGGAATAGTCCAAAAGGAAAATATCACAATTCTAAATATATGTGCATCTAACATTGGAGCTCCCAAATTTATAAAACAATTACTACTAGACCTAAGAAATGAGATAGACAGCAACACGATAATAGTGGGGAACTTTAATACTCCACTGACAGCACTAGACAGGTCCTCAAGACAGAAAGTCAGCAAAGAAACAAGGGGTTAAAACTGTTCCCTAAAACAAATGGACTTAACAGGTATTTACAGAACATTCTACCCAACAACTGCAGAATATACATTCTGTTTATCAGCACATGGAACATTCTCCAAGATAGACCATATGATAGGCCACAAAACAGGTCTCAACAAATTTAAGAAAATCGAAATTATATCAAGTACCCTCTCAGATCACAGTCAATAAAATTGGAAATTAACTCCATAAGGAACCCTCAAAACCATGCAAATACATGGATATTAAATAACCTCCTCCTGAATGATCATTGGGTCAACAATGAAATCAAGATGGAAATTAAAACATTCTTTGAACTGAACAATAATAGTGACACAACCTATCAAAATCTCTGGGATGCAGCAAAGGCAGTGCCAAGAGGAAAGTTCATAGCCTTAAATGCCTATATCAAAAAATCTGAAAGCACAAATAGACAATCTAAGGTCACACCTCAAGAACTAGAGAAACAAGAACAAACCAAACCCAAATCCAGCAGAAGAAAGGAAATAACCAAGATTAGAGCAGAAGTAAATGAAAGTGAAACAAACAAACAAAAACAATACAAAAGGTAAATGAAACAAAAAACTGGTTCTTTGAAAAGATAAATAAAATTGATTGACCATTAGTGAGATTAACCAAGAAAGGGAGAGAGAAGATCCAAATAAGCTCAGTTAGAAATGAAACAGGAGCGATTACAACTGATACCACAGAAATACGAAAGATCATTCAAGGCTACTATGCACAACTTTATGCACATAAACTAGAAAACCTAGAGGAATTGGATAAGTTCCTGGAAGTACACAACCCTCCTACGTTAAACCAGAAAGAAATAGAAACTCTGAAGAGACCAATAACAAGCAGCAAGATTGAAGTGGTAATCAAAAAGCTACCAACAAAAAAAAGTCCAGGACCAGATGGATTCACAGCTGAATTCTATGAGACATTCAAAGAAAAATTGGTACCAATCCTAGTGACACTATTCCAAAAGATAGAGAAAGAGGATTGTATGAAGCCAATATCACCCTAATTCCCAAACCAGGAAAGGACATAACAAAAAATAAAGAAAACTACAGACCAATATCACTGATGAACATAGATGCAAAAATCCTCAACAAAATAGTAGCTAACCAAATCCAACAGCATATCAAAAAGATAATCCACCATGATCAAGTGGGTTTCATACCAGGGATGCAGAGATAATTTACTATATGCAAGTCAATAAATGTGATACACCACATAAACAGAAATAAAAACAAAAATTACATGATCATCTCAATAGACACAGAAAAAGCATTTGACAAAATTCAGCATCCCTTTATGATTAAAACCCTCAGCAAAATCAGCATAGAAGTGACACGCCTTAAGGTAATAAAAACCATCTAAGAGAAACCGACAGCCAACGTTATACTGAATGGGGAGAAGTTGAAAGCATTCCCCCTGAGAACTGGAACAAGACAAGAATGCCCACTATCACCACTTCTATTTGACACAGTACTGGAAGTCCTAGCCAGAGGACAAGAGAAAGAAATAAAGGGCATCCAAATCAGTAAAGAGGAAGTGAAACTGTCGCTGTTTGCTGATGACATGATTGTATACCTAGAAAACCCTAAAGACTCATCTTAAAAGCTCCTAAAACTGGTAAATAAATTCAGCAAAGTTTTAGAATACAAAATTATTGTACACAAATCAGTTGCCCTGCTATACACTAACAGCAAACAAGCTGAGAATCAAATCAAGAACTCAACCCCATTTACAATAGCTGCAAAAAAAAAAAAAAAAAAAAAAGGAATACATTTAAGCAAGGAGGTGAAAGATCTCTACAAGGAAAGCTACAAAACACTGCTGAAAGAAATCATAGACCACACAAACAAATGGAAACACATCCTATGTTCATGAATGGGTAGAATCAATACTGTGAAAATGACCATACTACCAAAAGCAATATACAAGTTCAATGCAATTCCCATCAAAATACCACCATCATTCTTCATGGAACTAGAAAAAATAATCCTAAAATTCATATGGAACCAAAAAGAACTTACATAGCCAAAGCAAGACTAAGCAAAAAGAACAAATCTGGAGGCATTACATTACCTGACTTCAAACTATACTGTAAGGCTATATTCACGAAAATAGCATAGTACTGGTATAAAAATAAGTATGTAGACCAATGAAACAGAATAGAGAACCCAGAAACAAAGGGATACAATACTACACATTGGGTACAGTGTACACTGCTCAGTGATGGGTGCACCAAAATCTCAGAAATTACCATTAAAGAATGTATTCATGTAACCAAACACCACCTGTTCCCCAAAAACTTGTTGAAGTAAAAAAAAAAAAATCCAGTTGTGCCCTATCCAATATAACAATCACTATCCACATGTATTATCAAGCACTTGAAATGTGGAAAGTGAGAATTAACAAGTGCTATAAGTGTAAAATATTTTATACTATATTTGAAAGACTTAGTATGAAAAAGAGAATGTAAAATATTAATAGTTTTAAATATACATTACATGTTAAGATGATAATATTTCACGCACATTGGATTAAATTTATTCTGTTTCTTTTTACTTATTAAAAAAAAACTCCACTGCAAACTGATCTTACTTTCTGGGTTTGGGGAATGCTCTGAGGTCAGACTAGCTCACACCTTGGATGTGATAAGGATTCCTTGGAAGGACTCTGGATAGACCAGTGCTACCTTAAGTGTGGTCTGTGAACTAGTTTGCAGTGCCCTTAAGACAGAAACTGAGAGTAAGCATCTATATAAACTTATGGTAAGTTAACATTGTCACAGTGTTTTTATTGTATTTTACAAAACTATCAGTCTGCAACAGATTAGAAATTTAAAAACAAATAAACAGAAAAACTGAGTTCTTCACTATGGATAGTTTGGGAAGCATTGGGATAGACAAGTCTAAGAATGCATTCACTGCCAATATCTTCCATTAGTTCCCCTAACTTTTGTGAATCTGTATTTCATAGTTAGTCATGCTCATCAAAAAGAGAAGCTCTATAAGAGCCAGATTTAGCCAATTCAGGATAATTCGAAGAATAAAAAATATTAGAGTGTACACCGGTCAAACAGTAATGCAGGTGTTCTAAGGCAAGCTCAGGGAGGACAGAAACCTCGCATGGGGCATTAGGGAAAAAGTTCACTTGATCTTGATTTTCAGTATGAATACAGACCTTGAAAGCAGGGCCTCATGATCCTTCTGACCTTTTGGGTTTCAAGCAGATGTCAGAAAAGTGACTACAGGAATAGCTGGCATGTGGTGGCCAAGCATTCATAGCAACATCACTTTGTGAAAAAATGAAATTAAAAAAATATTGATAGGGAAAAACGAGCCCCCCCGTGTCTTTCACAAATGTAATTATCCAAGGCTGCTCTGCCTCCTGATGTAAGGTCATGTAGTAATGCTCACAATCATTAATGGTCATGAAGCTCCACTATGCGTCAAGCCATTGAAGTCATTCATGTGCATTATTTAATTCTTAGAATTCTTTTGAGTAGGTATTATTGCAATATTCATTTTAAGAATAGGAAATTCGGACTAGTTAGTTTAATTAAATTGCACAAGATCACTCAGTGAGCAACTAGTGACATCCAGATTGGAGATTTAATCCCACATCTACAACAAGAGTCTAGTTTTGGTTCTTAACCCTAAACCTATACGTTCCTCTCCCATCCACGTCTTATTTTTTCATCTATATAACTGGCTTTTGTCATTCCAAAGAAACACCAAGGCAACTGCAGCATAAAATAACAGAAGCAACATTGAACTTGGAGTTAGCATAACTGGGTGCCAGACCCAGATTTGTTACTAAATAACTGTATGATCTTAAAGAGATAGAACCCAAATTTTCTCACCTTAAAGATAGTGATAACTATGCTGGTACCATTTATCTATTTCACAGAGTTCTTGAGAGGTTGAAGTGAGGTAGCAACTGTGAAAATTCTTTGGAAACTGTAAAGAGCTATTGACTCAAAGATGTTACCAATTGTTATCTTGGAAAACTGAGAAGAGTATGTTCATCTCAGAAGAGATTCAAAATTATTAGATTCTTACAGCATTTTTGTGAAATAGACAGTAATCATGGCTAAGTAAACAATTCCAGACAAGTATCTTTATAAGCCCAGAATTACACAATGATACTTTTACAGCCATAGAAGATATATTCCATGCCCTGAAAGAGTTTATCGCTCTACTCAAGCAACACTACTTACGCACAGTAAAAATGTAGAAAGCAATACAAGATTGTGGAAATAACCAAGAACTGATGACATGGTACAGACTCAGAGGAGAAAAAATATAACTGAAAGGTGGAATGATTAGGAAAGGCTTGATGAAAAAGGTAATCCTTGAGCATGAACTAGAAGAGAACTTAGAAATCAGCTCCCACCTTCTGCACGTGGGAAATGGAAGCTCAGATAATAGGAAGTGATGTGCCCAAGGCCCCACTGCACTGTAGTGGAAAAGGCAGGATCATCTGATAACAGGGCTTCATTCTCATCACTTCTGGAGTTCTATTTTCTTTTTTTTTGAGACGGAGCCTCGCAATGGTGCGATCTCTGCTCACTGCAACCTCCGCCTCCTGGGTTCAAGCAATTCTCCTGCCTCAGCCTTCTGAGTAGCTGGGATTACAGACGTGCGCCACCATGCCCGGCTAATTTTTGTATTTTTAGTAGGGACAGGGTTTCACTGTGTCAGCCAGGCTGGCTTCAATCTCCTGACCTCAAGTGATCTGCCCGCCTCCACCTCCCAAAGTGCTGGGATTACAGGCATGAGCCACTGTGCCAGGCCCGTAGTTCTATTTTTCAAAGAAGCTAGGTTTAACCGAAGCAATGAGATCTCAATGTGGAGATTTTTAGACAGGTTCTCCCGTGACAGAAGCCAGCCTGGCCTAAAGAGTTGAAATAGGGGGTTAATAAGAATAAGAATGCAAACTTCCAATGCTCTATGTGCTGAAACACTGTCTTTCAGACAAATTGTGTCCCATGGGAGTCTGTGGAAGCACACAGTGTCTCCAAGGGCTCCTGACAAAACATGGCCGTGTACACTTCACAGCTACTCCAAATAGAGTGTCCGCCCTCGCCCACCCATGTCCAATGTCCAAATAGCAACTTACTGCAAAAACAAGCTTTCAGGGCAATTTGCTGAACTCTCTAAATCTGAACATGAGGTCACAACTGCAAATAACAACAACAACAACAACAACGACAACAAACAACAACCACTGTAACTGGAAAAGTATGGTCAAAACAAGGGCAGAGAGGAGACAAACATTCCTAATATTTGTACCACCACAGATCTGGATGGTGTTTCTTGAGGTGAAGTTGAGGCTACTTCAAGGCAGTCCTGAGAGAATGCAGTGGCGGAAATGGGAACTGCTTTGAGCAGCAAGGCATCACCTCTAGTTCAAAGCTTGCTTTCCCATGTTTAAGCAATTTAAAAATGGAGAAATAAATAGTTGCAGGATACCCTCCAGGCCAGACTGAATCCTTGCCCATGGAACACCCTTATTTCTCCATCCAGGCCCTTGGCAGGCAAGAGAGAGTCCTGAGAGAATGTACTCACCTCTCCAGGGTGTCCGGCCAAATGGACAAAAGATTATTGACATGTCAGAACCCTCTTTTGTTGGGCCTTTACTGGGTCAGGAGTCCACCATTTGTAAGATGTTCCCCCTAGATACAGCCCAAAATGACTGCCATGCTGTGACCCTGTTCTTCCTAAAGCAAGATATTGGCAGATCCAAACATGTCACGGTAGAAAGAAATAAAAGAATGCAACCATTTTTCCAGGGCTTCTGGCTGCTGCAGGAAGTCTGTGCCGAGTGATGATTGGAGGTTTCTATTCATTCTTTCACTTCTCAATGAAAATGCAGAGCAATTCAAGATGTGGATACACTTTCTTTTTTACTAAACACCTTACTGGCTTGGTACCTCAGCTCTGTAAGGTTGAGAGCCTTATCAACCAAGTTCAGAGGGTTTGAGGTATGCCATTCCCTTCATCAGTTTCATTTTTGCACAGTGAAAAGTCAAGCATCCCACTTTGCCTGCCCTTCTCAAGCTACTACCTTGGATCTGGGACTTACTATTGATCATGGTCCTAGATTGATTAGGTCAAGGAAGCTAGTTACATAAATTTTTTCCTGTTGTTGTCTCCAATAAATTGCTAGTAGCTTCCTTGAACACATTCTGAAATATCCAGTTTCAACAGGAAAGAATTCTGTGACGGCCCGGTGATGCCTTCCACAGGCTTGGTGTAGGGTACAGGAATAAATGTATGCCTGGTATACATCCTCCATCCCATGCTGTTGACCTTCCCTTGTCTTTTATGCATGGTCTCAGAGCTAAGTTACTAAAATAACAAGCTTTCAAAAACCACTGCTTTCAGCACAATAGAAGTATCATATATAGGTCTAAGCATGAGTACTGTATGACTGTATCCATATTCACTATCTACTAATAAATATTTGTAGGAGAGAGAGAGAGAGAATGCATACAGATCACACGTAGGTCAACAGTCTCAAAGATTAGAATAGTACTCTGGTCTTGTATAAAGGCTTTTTTTGGTGAGCCCTTGATATTTCTGTCCACTTACTGGATCTGGTCTCTCCTTTCCCAGATCCTTTTCTCCCTGACTGACTATGGATGGTATTAATAGAGGTGATATTACTGGATTTCATTTCCTTGCATATTCTTGTAAACTTCTCATTTCCCACTTTATTGATTAGGATGTGTTTGACTCCAAATAACAGAAAATTTTGTTTTAAACAATAAGGACTTTATCATCTCATAAATTTTAATTAATATTAATAAGTCTGGAGTTAGAACAGCTCTAGGATTGATTAGCCTAGTGGCCCATCAGCATCATTAAGGATGCAGACTCTTTTCATTTTATTAAGGATACCTTTCCCAGGGCCGCCCAGCATTCTTTTGTGTCTCATTGGCTGGAGGGCATCACCTCTCTTCACCTAAGCCAATCAATGGCAAAGGGATTGGGACCATGATTGACTTGGACTTGGCTTAGGTTCTGAGTCATTGTAGGGTGCAGATAGCTTCCCCACAAAAGAAAATCGGGGCTCTGCTAGCAGGGGAAATGGGAAATGGTTGTTGCGTAGGTGATGCCCCCCAATAACAGAAGCATTTATTGCCACAGAGGATCGACATTGGAAAAGAAAAACTGCTCATATCTTTTGGTTTTGAAATTTTAAAAGCCTAGGCTGGGCATATACAAAATAGTTAGAAGTCTATGAAATGAATAAGAGCAAAGTTTTCCCTACACCTGGAGACTAGTAAAGATTATCTGAATGACATGAAGATGAGAATGATAAAGGGAAGCTGGGGAGCTTAGGTATGAGTGGTCTCCAAGGCTCCCCATATTGTCTCTGTTTCCTCCCCCACTCCTACCTCAGCCCAGGCAGAACCTCAGCAGACAGGGCTACTAGACACAGAGAGGATGGGGGGATTCAGAAATATGGAAGCAGAGATTCCCACAGTCCCCACTGATGCTGAAGGAGTACAGTGTCCCATTCCCCATACCAACAAGCACCCCAAAACCACAGCAACATGATCCAGTGAGTCAGTAGCCCTGAAGAGGCTTTGTGGTAGGAACAAGGTGGAACTCAAGATCAGAAGGTTCAAAATCTCAGCAGTGGCTAAATGATGATGATACCTCCACAATGCCTATGAGTGCCCCAATGCTCTATAAAAACCTCCCTCCAGATATTGTATGTAGGCTTATGTCTGCAGAATGAACAGGAGAGGAGTGGGCCAGGGGAAGAGCACTGGTGGAGGAAGTGGCGTATTGGAAGATCTAGAGAGTGAGGGAGAGTCTGGCATTTTTTAAGACATGGAGAAGTATAGGTGCCAGGCTAAGTATGAGTTTGAGGAGAAGGGCAGGTGAAGGTCAAAGCACTTAGGGTAGCACATGGCACACAGCATGCAATGCCAGCTGTTGGTATTATTGTTTTTATTATTAATCCTAAGGACAATTGGAAGTCACTGAGGGAATAAATCAGGGGAGCAATTGATGAGATTTCCATTTAGGATATTTAAAAAGGCACTTCTTAAGGATGGTAGCTTGGTGATTTACTGAGATATGGAGAGGCAGAGAAACCAATTGTTTCCCTGTACTCTAAGAATATTCTAGGTGGGTCTGGAAGGGAAGTAGACTTCCCTTTTCTGTAGGCACTAATATTCTAAGTCCAGAGAGCCTAATACGTATCCTGACACTTTTTCTTTTTTAATTTTAAGGATAGCTCTTGATCTAGAGAATGTCTACTTGATCCTCCTTATTGAGGGAAGAAATCCACAAGCAGTTTCCCCTATGAATCTGCGGAAGGGAGGACTTGGGCCAACTTACAAATAAGTGAACTTATTGTCCACTTGTTACAGTTTTGAAACGTGGCCATGGGTTATCTATTATTCACTGAGGGTGTATTCCAAGAGGTTTAACAGCCCCTGTTTCCTGACAGAGGTCAGGCCTGTAGCCCCGATCAGATATCACTAAATAGTCTCCAGAGGCCTAGAAGACAATAATACCCAAGACTGTGCCCCTCCAGCCTGTGGCATGTTGCCCTCTGAGCTGCTTTCCGTATCACAGACAATGGATTTAAAACCCCATGACTTCTCATATCATGGCAGGCAGGTGTGGTAAGTCAGAAAGGACCATCCTCTCAGTAGGCAGGTGTATAATTCCTGCACAGGGAATTTCATCTTGTGGAAGAGGAGGAACTCTATAGACTTCTCCAGGTGTGTCTGTCTGGAAGACATAAAAACAGGGCACATATTGAGAAAAATATTTTATGAAGAAAAGTGGAAAAAGCTTAAAGGTGAAAGGAGAATAAGAAAAAACATGGTGGGTTTCTATTCTAAAGGAATAAAGACAAATTCCCTTGAATAAAATCAAGGTGACAAAGTAAAGGGTCATGCAGACCAACCCAAATGTTTCTTTGAGATATGTGACATTCGAGTCCCCAGATAAACAATGAAGTGAAAAAAGAAGGAAAGTCAGGAAGAGATGGCAGTCTCTGACAAAGTACTCCACCTGAGACCTGCTTTAGATGGTGTTCATTTTCTTTAGGGTGGCTACATTCCTTTAGGACAGAAAACCAGGGGCAGACATCCCATCTCGCCAGCCATATCTTTTTCAGGGTGCCCTTACTGTTTCTGATGACCAGTGACCTTTTTAGCACTTACCTGTATTGACAAGAACCTTCATGGAACTCCCTGGGAAGTCCCTGTCCAGGAGCAGCTGTGGCCAGACTAGTCTTTGATGAATTTCTCGGACAGACCGTAGAGATTTATAAAACCCCTGGGAGAATGACCAGACCTCAGGGCAAGATGACATCAGTGCTAATCTTGAGGAGAGTGAGCCCATTCCTGGACTTTTCTCAGATGGTTGAATCTGCCATGTTCCAGTGAAGGGGGGCAAAGGCATTGTCTTCATGAGTCCTAGTGAAGATACATTTTACATGTCAATTTGGCTGGGCTACAGTGTCCAGATATTTGGTCAAACACTATTCAAGATGTTTCTGTGAAGGTGTTTTATTGCTTTTTTGATAAGATTAATATTTAAATCAGTGGATTTTGAGTAAAATAGCTCTTCCATAAAGTGCGTTGGCCTCACCCAATCATTTGAAGGCCAGAAAGAACAAAGACTGACCTCCCCTGAGCAAGAGGGAATTCTATCAGTGGACTGCCTTTGAATTCAAGCTGCAACTCTTCCCTGAGTCTCCAGCCTGCTGGCCTATTCTATCAGATGTTGGACTCACCAAGCCTCCACAATCATGTAAGATAATTTCTTAAATTATGTCTCTCTCTCTCTCTCTATCTCCATCTCCATCTCCATCTCCATCTCCATCTCCATCTCTATCTCTATCTATATCTCTATCTCTATGTCTTTATCTATCTCCTGTTGGTTCTGTTTCTCTGGAGAATCAGTACAGCCCTGATAACAGAGT
Organism: Homo sapiens; assembly: GCF_000001405.40. Classification (NCBI taxonomy): domain Eukaryota; kingdom Metazoa; phylum Chordata; class Mammalia; order Primates; family Hominidae; genus Homo; species Homo sapiens. The sequence continues at coordinate 155,415,461 of NC_000005.10, forward strand.
CAATGTGTAAATTGTGTGGTTTGGGTCAGTGGTTAAGGACATGGGTTTTAGAGCCAGATCCATCATTTACTATCTACATGATCCTGAACAATTGAACTTCTCTAAGTCTTAGTATCCTGTTTTGTAAAAAGAGAGAAGACAATAGAATCTACCTGTGTTTACTAGGAATATCTTTGCTGCAAATAATAAAACACAACTCAAAAAGGCAAAAGCCAGTGCTGCTGAAACTTTGATGGATGGTAGGACCTAGGTCTTAAGTGGAGAAGCAGAAAGGTGGAAAGTGACCTTTTTTTGGGGTCTATATACCTGAAAAATGTAGTTACACTTGCTTCAGGCACAGTGGGATGAAGTGTTTAAATAAGCATTTTCAGGAATTTGTCTCTCGATTTTCAGGCTCTGGCTTCGTCTTCCTTGGCTTCTTAGACTTCCAAAAGCTCTAGAATCATACTTATCAGTTTGAAAAGTACAGAGAAGATAGAACATCTTTCCCAGTAGTTCCAGAAAAAGTCCTTTCATTGTTTTGGCTTTGTTTGCTCTGGTTTGGGTGGTGGTTCACTCTTGAATCAATCACAGGGCTCAGGTGAATGCAATACTTTCCTGCACCTGAAGCCAAACATGTGTGATTTTGGGCTCCAAACTCTCCAAATCCAAGGTGCCTTGAGGCATTTAGCCATTGCTGGCCGACATAAGCCAGGCTTTGGTAAAAACAAATTGGACCTTTGAAGTTTTGGATTTAGTCTTTGCACTGAGGTATTTTGCTTATTAAGTAGTTCCCATTAATGAAGTTTTTCCTGGGAGGTCTCTAGAACTATCTGTTTTTTTTCCTAATTGAAAGTTTTAATTAAGTTTAAATTAGACAACATGACTATAAAATGGGAGAAATAAAATAGGACAAATAAAAGCAAACCTACAGAGGAAATTAAACTGGTAAATGCATATGGGGCAGGATCATGTGGGTGAGCTGGGATTAAATGGCTCATCTTTGAGAGGGACCTTGGCTCCTTGCTGTAAGTAAATGACCTTCTCCAATGCACTAAATGATATCCTAATGGCCTAAAAGGCTTAATGCACCTCCCCAATTTATTCCTCACTGATCAGTGGGTCCACTGAGTATAATGCACTTCCCTGTATACCCAAAGTAAATGACTAGAAGATGAGAATGTAGAAAGAGTTATTAAACTTTAAACCAACATAAAGATTTATGTCATGAACTTTTCCTTTTTCACAATGTGTTTTCTGACAGACTTGATTTTAAAGACTATGAAACACTCTCAGCTTATTGTTCAAAGGCCTTTCCAGAAATATAAATTACTGGATAATGATCTAAGTTACTCAAGCATGTTGGAAAAATCTTTGCTCAGATACAATTTCAGGAGTTTTTTAACTACGGGAAGCTCATTATTGGTAACAATGGTTAGATTTTTGTGATTATTTTTTATTATGACCTGTAGCACCACACATCAGTCACTGTGAGTCACAATGAATAGGAAAAGCAAACATGTTCATGATAGTCAGGCAAGTCTATTTGTCTTCTGGACTTTTGGAGAACAGTTCCTGGGTGCTAAGTCAACCATGTTGAGTGCTGATTCAAAGAGGATGGCTGGTCCACTTGGCAAGACCACTTTTATCCTCTTTTTTGCCAGTCACCAAGAAGAGTATTTGAAAGTCACTGGCAGCATTTATTTCTCTTGATGGATTCATTCAACTTTGGCAAGAGAAAATGTTTCTGTGTTGCCTGTGGTTGTAGTGCAAAACTCAGAGGGTATGCAAACAATTCAAAAATGGCTTATTGGAAGTCCTTATTGGATTGGTTTTAGATATTAAGATGAAGGTAAGAATTTTTATTTACTCTTGGAGTTCAGAGAAATGGGTGGAAAATTTAATTATTCTACTGTAATTATTTATGAAATGAATACTTATTGAGTACCTGTTATGTGATGGGCATTGTGCTTGCTAGGTGCAGAAAATACTGTGGTAGGATAAAGTTTGACATAATATCCTCCCTCATGGAGCTTCCTATTTAGAGGGAGAGTCATATTTAAAAATATACAAGTAAATCTATAATTTCTAATTGTGATAAGTGCTGCACATCAAATGAATAGGGTACTGGGGAGAAGATAATAGAAACCTAATTTTGATGAGGAGGTCAGAAATACACACACACACACACACACACACACACACACACACACACACACACACACACATATATATATATATATATGGGGCAAGAAGAAATGTGTTGTGTCCTGAAGGAACTTTAAATATTCCCTCTTGAAGTCCATGTTTAAGTGAACAAAGGCCTAAAGCAATCAGGGTACTTTAGGCATAGAATTAACATTTTATGAATTGTATGAACATTTGGAATTGTTATTTAATAATCATGGAAATTACTAAAATGGATTAGGAAGGTCAAGTATGTTTTTAAAATTGAATACTTCCGCTTCCTTAAAAAAAACCCAAACAATCAAGAATAAAACTTGTTTTTCTGCATCTATTCTTATTAAATATAATTTAATATCTTTTATCTGAGAATAACATTTAATTTTGTATATTTAGGAAGAACTCGATCTGAATTAATATTGACTCAATAGCTTGTACCTTTCTACACCTTACTGTTTATGCTCTATCAGCCTGTCATTTATTCTGCTTATCACCATCACCATGCCATTTATTTCACCAAAATTTATTGAGCACTGGATTAGTCAGCTTGAGCTGCCATAATAAAATGCCATAGACTGGATGACTTAACCAGCAGAAATGTATTTTCTCATATTGTGGAAGCTAGAAGTCTAAGATCAAGGTGCCATCAGCGTTGGTTTTTGATGAGACCTCTCTTCCTGGTGTGTAGGTGGCTGCCCCCTTTTGCTGTGTCCTTATGTGGCCTCTTCTATATGCGTGACTGAGAGAGAGGAAGCTCTGGTATCTCTTTCTCTTCTTATGAGGACATCAGTCTATTGGTAATTCCATAGGGCCCCTAATTGGCCCCACTCTTATGACTTCATTTAACTTCAATTATCTCCTTAAAGTCCTATCTCCAAATACAGTCACATTAAGGGTTAGGGTTTCTATGTATGGGTTTTGGAGAGACATGATTCAGCCCATAACAAACACCAGCTATAGTGCGAACTCTATGCTAGGCACTAATATACAGTGGTGAACAAGTTAGTTACTATTCCCCTCCCCCACCCATAGAGTGCTGTCTAGCTGGATGGGTTCACAGTAAACAAATAATTGTGTGTTTGTGTGTGTGTGTGTATATATATTTATATATAATTATATATATATATATGTAACTATTGTCCTAGTGAACACATATCTTGGGGAAAAACCTGATTCTGTGCAAAGCCCAAGGATAGCACTTGTCTAGAAGCTTTGGAGTTAATGTCAAGGTTAGCAAGAGTAATGCTATGAATAAGTTCTTAATTCAAAGTTTTGGAGAAGATCATATGTAGTAGACAAAGCAAAATAATGAGCTGCAAAAATGAAAATACAGGTTTTTTTTAAAAAAGAATAATGCTGTGTTTCTATCTCACATTTAGAATTACTTCATCCACTATAAAAATTCATGAGTGAAGGAGTTGCTTTTAGAACAGTTGTTATGACCAAAAGAACAGATGTTACAGCTCTATCTCCTTAATTATTTCAACCCAATCATTCAATTACCAAAATCCAGCCTTTGCTATCAGAGACAATATGAAAGGAAGGGATGAGCAATTGCCAAGGAATGTTAGGCTGTTAGACAATCTGGGTATCTCTGCTTCCGAAAACATCTTCAAACTGCCAGTCTTCTCCACATACCAGAAGCAGAGTTTTGTTTGTTTTTCTTCATGTTTTGGTCAACTACCTTCCCTGACACTTCTTTTTGTGTACTTTGACTAAATTTACGGTGAGAAACTGGACTTTGGCTTTGTGCATAATCCCAAGCTGTACCAGGCTCACAAAATTCATGCATGTCATTTACCTTGTCTTGCCATATCACAGCTCAGAGGTTGTGAGCCGTGATACAGAAGCATTGATGGGACAGCTGAGCCGTGACACAGAAGCACCGATGGGACAGCTTTGTTATGCTCAGAGGTCCCATGGAAAATATCATAGCTGCAGTTCCTCCAAATCTGGGAACAGTTTGGTTAGTACAGTACAACGCACTGATGCAAATATCCACATGGGCTGTTGATCAAAATAGCAAAGACTGAGGTCTCTCAATTCTCATTTTGCCCTCTCTTTTACAACCATTACAGATTCAATCTCAAACTGTACGTAAAAAGAAAAAACTAAGGAAGAGGCCCCTTAAGAATGTTCTCAACTGAAACCAAATAACAAAAGAACTAGGAGAGATAGAGCTGGGGAGGAAAATAAGGAGAAACCCTGCAGAAATGGTTAAAAAATTTTTTTCTGTGTTGTGATCTCCTGGCTCTTTAGGGCTCAATCTCTGTATGCGATCAAATATCCCATCTATATCCTGTTTCCTTATCATTTCACTCTCTCTTCCTAACTCTCCTGACATCTATAGACATTCTGATTTATTTTTTATGGCACAAATTTCCAAGTCTTAAAAACACTGAATAGTTAATTTTATCATAGATGATTTAAAATAGACAAGAATAGAGGCTATCACAACATGCCAAATATCGAGCTTTATGAGATCTTAATATCATGCCAAATCTGCATCAGATCTATTTATTTTAGCTAAAGAAATTAGACATTTCAGATGCAAATAGGAGCTTTCTATGCACCCTCCCTCTCTTCTTTTTATTTCCATCCCTTACAGGGGTAATTACTATTGTGGGTTCAGTGTTTATCACCCACATGTTATACCTTTGCCATGAATTTAGATATTCAGATATCCATAAATTATATAATATTTTCAGTTTTAAAATTTTTATGTAAATAATATTATGCCACTTACAGCCTGTGGAACTGGCTTTTATTCTCTCAATATTATATTTTTCAAATTAATGCATGCTGATACAAATAGCTCTAATTCATTTTCATTGCTGTAAGGCATTAAGTGAACATACTTCAGTATATTTTTCAGGTTTCCGCTTTTTAAAACAAATTTTGATATTCTTTATTCAGGAATAAAAATTCCAAATTATAAATTATCCTTTTCTACAAAGACTCGATATATTTTATTCTTCCCTTATGCCAATTTATGGAGGTATACTTGACAAATAAGAATTGTATATATTTAAGGTATACAAAGTGATATTTTATTTTGTTTTGTTTGCCATACATTGTGAAGTGATTACCATAATCAATCTAATTATCATATCCACAGTTACCTTTTTTTGGGGTGAGAACATGTAAGATCTACTTTCTTAGCACATTTCAAGTATGCAATACAGCATTACCAACTACAGTCACCATGATGTATATTAGTTCTTTAGAACTTACTCATTCTGTATTACTGAACCTTTGTACCCTTTGACTAACATCTCCCAATAAGTTTTCCTGTTTTTTATTTTATCTACTTTAACATAAATTTTATTGTGTGTATTTGAAGTTTACTACATGATGCTGTGGGATATATGTGTGGTAGTAAAATGGTTAGTATAGTAAAGAAAATGAACACATTAATCAGCTCCCATGCTCTTATATGACAAGAGCAGCTACAATCTACTCATTTAACACAAATCCCCAATGCAATACAATTTTATTAGCTGTAGTCCTCATGACTACGTATGTGCTACTCTGTATCCTTTGAACTGTACCTCCCCATTTTCACTTCCCTTATCCCACACCCCTGGTAACCACTGTTTTGTTCTCTATCTCTGCATATTTCTCCATCTCTTTCTTTCTTTTTCTTTTTTTTAAGATTCCACATTTGAGGAATATGCAAAATTAGTTTCCTTTATGTGTCTGGCTTATTTCACTTAGCATAGTGTCCTCCAGGTCTGTGTTGTGGCAAATGGCAAAATCACTTTTTTGATTGAATTATATATGTATCCAGTCATTTGTCAGTGGACACTTAGGTTGTTTCCATATCTGGGCTATTGTGAATAATGGCACAATGAAGGTGGGGGTGCAGATGCTTTTCCAACGTGGTAAATTCATCTCCTTCAGGAGAAAGATTGCTGGATGATCCTGATAGAAATTCAGATTGTTTCAGATATTTTGTTTTAATGAACGACACTTCAGTGACCAACTTTGTACCTTTTTACTTGCTTACATATGCAAGCTTTTCTCTTACAAGAAATAATAATAAAGTTTATAAGAAACCTCTATGCCTAAGACAGTATATTAGTTTCCTAGAGCTGCTGGAAACTAATTACCACACACTAAAAGAAAAAAAGAAAAGGTGGCCTAAAACAACACAGATTTTTTTCTGTCACATTTCTGAAGGTCAAAAACCTGAAGTAAAGGTATTGGACACTTCCTCTAGAGGCTCCTGGGGAGGTCCCATGTCTTGCCTCTTCCAGCTTCTGGTTGCCACTGGCATATTCCCGGACCTGTGGCTGCACATTGCTCCAGTCTCTGCCTCTGTCTTCACATGGTGTTCTTCTGTGTCTCTCTTCTGTCTGTTTCTCTTCTTATGAGGACACTTGTCACTAGATTTAGGACTCACCTGCATAATTCAGGATTATCTCATCTTGAGATCCTTAAATTATTCACATCTGCATAAACTCTTTTCCAAAATATGGTCACATTCACTGGTTCCAGGTGGACGTAACTTTTGAAGGATGCCATTCAGCTCACGATAGATGGTTTCCCAGCTCAGCATTATTGATATTTTGAGCCAGATAATTCTTTGGGGGGTAGAGGTGACCTGTGCATTGTAGGACAGATCTCTAGCCTCTATCCACTAGATACCAGTCGTGTCCTTGCCCCTCACCTCAGCTGTGACAACCAAAATGGTCTTCAGGCTTTGCTAAATGACTCCTGAGTAAAGAACCACAACTCCTCCCTGACCCCACTTCCCTCCTGTTGAGAACAACTGATCTAGGAGAATGCTTTGCTGGATTTTACAGTATACACATTTTCAACTTTACTAGTTATTGTCAGTGGTTGTCCAAAGTGATTGTACCAACTTAAACCCTTATCAGCAGTGTATGGTAGTTCTTTACATCATGACCAGGACTCAGTATTGTCAGACTTTAACATTTTTGTCAATTTGATGCTATCTCATTGCTGTTTTAATTTATAACTTTCTACCAGTGTGGTCAAGAAACTTTTCATTCATCTATTATCCATTTGGGTGTCTTGGTCTATGAATTGCTGCCTCATATTCTTTGCCCATGTTTTTGGTTTGTTTTCAGGTAATCTTTTTTCTTGTTGAATTATAGGAGCTCTTAGAGATGAATCACTTTTCAGTTGTCCAATCCTAATGTCTTCCCCTTACCTGGAGCTCATTGTTCATTTTGTTTATGGTGTCCTTTGTTGTGCCAAACCTCTAAATTACAGTGTTGTCAATTTATCAGTTCTTCTTGATGGTTTGTGTTCTTTTGGTCTTTTAATGTCTCTTCTAAGTCTAAGAAGGCAGTCATGCCACTTGAGAAAAAGACTACAGAGACTAATCATGTCAGAAAAAATTTAGTGCTGTGGGAGTCATCATGATATCCCGGAAAGGCACAGAGCTCTAAGTGTGGAGGCTGTCGTCCCAGCCTGCTCTATCAGCAACTGTGTGTTTTGGAGAGATAACTCAGCAGCTTTGTGTACAAGTGCTTGTCTGAAAGGGAAGAGGATTTGAAACTCTACAAGGTCCTAGTCCATTTAAAAAATTTTACACACCTGTGAGTTCTCTGAAGGATGCAGCTTATATCTCAAAATCATCTTAACAGTCTTCTAGATTATCGGTATGACTACTTCGACTATAACAAGGGAAAAAACACAAAAAGAGAAACCTAAAGATTATACATATCAATAGCAAAATGTCAGTCTGAAGCACACATTTCTCTTTTACTTTTAAATATCTTAGGATCAAGACTCATAGTGAACTCAGCTGATATTTTTGTGATATCAAATTATATCACATATAATACGTACACACAAGTTCTAGCAAAAACACATGAATTGTATTATTTTTCCCTAGAATTAAGTTTTACAATTGCCATTGCTAGTTAGCCTAGTGGCAACTAGTTGAGGCTCTCCTACAGAATGCTATATTCATCCTCTTCAGGAACACTTCTTAAATTTGATTTCAATTTAATTGATGCAGGGAGTTTTCCTTTGAGTTTGATCTTGCTATGTATGACATTGCCTTCAGCCAACTTAGGGATCTCCCAAGATCTCCACAATTGTCATGTAGTTATATCAGCAAATGAATTATTGAACTTCATGATTAAAATATTTCCTGTTTAGCAAATTCAGTTTTACATTTTCATTTTCTCCTCCCACAAGTTTTTATTATGAAGCAAAAAAAAAGGTTTTCATTTATTTTAATTATAACAATACTCATTATAAGATTAAGTGAAGAATACTATAACTATTAAAATTCAATTGCTATTAAGTTACAAGGTCTTTAACTGTTACACATTTACGTACTGGTTAAGGTAGGGAGCTTTCATTTATGTGACTGGGTATAAACTGAGACCCTCAGCTTTTGATCAGGCAGCAGTGATATATGCCAATTTCCGTCTGGTTAGTTTTGGAGTTTGCTTTCATATTCCATTAAATAGGGTGACACATCCGGCCTATGATGTGACAGATGACCTTTCTGAAGATCATGGCACCTAATAGATCATTTAACATGAGCAGCTCTGACACGTGACTGAACTCCTTAAGCATTTGAAAAACATCATGCAAGTCAATGCCATGTTGAAGTCGGCTGTCATCTCCAATGAGTGTCCACAACTGCCATCGGCAGCTTTGAGAATTGTTACCAATGATGCTGAGACAGGGAGTCAAGCCACATTCCTGTAGAGGAGTCCAAATTCTTCTCAGGGGAAGAAAACAAAATCTAGACAAGAAATCAAGGGATGTCAAAATAGCATTTTCCTTTCTTCTTGACCTTTCAGTACAATTATTATACTGTTTTATGACTCTCAGAGATTCTGACTAGTAAATGAAATAGAGCAATATAGCTTGCTCGTATTTGAAACAAAGAGACGTCCAGTAAAACTTTGTTGAAGGAACAAGCAAGATGACTAGGTGATCATTGCTCTGACTAGTATAGCAGTACACATCCTACTCACTGGTTCATTCACTTATGCATCAATTTAACAAATAGTTATTGGGCGCCAACCTTGAGCCAGGACCTAGACTAGGCACTGGGTTTCAGTGGCGAGTACAGACACTGTCCCTGTTCTCATGGAACATACAACCAAACAGGGAAGAGGGCTATTTATGAATCAAACAATCTCACAAGGAAATTTAAAATTGTATCTATGCTAAATGTTACAAAAGACAGGCACATGGTGCTTTAAGGCTTGAGCAAGGGAGGTCAGGGAAGGCTTCCCTAAAGAGGTGGTGGTTAAGTTGTGAGCTAAGCGTGAACAGAAGTTAAATATGGCAAAAGAGAAGGGACAGAAACAGTCTCACCAGAGAACAGTGTGTATCAAGGCTGCGTGAGGAGAGGAAGGAGGCTGGTGTTTTCTCAGGCTAGGAGGAGAGCAATATGGTACAGTGCTGTGTGAGGCTGGAGAGAAGAGGCCAGACTGTATTAGCCTGTCATCCAAATTCAAGTGTTTTGTTTCCATCCCTAAACAGGAAGCCATTACAGAATTTAAGCAGGAGGATGACAGAATCAGATTTGAGTTCCAAAAGGATCATTCTGCCATATGAAGAATGAAAGGATTGGAAATGGAGGGAAAGGAAAAGGGGCTATTAGGGATGATCAATTTCCACATTTCTAGCTTGCATAACAATGACTGATGAGGCTGTTCACTAAATCAGGGAACACTGGCAAAGGATCGTCTTTAGGGAGGAAGCCTATGAGTTTGGTTAGGAACCATAGTTCTCCCATAAACTCTTGGGTATGTGGGTGTATGGTTTAGAAGAGAAGTCTAGACTAGAAACACAAAATAAAAAATTAGGAGTCACCTGTGTACATATGCATAGTAATTGAAGGTAAATTACTGTGGTAGATAGAACAATAGCCTCCCAAAGATGTTCATATCCTAATTATCAGAACCCAGGAATATGTTATTCTGTTTGGGAAAGGGGAATTCAGATTGCTGATGGAATTAACATTGCTATTCAGCTGACTGTAAAGTAGGGAGATTATCCTGGATTATCTGAGTGGTCACAGTGTAATCACAAGTGTCCTTAAATATGGGAGAGTCAGTATTAGAGTGAGGCAATGTGACAAAAACTTAACCAGTCATTACTGGCTTGTAAAATGGAAGGGAGTCCTTAGCCAAGAATAGGGGCAGCTCTAGAACCTGGAGAATACAAGAAATAGATTTTTCCCTAGAGTCTCCCAAAAGGAACACAACCCCCTTGAAACCTTGATTTTAGCCTAGCACAGTGAGACCCATTTCAGAATTCTGATCTCCAGAATTGTGAGATCATATATCGGTGTCGTTTTAAGCTATTAAGTTTGTGAATATTTGTTACAGCAGCAATAGGAAACTAATACAATTACCTCGAAAAAAGTTAAGGAGAGGGAGGGCCTAAAACTGAGTGGAGGAATCCAACATGTAATGGCTACATAAAGAAGGATAAACATACAAATGAGACAGTGAAGGAAGAGGGGAGGCAAACCAGGGGAATGGAGGGTTCTTGGAAGCAAGAGGAGAGAATCTTTGAAGAAAGAGGTCAAACCAAATAAGTATTCATTGGATTGGTTGATAGGAGCTCACTAGTGACCTCAGTGAGGGTTGTTTTGTTAGTGAGGGGTGCAGAGTCCAGATTGGGGTGGGATGTGGTGTGAGTGGAAGGTGAAAAGACAAAGACAGAGACTATAGTCAACTCTTGGAAGAAATTTGCTTGTGCAGTGGAAGGAAAAATTACAATTAATTTGGAAGAAACTTGTTTCTGAAAGAACCTTGACACTATCGACAATTTGGGTCAAATAATTCTTTGTTGTAAAGATAGTCATGTACATTGTAGGATGTTTAGCATCCTTGATGTCTACCCACTAGATGCCAGTAGGAATTTGCCCCTTGATTTGTGACAGCTAAAAATGTATCTAGACATTGTCAAATATTCCCTGGGAGGCAAAATGCCCCTGTTTGAGAAACATAGTTTTGAATACAAAACACAGAATTCCCTGAGTTTGATTTTATCCAAGTACATCAAACTTATTTCTTCTAAAGTTTAAAAGGTCATCAAATGAGTAAGACATCATTTGATTCGTTCCTTTAAAGCTCACGTCTGTAGAAGCGCATGATTCTTTGGGTATCTACTCTGAATTGATGCAAAGTGATTTTGTATAAATGATATTGCACGCTCTCATATAAGAATCTGAAAAGTTGAGAGTACAATGGACTCCAGGGTATATTCAAAGCTTGTTCTAATATAGCCTATGCCATTTAATCTAGATCCGTGACTGAACAGTAATTGAACTGCATAGTTCCAAGAAGTTGCCCCTTATTCCGGTATCATTTGCCTACAAGAATTATAATAGCATTAGCTGAAATCTCAAAGCAGGTACCCATCAAATCACGTTAAAATATTTCACAGTGAAGAAAAATATGACAGAATGTCTGCATTCTGTGGTTGATGTGACATTTTAGAAATTTAATGGGAAATACAGTCCAAACCTTGTTTCTGAGCTTTGAAGAAAAGGATTGCTTTTTTGATTGGGTGCCTATGTTGAGTCTCAGAGGTGTGAAGACTGTTTCTCATACCACCATTCTCAAAATCTTCTGTGTTGAATTGGCTTTTCAGGTGTGCCTCAGATGCTGAATTATGTGGAATTTGATTTATTTTATTGCCTTAATAATACACTGTGTAGTTGGGGAGAAGGATATGGAGAAGGTCTTGTAAAGTAAATTAAAAGCAAAATTTCACGCTTGACCACACATGTAAAAGTAGAATAATTCAATCATGAGACATATGCTTTATTAGAGGTCAGTGTTCTCATTGTGGTTATTAAATTTTTTAGTATTTTAATAACAGCATTTTCCTCCCAGCCCAGTTTTTCTATCTTTCTGATGCTGCTATAAAGTTATAGTTCAGACCTGGTGTCACCTCATTCTGGACACTAGGGCTACATTCAGCATTGTAGATTTTAAGGTATTCCTGGCAAAGTAAGTTGAATTATAAAGCCTTTAAACTTTGTTTATAATTATATTAGTAGTACATGAATATCTTCTTATAAAAACTACTAACAATGAAATAAAATTAAAGTCTGCCTTGGTATATCCTCTTCTTAATTCTACTTCTCTTTCCAGAGGCAAAAACTTGCTAATGCTGGGGTTTATCTTTCTAAAGCTTTTTCCATTCATTTGCATATATATGGGTACCTACCAAACTATGCTGATTTGCTTAGTGCAAGGCAGGTGGTTCCTTACACATATGAGGCTGAATTGTGACACTTTTTTCTATCACAAAATGTGCCTTGAATATGATGTCATATTACATCACATAGTTTCACTTCATTCCACATTATATGATAGTATTAATGTAATGTATTTTATTTAGGTATTCTGCCACTGATGGACATTTTGTTTGCTTAAATTTTTTAAAATTATAGTCAATGTCGCAGTGAACACCTTCTATACATTTCTTGTGCATATGTAAAACATCTCCGTGGGACTGATATCTTCAAGTGGAATTTTAGAGTCAAAGAACAGACACTTTAAATAAATCCATTTAAATTGTTATTTTCAAAAGGGTAATGAATGTTATAAAATGTTTTATGATTAATAATAAGCAGATATATTAAACAAAAATAGAAAAACTTGGATCCACCTTATGAGAGTAGATTCTGATGTTAAGCCAGTGTTTTAACTTTTTAAAAAATAGACTTTATTTTATTAAAGCAGTTTTAGGTTTGCAGCAAAATTCAGAGGAAATTACAGGGAGTTTCTATATACCCCCTGCCCTCACACTTGCATAGCCTCCCTCATTGTGAACATCCTTCACCAGAGTGGTCCGTTGGTTATAGTTAATGAACCTGCATTGACACGCCATAATCACCCAGAGTCCATAGTTTGCATTAGGGGTCACTCTTGGTGTTGTATGTTCTGTGGATTCTGACAGATGTATAATGACATGTGTCTACAATTATATATCATACAGAGTATTTTTGCTGCCTTAAAAATCCTCTGTGCTCCACCTATTCATCCCTCCCTCCTCGCAACCCCTGACAACCACTGATCTTTTTAATGTCTCCATAGTTTTGCCTTCTCCAGAATGTCACATAATTGGAGTCATACAGCATGTAGTCTTTTCAGATTGGCCTCTTTCACTTAGTAATATGTATTTAAGTTTACTTCACATCTTTTTTGGGCTTGATAGCTAATTTCTTTCTAATGCTGAATAATATTCCATTATAAGGATGAACTGCAGTTTATCTATTCGTCTACTGAAAGACATCTTGGTTGCTTCCAAGCTTTGGAAATTATAAATAAAGCTGATGTAAACATCTGTGTGCAGGTTTCTCTGTGACACAGGTTTAAACTCCTTTGAGTAAATATCAAGGAGTGAGATTAGTGGATCATATGGTTAGAGTATGTTTAGTTTTGTAAGGAACTGCCAAACTGTCTTCTAAAATGACTACTAATTTGCATTCCCATCAGCAATGAATGAAAGTTCCTGTGGCTTCACGCCCTCACCAGCACTTGGTGCTGTCAGCCTTCTGGATCTGGGCCATTCTAATAGGTGAATAATAATAAATCATTGTTATCTGAATTTGCATTTTCCTGATAACATATAATGTAGAGCATCTTTTCATATACCTGTTTGTCATCATATATCTTCTTTGGTAAAATGTCTGTTTAGATCTTTGGTTCATTTTTTAAATTGTATTGTTTATTTTCTTATTGTTGAGTTTTAAGAGTTCTTAATATACTTTGGATAACAGTCCTTTATCAGGTATGTGTTCTGCAAATATTTTCTCCCAACCTGTGATTTGTCTTCTCATTCTCTTGAGTATTTTAACTTTATAAAATAATTTCTTGCTTATTTGAAATCAGGCAAGAAAAGCCTATTAGAGGTTGAAAGAGAAATATAATACACAGCCTTTTAGGATATTAACATTGAATGTGGGAGAAATGTTAGGAGATATAGACTTGCCTAAGCTTTTGCCACCTTCCTGGGTCATTTAAATACTTTTTCCATAGTGGCATGAAGTGGTTTTCTTCTAGTTGCAAAAGAATTGCAACATGAGAACATGGATTTAGTTTGAGAATACCAAATTTGTGAGACCTGAGGTGATTTAATCCTTGGCAGAATGTGCTCAGCTTCTCATTTAAGAAAAATAATTAAAACAAACCGGAGGTGTTCATGCTTCTATCTGCTGGATTTAGAAGTTTCCCTATGGGAGAAAGTTATGCTTTAATGAAGAATTAGTTTAAGCTGGGTGGATTAAGTTGCTAAAATTCATTTCCATAGTAATTTAGCAAGGGAAAAATTAAGATGTTGGCCACAATTGCTATTAATTTGGCCTGAGCTGCAGATCCATGTGAACATCTCTGGGAAGAATAACACTCATTTCAATGGATACTTTAGCCATTAAATGCTGAAATTGCACATAGTGGGTGCTCTAAACAATAAGTGCTTTTGCTTAGGAGTTACATTTTAGTGTAAATCAACTGATCCCATAATTCACTTCAAGTGTTCAATGACTTTATATTTTTTTCTCCAACTTAGTTTTACTGTATCTCCTCTGTTCTAAGAAACAGTCTAAGTTTTAAGGGGAACACAAGTTTGAATAACATGATTCCTGGCCTTAAAGAGTTTTACATATGAATAGAAGAAAAATGAATATGTGGAAATTTTTATGACCAAAAGAATAGTCAATTTTTTACCACTTTTTACCACTTTCACAATTTTTTTTTACCACTTCCTAATGTTGCGTAATTTGATTTCTAGACAGTGTCATTTAACTTAGAGGAATTGTGATGGTTAATTTTATGTGTCAAGTTGAATAGAGTGTGGGGTGCCCAGATAATTGGTTGACATGGTTTGGTTGTGTCCCCACCCAGATCTCATCTTGAATGGTAACTCCCACAATTCCCACTTGCCATGGGAGGAACCCGGTGGGAGGCGATTGAATTATGGGGGTGGGTGTTTCCTGCGCTGTTCTCGTGATAGTGAATGATTCTCATGAGATCTGATGGTTTTAAAAAGAGGAGTTTCCCTGCACAATCTCTCTTCTCTTGTCTGCTGCCATGTGAGTGTGCCTTTCACCTTCTGCCATGATTGTGAGGCCTCCCCAGTCACGTGGAACTGTAAGTCCAATAAACCTCTTTCTTTTGTAAATTGCCGTCTCAAATATGTCTTTATCAGCAGCATGAAAACAGACTAATACATTGGTTGAACATTATTTCTGGGTTTAGTTTGTGAGGGTGCTTCCAGATGAGATTGGCATTTGAATCAGTAGACTGAGTAAGGCAGATTGTTCTCCCCAGTGCGGGTGGGCCTCATCAAATCCCTTGAAGGCCTGAACAGAACAAAACGATGGTGGAAGGGAGAATTTGTTTCCTCTGCCCTACTGTTGAGCTGGGACATTGGTCTTCTTCTGCCCTCAGACTAGAACTTACACCGTTGGCACTCCTGGTTCTCAGACCTTTAGACTCAGAATGAACTTCACCTCCATCTTTCCTGGGTGCTCAGCTTACAGATGGAAGATCATGGGACTTTTCAGCCTCCATAATTACATAGGCCAATTTCTTAGAATAAATCTATATCATCTATCTATCTATCCATCCATCCATCCATCCATCTATCTCCTAGTGGTTCTATTTCTCTAAAGAACCCTTACTAATATAGAAATGGAAGCACTTCAATTTAAAGGATTATTTATTTAAAAAGAGACATTTGGAAGAAAAGGCAGTCCTCATATTAAAACAATCTCAAGTTGCTGGCAAGAATGACAATTGTTTCCTATTTCTTACCCCCAAGTGTATAATTTCATCTGAGGATGTGAAATTGGGCAATGAAAGATTACTCAGATTGTTATTAGCAGCACGTGCCAGGTCAATTTAATTTAACATGCATAAGTCTGGATTGTCAGTAATAACCATGTCAGGGAAGAACTGTTGGAAAAACAAATATTCTTGTTGAGAGTTTTAAATAATATTTAATGATTTTATGCATCTGCTATCTATACAGCAGGTATTTCTGTAGTATGAAGAAGGCTCAATTAAAACTTGTAATGGAGTAAGCAAATTCTCCTTAAAAAGAAAAAGCAACCTGCATCAAAACCACAGATGATAAATATGGCAAGCATATTAAATCTTAGTTGGAGTGGCCAGGAAAATCACCAACTTGATCATGGTAGAGTTGTGTCTCAATTTTCTCATTTGTAAAATACCCATAATAAAGCACCTGCCTCCTAGGATTGTGATAAAGATACACTAGGTGAAGCTCTCTAGGTGACGCTCTTAGAACAACACTTTGCATATTTAAAAAAACCCTCTACAGGCATTAAACAAATCTAGAAAATCTAGTTAGGGCTACAGACGCTGTCTTATAGACATGACTGCTCTGGGTTTCATTCCCAGAGTTCTCTCTGTCTCTTTGGTGATAAGCATTTGTTGAAAACAAAAAACTTAGAAAGTGAAAATTTTCTAGTGCAACTACTATGGAACTCTTCAGCCACATCGCTTTTATTCCCTCATAACTAGGTAATACAGTTTGGATATTTGTCTTCTCCAAATCTCATGTTGAAATGTGATTCCCCATGTTGGAAATGGGGCCTTATTGGGTGGTGACTGGCTCATGGGAACAGATCCCTCATGAATGGTTAAGCACCATCCCTTTGGTGATAAGTGAGTTCTCACTAAGTTAGTTAGGACAAGATCTAGTTGTTTAAAAAAGCTTGGGGCTTCCTTTTCTTCCTCTCTCTTGCTTCCTCTCTCACCATGTGATGTGCCTGCTCTGATGTTGCCTCCTGCCATGAGTAAAAGCTCCCCGAGACCTCACCAGAAGCCAAGAGGATGCTGGCATCATGCTTCCTGTACAGCCTGCACAACTGTGAGCCAATTAACCTCTTTTCTTTATAAATTACCCAGCCTCAGGTATTTCTTTATAGCAATCCAAGAGCAGCCTAATAACTAGGTTCCCTTGAAAGTAGCTCAGAATCCTTGGGGTTAGGGAGGCTGAGGAGAGAAATGGGGGATTGGTGAAGGCCCATAGCAGGCAGGTGGAGGACAGAGTTTGAGAGAGATGGGGTCTTCCAGGCTTTAGCAAATCACAGAGAGTTATTGGGGGTTTTTAGAGTAACTCCTGGAAAGTGAATGGAGAGCTGAGCTTAGAGCTTCACCTTCTCCCAGTCCCTGAGAAACTATCAGTGGGGCTAAGCATCACAGAAGATTTTCTCATTGACCAGGAATCCAGGGAAATGGCCTGGGCAGTTGGTCAGTAGTCTAAATTCTAGAATTGATTTAATACTCGTGTTGGTTAGTACTATAGCCACCACCTGATTCTACTTTCCCTTCTTATGAATGAGGAGACTGAGGCCCAGATTGGTAAATTGACTTGCCCAAGGTCACCAACATAGAGTATGGCAAAGCTGAGACTAAACAGTAGGTCTCCTGACTCCACATTTTGTGCTTGTAGGACATATCTTTGAATGAAAGAGAGGGAAATGACTGAGAAAAAGGATGAGGGGGAAAGGAGCCTTTGGATTGACCTATTTCCCCACGTGTGTTATACTAAAATTTCACATCATAAATAAAGACTGATGCCTATTATTTTTCAAATGCTTACTATGTGATTAGCATTTCATGTGTATATTTTATTTAATCCTTACAACACATCATGAGGTTGTTCATCACCATTATTGCTATCCCTATTTTGCAGATGAGAAAACTGAGGCATGGAGAGGGTCATGCAGTTAATAAGTGACAGGGCCAAGACTAAAATAATGAGTATTGGTAAATCTCATATCATAAGACCTTAAGTCTATTTTAAAAGACTCTTTGGAGAGAGCCCTGCTCACTTCTCCACTCTGCGCTTCAGTTTGCACATCTGTAAAGTGATGGTATTGTTAACAGATGATCTCTAAGATCCCTGATCAAACTGCTGTTCTTTAATTCATTTTTCCTAGTGTTTTGGCTACACACTCTGAGTCAAAGTTTTTCTACATACTTGTACCCAAAAATTTGAGAACAAGTATTCAAGGCTTTCCATTTATGATACAGTGAGGGTTAAACCACATGGAATCAAAGGCTAAGAAGTTAAAAGGATAGCTCTGAGTCATCCTGGGATGGTCACCAGCCTTCCAGAACCACTTTTCTAGGCCTCCTTCCACTTATTTCTGCTTTGATGGATGTTGATATTACCATGTTCCTGCTTAAGTGTCTTGGTACCTCTATTTTGTTTTGGATTAAATGAGGTTTTAACAAGGCTTATGGAGTGATTCACTTGCATTATAATAACAAATGGATTGAAAACATCCTTCTGTCTCTTTGGAATCCACCACTATTAGTGGACTATAATCCAGCTGGTGATAGAACGACAGAGAGCCAGGAGGCTATCAAAGAATGGGGAAAATGTAAAATTTCTTGTGATTTGTCAGCAAGGATGGAAAATCTGAGAAGTTTCAGAAAATGAATTCAAATCTGTGCCTCGATGGTTTGGCTTTCTAGAACAAATCCCTATAAATGTAAAGTGGGATTGGATTGGGGAGATAAAGTACCCTAAAAAGCATTTCAAACTTTATGTTTCTGATGTATCACTCTTTGAGAGGCCAGAAAAGAAATTCCGCGTTTATGTTTATTCTTCTAAAACTCTAAACCATGGAAATAGGTTGAGTAAGCACTTAAAATTTTAGAACTAGCAGGGTTTTCAGCATCAGAAAAAAGTTGCAAGTTAAATCAGAGCATGGTTATCCCCTAGGCAGAGATGCTAGTCTGGCACTAGGAATTCTGTTTCAAGTCTGTGGAACTCTCTAGGCAGGCAGGAATTTGGAATCTCGGTCCAAGGGTGCTAGACTCTGCTGCTTAGAGCAGATCCTCTCCAAAGGAAGCAAGATCATTATCAAAACAAGAGAACAATTTCAGTTCCTGTTCATGATCCTGCTTAAGAGAAAAACAATTTGTAGAGTGAAGCTGATACTATCATGAGAAAAATGATGTGTCTTTCAACAAACTGCCAATTGAACCTTTTAAAATAAATGACTTCAATAAAGATGTTGAATGCAGGTCAATTTAGGGAATTAACTAATGACAAAAACAGAGATCACAGGAAGTGATACAGTCCTCAAGCTGACAGATTTGAGAAGGAGGTTGCTGTATAGTAAGTTGCATATGACATGGATTAGCTACTCGATTCAGAGGGAAAATAGAGAAGCCTTAAACTTCAGAAGGCTCAAAACTGAGAAGCCACAACATGATATGCCTCAAACTGATTTCTTACCCTCATTTTTGCAGTGGCCAGCTGTGTGATCTGGGCAAGCCTCTTCTCTTTAGCGACTTCCTTTTCTTAATTTGTAAAATGGGGAACTTGGCTAACTCATCATTTAGATTTCTTTCACTTTTTATTTTCCTTATTTTTACTTTAGCTTTAGTGTATGTTTGCTGGCAAAATTGAAACAGAAATACATTTAAATTACTATATAATGTGTTTGCTGGCAAAAATAGAAACAAAAATACATTTTAATTGCAATTTAATTTTCAGACAATTGAATTTTCCCCAACCACTGAAGTTCATGGTTATCTCTGTCATCCCCAAACTCCAGAATGTTTGTGGCAGATATTCTTTATTGACACCTGTCAATGTTCTTTTTTTAAAATTTTATTTTATTATTATTATACTTTAAGTTTTAGGGTACATGTACACAATGTGCAGGTTAGTTACATATGTATACATGTGCCACGCTGGTGTGCTGCACCCATTCACTCGTCATTTAGCATTAGGTATATTTCCTAATGCTATCCTTCCCCCCTCCCCCCACCCCACAACAGTCCCCAGAGTGTGATGTTCCCCTTCCTGTGTCCATGTGTTCTCATTGTTCAATTCCCACCTATGAGTGAGAACATGCGGTGTTTGGTTTTTTGTCCTTGCGATAGTTTACTGAGAATGATGATTTCCAATTTCATCCATGTCCCTACAAAGGACATGAACTCATCATTTTTTATGGCTGCATAGTACTCCATTGTGTATATGTGCCACATTTTCTTAATCCAGTCTATCATTGTTGGACATTTGGGTTGGTTCCAAGTCTTTGCTATTGTGAATAGTGCCGCAATAAACATATGTGTGCATGTGTCTTTATAGCAGCATGATTTATAGTCCTTTGGGTATATACCCAGTAATGGGATGGCTGGGTCAAATGGTATTTCTAGTTCTAGATCCCTGAGGAATCACCACACTGACTTCCATAAGGGTTCAACTAGTTTACAGTCCCACCAACAGTGTAAAAGTGTTCCTATTTCTCCACATCCTCTCCAGCACCTGTTGTTTCCTGACTTTTTAATGATTGCCATTCTAACTGGTGTGAGATGGTATCTCATTGTGGTTTTGATTTGCATTTCTCTGATGGCCAGTGATGATGAGCATTTTTTCATGTGTCTTTTGGCTGCATAAATGTCTTCTTTTGAGAAGTGTCTGTTCATGTCCTTCGCCCACTTTTTGATGGGGTTGTTTGTTTTTTTCTTGTAAATTTGTTTGAGTTCATTGTAGATTCTGGATATTAGCCAACACCTGTCAATGTTCTAAAAGGGTTATTAGCTCTTTGAAGAGCAAGAATTGTACCTTATTTCATTTTACATCCCAAATGCTCAGTAGAGTAATTGCATGTAGTTGGTACCTACCACTATGCTATAGTCTGAATGTTTGTTTCCACTCCCCATCCCAAATTCATATGTTGAAATGCTAATCCTCAATGTGATGGTATCAAGAAGTGGGGACTTTGGTTGATGTTTAGGTCATGGGGGAAGAGCCCTTATGAGTTGGATTAGTGCTTTTATAAAAGAGACTGGAGAGCTTCCTCACAATGGAAGCCATCATGAAGCCTTCCACACAGTGGCCACATGAGGATGAGGCCATGACCATCTATGAACCAGGAAGTGAGCCTTCACCAGACACTAAATCTGCTGGTGCCTTGATCTTAGATTTCCTGGCCTCTGGGATGATGAGAAATACATTTCTGTTATTGATAAGTTACTTAGTCTATGGTATTTTGTTATACTGATCTGAATAAACTAAGAAAGAAATTAGTATGAAGAGGTAGGGCTGCTGCTGTAACAAATACCTAAAAATGTACAAGTGGCTTTGGAATAGGGTAATGGGGAGAGGATGGAAATTTCTGTGTGTGTGTGTGTGTGGAAACATGATTATACATGTTTATGTAATGCATGTAATATTTTGATTCATGCATACAGCGTGTAATGGTCAAATGAGGGTACTTGGGATATCCATCACCTCAAATAACTATCATTTCTTTGTGTTGGGAACATTCTGAATCTTCTCTTCTATATATTTCTGAAATATGGAATAAGCTGTTGTTAACCATAGTCATACTAAGTTTTGAGATGCATGGTAGAGAAAGCTAATATTGCCACATGAAGGAACTTCTACATGTGATTCTGGTGATGGCTCAGAAAGATAGGAGAACTGTAGAGAAAGGCTTAATCTTAGAGATTATCTTAGTAATCATGAACAGATTGCAGGTAGAGATGTGGATGATAAAGGCCATTTTGATGAGACATTAGATGGAAATGAGAAACATGTTATTCAACAATGAAGAAAAATTAATCCTTGTGACAAAGGGGCAAATAATTGAATTGTGTTCATGTGATGGCGTTTTGTGAAAGGTAGAAGTTGTGAGCAATGAAACTAAATATTTAGCTGAATTGATTTCTAAGCAAAGTATTGAAGGTGCAGCTTGGCTCCTCCTGACTGCTTATATTGAAATGCAAAGACAGAAATGGCTTAAAAATTGAATTACTCAGAAAAAAGGAAGCAGAACATAAAGATTTGGAAAATTCTCAGTCTAATTATACTGAATAAAAAAAGAGAGAACACTAGTGGTGTTGTCAAGTCACTGTTTGATAAGGAGATACATATAGATCAGACAACTTAACAGAAGCTAGAAGCTTTTCTTCAAGACAGTGAAAGAATAACCCCAAAGACAATTCAGTGATCATTAAGCTGCTCCCATTACATGCCCAAAGTGCAAGGACCCAGGATGAAGAGTGGTTTCAAAGGAGGGGTTGCCTGTGCCTTTGAGACCTCAGCATGTGCTGCCTGGAACTGCCTCACATTACAAGCTCCACTCTTCACACTCTGGCACTGTGCTCTTTGGCCATTCCAGGTGTGGTTCCAGCAGCCCCCAGTGTGGTCTGGGCCATAGTGGCTGCCCTTCTGGAGGATACAGGGAGCAAACTTCCATGGCATCCACATGGTACTGGTGTGCAGAGTGCATAGACCAGGCCTGGGGCACAGGACTACCTCCATTTAGGTTTCAAAGGATGAAATTGACCAGAACAATAGGCCTATGACGGCAGCCCCAGAGAACTGCAGGGCTGGGGCCTGGGGTGAAAGTCACGTTGGGGCCATTATACTGGACTGTGGGCCACAGTGGGGCCATTATACTGACTTTGCCACCCCAGTGGGCCTGGAGGACAGAACACTGAGCCAAAGAAGATTACTCCTGAGCCTTAAGAACTGATAAAGCTTGCCTTGTAGTCTGCACTTATTTGGGAACTGGTACCATTTAGCCTCTCCTATTTCTCATTTTGGAATTGAAATGTCTGTCCTATGTGTGTCCCAGCATTGTATTTGGAAGCACATAACTTGTTTGGTTTCACAAGCTCACAGCTGGAGGGAAATTTGCCTCAAGATGAATTATACCTTGAGTCTTACCCATATCTAATTTTGAGGATATTTAGATGAGACTTTGTATTTTGTATTTAAGTGTTGATACTGGTATTGGGATGTAATGAATGTATTTTGCATGTGAAGACATGAATTTGGGCAGGGGAGGGGCAAGGGCAGTAGGTTGTAGACTGGATGCATGTGTTTCCCAAAATTTACATGTTGAGATCCTAAGCCACAATGTGATTAGGTCACGATTGTGGAGCCCTGATGAATGGGATCAGTGCCCTTATAAAAGACACTCTGGAGAGCTTCCCTACTGTGCTGCCATGTGAAGACACAGCCAGAAATTGCCCTCTATAAACAAAAAAGAGGGCTCTCACTAGACACTGAGTCTACTGGCACTTTGATCTTGGACTTTGCAGCCTCCAGAATTGTGAGAAATAAATTTATGTTGTTGGTAAGCCACTCAGTCTTCGGTGTTCTGTTATAGCAGTTGGAACAGACTAAGACATACCACTACTACCAATGTTGACAACAATTAGAAGCAGTAATAGTATAATCAGTAATAGTTATCATTTATTTAGTGCTTACTATGTGGTAGGCATGGTGGAAGCCATTTCATGTACTTCTTTTTCAGGCTTCATGAGATGAGAAATAAAGGGATTGAGCAACTTGCCCAAAGTCACACAGCCCATAAGTGACAAAGCCAGGATTTGACACATAAGCCAAGTCTGTATGTCTCTAAAGCCACAATCTTACCCACCACAGTGTGCTTTTATCTTCCAAAATTTCTTAAATAGCTAATTAGAAGTCATTCTTAATAATACCTATTATAAATTTTTAAGGCTCTTTACCACAAGTTTATGGTTTTTTTTTTTTTTGATGGTATTACAAAGACATTTCAAGTTGGAGATGGTAATACCAGGTATATTGTGGAAGGAAATGTTTATCATGACTATTTTCAGAGACTGTTTTTTTCATTTGTTGAGTGAAAAAACAAACTACATTAAGGAAAGAAATTGACTCGCTAATTTTATAGAAAAATCTGGGAGAAGCCTATCCAGGTGACTTAGTCATGACATTTCTTGCTTTATATTTTTATCTCTTGGTTCTCCTTTTCTTCCTTCCCCTGCCTCTTCCAGCAGGCTCATCTCTGTGGTAGACAATATTACTCCAAGAGTTCTAGATCTTCAGTCTAGATGGTTCATGATTCCGGAAGAAGAGAAATATCTTTCCTGATAATCTGGCAACAGTCCTAGGATGGACACTGGCTGACATAACTTGGGGTATATGGCCATCCTTAAACCAATCAGTGTGTCCAGAGAGGATGAAGCATTCTGTTAGGGTGATAAGGCCTGTGTGATATGACTATACTTGTGACTCAGGAGACTAGAGAGAGTCTAGATGAGAGCCTCAACCAAAGCACATGAGGTGAGCAAGAATACAATGAAGGGGGTGGGGTGGTACTCCAAATAAAAGAATGATGTACATAAACATCACAGGCCTACCACAAAATCTCCAGTTTTTTCATTGCTTTAACAACTGGTGTCCTTTCTAGTGTATCGGAAAGAACAGAGGGCTGTTGTAAAGGGAGCTTGACTCATGTCACTTTTTGGCCTCTGACAATTTGTGGAGTCTTAGACAAGTCATTTATCCTCTTTTGGTTTTAGTTTCTTCACCTTTAAAAATGAGAGGTAGGATGATTTGATCTTTTTTGAGCCATTCCAACTCTGGCATTCTAAGTGCTAGTGATAATTATCACATCCTTTGACTGGCAACAAAAGTCAGTGACTGATTTTTAATACAGATTGATGATTTTATGCTTTCTTTAAAAAGCCTAGTTATTATCTACAGTAAATTAATGCATCCTGTTAAATTCTGACATGTATAAAGCACACCATTGAAGATAAGCAATCTGCCATGGTAAGCTGGTCTATGAAAATGGTGCAAGAGATGTGTTATTAGTTTTCTGTGCATTCATAACATTTCTGTGTATTTACATGAGTGAGCTCCACAGGGACAGTGATCGTGTCTAGCTTGTTCAATGACTAGCTCAGCTCTTGATGTCTAGTAAGTGTGTAGAAAGTATTTGTTGAAAGACTAAATAAAGTGGAAAAAAAGATATATAATTTCTTGAAGCTCATAAATGAAGCTTTAAGAGCCTTCTTCAGTATGTGACTGTATATAACCAAAGCAAATATTTTAGATGAAAATAAAACAAATAGTAAATGACATTAATGGGGTTTAACCCTAATCAGTCCAAGTTTACAACTCAAGAACTTTTAGTGGTTATATCATATTTTCTCTCAAGGGACCTCAAAGATCAAAGTCCAATTCCTTCTGGCTCTCATAATTGGCTACTTTCTAATGTCCCAAACGGATTATGTTATTGAGAAATAAATTGAAGTATATCATACCTTTGTACCTTGTTTCAATCTAGTTTTAGGGTGTTTTCTTATGTAGGATAACTTTTTGGACCTCTTTTTACCATAATTACATTTGACCCAATTTTGGGGGCTGAAGAAAAGAGTTTTGGGTCCTATTATCTTTCAAGTATATTCAATATTTTTTTAATGTGCAGGATACACTAAAATATCATGGCTGGGTTACTTTTTCAAAATATGACTTTCTCCATGACGTTTTCTTAACTAAGAACAGGGTCTTCAATTTGCATTTTTAGATCCTCCAGTATTGATTTCAACTCACCTATTATATTTTGTTTTCCACTACTACTCTGTCTAAGGACCTGTGGTCCAGGTGGGCCAGTCATTTTAACTCTCATCTGTAGTGTTCACTGTTCAACTGTACCCTGTCTTGACACTATCCATCAGTCAAAAACTTTCCCATTAACCAATGACATAATTGAAATCCATATTATCCATAGAGATTCCCAAAACTGTAACCTAGATAAATTTCTCTTACTTGAATTTTTACATCATGCATGGATTGAAACCTGCATTTCCCAAATTGCTCCAAAGAACACATGTTTGGAGAAAAGGTTTCAGGGATCAAAGTGGTTTGGGAAATTTCAGTATTCGTGGAAAAGAATTTGGGAAATTACAGTATGAGTTTCTTGAGGGCAGAGAATAAGTGTATTAAGTCTTTATCCTCTCAGTGCCGATATAGTGCTTGTCACAGATCTAGCATTCAACAAATGTAGAATAAATTAATAATTGCTTAAAATTTAGTCCCTCTTTATGTACTGGGTTATATTACTTTCTTTTCAGTTTTATATTTAAATTTTTATATGGAAATGGAAATATTCTTAAGGACAGCTCCCATGTCTTCTAAGTTTGTATTTTTCACTGCATTTAGTGCAGAACTTGTCATCTGAATGGTAATGAATAGAAGCTTGTTGTGTTACTCTAACATGATCATTTGAACCACTATGTGTATAGGTATAGTATAATCAATGTTATTTTGAAAGTTGGAATACAGTATAACATCCTGATTACTATTCTACTTTTTAGGATTCACTCTGAAGCAGCTGTTTCAATTTTGCATTTGGCTAATATTTGTTGGTTCTTTCTCTTACTTACAGGAATAAGTATATTCATTCTATTTCTTCTCTTACAAAGCTTGGGTATATGTGACCACTGTGAGAAAAATTGCATTGAATGGGCCCTTAACCTAACTTTGTAGAAACCACTGGATGTCTTTATAGCCCTTAAAAGGGAAGAATTTATAAATCAGAAGTTTTCTAAGGCAGAAACTCAATAATTTAAAATAATAACCAGGCATTTGATCAATTACTTGCAGATATGCTGACCATGCTAAAAATTTTTGGCAGAGAGATTTCTCTAACATCCCCTTACCACAACTGTTTTTCCCTGAGATTACACCCTCTTGAACTGGAAGCAGATAGTTTTCTATAAAAGAATTCATATATTTTGTAAGCTAGTTTTCTTAGCTAGTTTCTGGCTGTGTGCTATAGATTGTGAACATGATGATATATATTTAAGTTTGATTTTTCTAGTCCCTGATTCATTATTTGCTTGTTTTATTTATGGCTACCTGCTAGAATTGGTTTAAATAAATTAGAGTTTCAAGAAATTCTAATTATTATAGCCTAATCTTATCTAATAATTGTTCTAATAATTCTAAAAATAGATTAGTTTCAATAAAGTCATAAAAATGGTTATGAATTTATATTTACGTGGCCTTAGGAGCTTAAGAAAGATAAGCATTTTAAAACAAATCAGCTAAGTAACTGTGATTACCAAAACATAAAGAACTTACAATAAAAGGATAGATTCCAAAAGATGGAAACAATGTCTCTTCCAAGATTAACTAGGCAAGTTCTCCAGCTCTTTCTCTCTCCAGAATAGAAAGCATAGGTGTTAACTCATATAATGGGATGACTATCTTGTAATAATTGCCTTTTTGCAGCTTCTTGGGTGGATATTTTCCTTTCTTTTGTATGAAAAAAATTTACAGCTTTCCTTCAAACAATTCATATGAAGGGGCTCAGATGCAGGAATCTTAATTTTAATCCCAAAGGACAATTAAAAATGCTGCACATATACTTTACCCCTGGCGTTCATCAAAGACTCCTTTCTTTTTCCATGGACTCCTTCCCAGTTTACATCTCTGGCACTTTCCCAAATCCCCCATTTTTACTTCTTAACTAAATGTTCAAGCCTTTTATAAAGTATTAGTGACAATATAAACCATTAGTTGGCAGCTCTCTAAGACTTTGGGGCTGCATGCCCATCTGACAGCAAGGTTTATGGATGGTTGACAATACAATTTCTAAGGGCGTGTTTATACTTTTAAAGATTGGCATCATTTATTTTCACTTAGGAGCTTCAGTGATTCCATTTCCTTGTGGTCTTTTGAGATATGACCCTTAACCACCACACAGTGACATGTGTGGTCCAAAGACAAGCAGTATGGTCTCTGTTTAATAGTAAATGTCTCTTCTCTCCCTTTTGCAAAACACATTCAGTGCTCTGGGCAAATCTGCTTCACCCTTCACTGCAAGAAAAAGCCAACATGGAGACAGTAGACAAGCCTCACTGGGAGCTCTTGGCTTCTGATGACATAAAATTGGTAAAAGTAGAATCATGGACAGCAGCTATTGCCACATGCAGCTACAGTTAATTTTGTTGTCTTCTTGAGTTTCTTGCAGAGGATGAGCAGGCATGGAACTTCACACTTATAATTGAAAGCAATCATATGACTCTGTGTGTGTGTGTGTGTGTGTGCTAGGGAGATGGGGAAAGTAAGAATGTGGGCTACCCTATGTACAACAGCTCAAGCTGAATCCTTGTGTATCTGATGGTAGTAGCAACATTTGAATAGAACTTCATAATTAAATAATATTTTTACTTACATTATGACATTTGTTTATAATATCAGCTTTGTATTCAGGATACTTCAGTATAATGTTCAATCCCCTTCATTTGGTTGAAGAAGGCCTTCTGGTCTACCTCCTATTTGCCTCATCAATGTTTCTTTCATCTCTCCCTTCCTGGGACTCTATCCTCCAGCTAGACTGAACTGTTCATTACTAAGTCGCAAACTGTTTCTTGCCTTCGAATCTTTGGATATCTGTTCTCTTTGCCAAATCCCCTTTTTGTCCAACTCCTTTCAAGAAGCCTGTCTTCACCACTACTAGATAAGTAGTTCTTCCTATGTGTGTCCTGAACGCCCTACATATCACCTAGTATCATAGAGCACCTAATCCTATATTTCAGTTCTCTGCTTGTTTATCTTCCTCACTGACTGAAACTCCTTGAAGGCAGGAATCATATTTTCTCAATGTCTATAGCCCTGGGTTTTGGCACACACCTATCAAATACAACTATTTCTTGAATTATTTTGTTGGGTGAGGTAGGGCAGCTTTTATCATTGCCATCTTTCAGATAAGTGAGTGAAAATTCAAAAAGGATGAAAAGTCCTACCAATAGATATATACCTAAAAGCAAGTAACAGTTGTAGAACAGAAAAATCAACAAGGGCCATACTACTACAACTACTAATGATGATAATGATTATGATAAATTTTACTTTTTAAGAACCATGAGAGTTCTTAAAAGCCATACATATTAACTCATTAAATCCTCAGATCAACTCTTTAATGTGAATGTTCATACTATCCCCTTTACCATTGAAGGATTTAAGCTTCAGAGAGGTTCATTAACTTATCCAAAGCCATACAGCTTGATGGGAGAGTCCCTAATTCCAGTACTTGTCCTTCATCTGCTCTCCTTGCTGTTTCTTAGAGATTTTGATTAAATGTTCAGGCTCTCTTCCACTGTGCTACATCAAGTAGCAGCCAATTATTAAAAGAATAAGATAGCAAATCAATTGGTTGTTTGCCTGCAAGTTGTTAAACATTGGTCTGACTAGGTGAATTTCAATGAATTGATATATCAAGTCCAAATTAATCCTGTTCAGACTACTATTGATTCTATAGACTCTATAATCTTTCTCACCTCAAGTAACCTAGCTAAATTTAAATTTGCAGGCACAGAACCTAAGGACCTTAGAATGTATGGGGGAAAGTCCCAAATCTTCACTCTTGCCCTGAGGAATATATAAGGGTTGTTTCTTCCTGATACCCCTTCTTACATGTCACAATCAGATGCAAAATTGTTTATCTCGGTGGTCTGGCAATTCATGTAGTTGTAATGGGTTTGTATTTTGCTGAGTTATAAACAGAATCGGTTGGAATTGACAGGCCTACTCTCTTCCTCCTTTGTGCTGCCCATCCCTGAGCACCCACTGCTCACGAAACCCTAATGAAATGGTGCTCTAGTAAGTTAAGAATGTGTAGTCTCTGCCCTTTTCCCACCAGATTAGAAGCCCCTTACAGGGAAGGAGCACATCTAATTCATCACTACTTCCAAAGCTGGGACATTTGCTTGAGCTCAGTATATGTGTGTTGAATAAATGAGCTGCTTTGGCATTGATAGGACGAATCAGCCTGAAAGCCCTTCCTCTTTCTATAGCATTTTCCATTTTCATTTCAATTGTGTGGGGTAGTCGTGTTTATATGTATTCTTTCTCCAGCCTAAAGCATCATGCCTCTTTTAGTTGGTAGCATTATTTATGGTATCTTAGATGGTGATCCAAGACTATAACTACTGTGAAACATTAATATCTTATCTTTAAATGATATTATAGCATTTCCTGAAGATGTTTCAAATGCCTTATAAAATCATCAAATTAACATGACAGCTTCTTATTGTTTGTATTACCAGGTACCCTGCTTTATGTTCAAGCTCAGTTTTTTAAAAAACAGCTTAGTGAGGTATTATTGACATGCAAACTATGTATTTTTAAAGTGCATGATTTGATAAGTTTTAATATATGTATAAAAACCACGAAGCTATCACCACAATCAAGAAAGTGAACAAATCTGTCACAAGGGCAAGTTTCCTTGTTCCCCTTTGTAATCATTTTCTCTTAACCCTTCCCACTCTCTCCCCCATCATTGGGCAATTACTGATCTGTTTCCTGTAACCATAAATCACTTTGCACTTTCTTAAGTTTTATGTAAATGGAGTCACAAAAGATGTATTTCTCGTTACCTCACTTTTATTACTCAGTATAATTTGTTTTGCTATTCATCATTGTGTATATCAATAGTTAATTCACTTTTATTGCTGAGTAATATTCTATTGTATAAGTGATATATCATAATTTGTTTAGGCATTTACTCGTTGGTGGGCCTTTGGTTTGTTTCAAGTTTTTGGCTAGTATGAATAGAGTGGCTGTGAATATATGAATATATGTTGTTATTTTGGGGGATAAATACCTAGGAATGGAATGGCTGAATTGTATGGTAGGTGTTACAGGTTGAATTATATTCCTCAAAAACAACATTTTGAAGTTCTAACCCCAAGTACTTCAGAATGTGCCCTTTTTTTGAAATAGGATCTTCACAGAGATAATCAAGTTAAAATAAAGTCATCATGGTAAACTCTAATCCAATATAACTACTATTCTTATAAAAAAGGAAATTTTGACAAAAACCTGCACACAGGGAGGATGCCATATAAAGATAAAGGTAGAGATTGGGGTTATGGTTCTAGCCAAGAAGTGCCAAAGATTGCCAGTCAAGCATCAGAAGCCAGGGAGGAGCCTGGAACAGATTCTTCCTCACAGACCTCCGAAGGAACCAACCTGGAATTCTGTCCTCCAAAACTGTAAGATAATAAATTTCCAATGCTTAAGCCACCCAGTTTATGGTACTTTGTTATAGCAGCCCTAGCAAACGAATACAGTAAGTGTACATTTAATGTTTTAAAAATCTCCCAACTGTTTTCAAAGTGATTATACCGTTTTACATTCTCAGCCCAGTTAGAGAGTTAATTTTCATTTCCCTAGTAACTAGTGATGTTGAACATCTTTCATGTGCTTATCTGCTGTCTATATATCGTCTTTGATGAATTATCTGTTCAAATCCTTTACTCATTTTTAATTGAGTTGTTTGCTTTATTATTATTGCCTTTAAGAGTTCTTTTTGTTTTCTACATATAAGTTATTTATCAGATGTGATTTGAAAAAAATTTTCTCCTGGTCTTAGTCTTAAAAATAAGAAGTCCTAGTCTTCTTCTTTTTTTTTTTTATTATACTTTAAGTTTTAGGGTACATGTGTACAACGTGCAGGTTAGTTACATATGTATACATGTGCCATGTTGGTGTGCTGCACCCATTAACTTGTTATTTAACATTAGGTATATCTCCTAATGCTATCCCTCCCCACTCCCCCTACCCCACAACAGGCCCTGGTGTGTGATGTTCCCCTTCCTGTGTCCAAGTGTTCTCATTGTTCAATTCCTACCTATGAGTGAGAACATGCGGTGTTTGGCTTTTTGTCCTTGTAATAGTTTGCTGAGAATGATGGTTTCCAGCTTCATCCATGTCCCTACAAAGGACATGAACTCATCATTTTTTATGGCTGCGTAGTATTCCATGGTGTATATGTGCCACATTTTCTTAATCCAGTCTATCATTGTTGGACATTTGGGTTGGTTCCAAGTCTTTGCTATTGTGAATAGTGCTGCAATGAACGTACGTGTGCATGTGTCTTTATAGCAGCATGATTTATAATCCTTTGGGTATATACCCAGTGATGGGATTGCTGGGTCAAATGGTATTTCTAGTTCTAGATCCCTGAGGAATCGCCATACTGACTTCCACAGTGGTTGAACTAGTTTACAGTCCCACCAACAGTGTAAAAGTGTTCCTATTTCTCCACATCCTCTCCAGCACCTGTTGTTTCCTGACTTTTTAATGATTGCCATTCTAACTGGTGTGAGATGGTATCTCATTGTGGCTTTGATTTGCATTTCTCTGATGGCCAGTGATGATGAGCATTTTTTCATGTGTCTTTTGGCTGCATAAATGTCTTCTTTTGAGAAGTGTCTGTTCATATTTGTTTTTTTATTTTTATAACAGTCAGCACAGAACCCGTTCTATTGGGATTTGTAATTTTGGCCCTTATGTTAGCATTCATGGGATTCCAAGTGATAGTGACCCAAATGCTTTTAGATTAAGGAAAAGCTGTTACTTTATTGAATCAAAGAAAGAGATGCATATCAGGGCCTGGAGCTCAGGACCTGATGGCAATTAGATTCATGGTCTCTTAGTATCCCAAAGTTTCTCCAATGCATCAGCTTCACTTCCTCATGACATTCCTTGCTTAAGATATGGCCCCATGCCATCAAGGGCCACACGCTCATCCTTTGTGAATACAGAGGAAAAGATAGTATTCTCAGTCAACCCCTTTGGAAGATTCCTGGGAAGCACTCTGAATGGTTAGGTTCACATATATAACCTTGGACCAAATACTGTTGCCAATGCATGTGGTACAATGTAGGATTGTAAGGACTATATTTCATCTTTGTGGTCAGAGTATTAGAGTCTCTTGCTAGAACAAGGTGGGGAGAGG
Organism: Homo sapiens; assembly: GCF_000001405.40. NCBI lineage: Eukaryota > Metazoa > Chordata > Mammalia > Primates > Hominidae > Homo > Homo sapiens. Next base: position 155,448,183 of record NC_000005.10, read on the forward strand.
ATTTAGAATGGAAGTTCTAGGCAAAGACAGTAGCCATTACAACGAGCAACAGAATCTCCCCAGATCTAAGCATGAGCAGGAATTCAAAATAGAAGCCCTACCATGTACCTTTTTCTCTATTGGGAGTATTGTCGTTCATTAACAGACATTCACTTGGACATTCTCAATGTTTCTGTGTGTGTCATCTCTGCTGTCATGAACTGAGGACCTGGTTGGAAAGTACTTCTTCATTTCTATTTTTTTCCTTTTCTCCATCTAAACAATGCACATTTTATTTTACGCCCTTGGCTTCCAAAGTCAGATCTAAAGATGAGGTTACCAGGTGTGTTAGTCTGTTCATGTTGCCATAAAGGAATATCTGAAGCTGGGTAATTTATAAAGAAAAGAGGTTTATTTGGCTCATGGTTCTGCAGTCATGGCACCAGCATTTGCTTGGCTTCTGGTGAGGACTCAGGAAGCTTACAATCATGGCGGAAGGTTAACGGGGAGCAGGCATGTCACACGGCAAGAGAGAGAAAGCAAGAGAGATTCCAAGCTCTTTTAAACAACCAGCTCTCACATGAACTCAGAGTGAGAACTCAATTATTACCATGGGGAGGGCACCAAGCCGTTCATGAGGGATCCACCCACTTGAGCCAAACACCTCCCACCAGGCCTACCTCCAACATCGGAGGTCACATTTCAAGAGTAATTTGGAGCAGATGAAGCATCCAAACTATATCATTTTGACCCTGGGTCTCCAAATCTCATGTTCTTTTCACATTGCAAAATTCATTAATCTCTTCCCAATAGTCACCAAAAGTCACAACTTATTCCAGCATCACTCAAAAATCCAAAGTCTGAAAGCAAGTTCCTTCTACCTATTAACTTGTAAAATTAAAACAAGTTATTTACTCCCAAGATACAATGGCAGTACAGACATTGGGTAAACATTTCCATTCCAAAAGGGATAAATCAGCTAAAAGATAGGGGCAATAGGCCCCAAGCAAGTTTGAAAATCAGCAGGAGGGGCATTAAATCTTAAAGCTGCAAAATAATCTGTTTTGACTCCATGTCCCACATTCAGAGCACACTGACACAAGGGACGGGCTCCCAAGGCATCAGGCAGCTCTGCCTCTGTGGCTTTGCAGGGTACAGCCCCTGTAGCTGCTATCACAGGTTGCAATTGAGTGCCTGCAGCTTTTTTAGGCTTAGAATATAGGCTGCTCATGACTCCACCATTCTGGGGTCTGGAGGGTGGTAGCCCCATTCCCACAGCCCTACTAGGCCATGCCCTAGTGGGGACTCTGTGTGGGGGTTCCAACCCCACATTTACCTTGAACACTGCTCTAACGGAGTCTCTGTGTGAGGGCTCTGCCCCTGTGGCAGGCTTTTGGCTGGGTACCCAGGCTTTCCCATACATCCTCTAAAATCTAGGGAGAACCTTCCAGGACTCTTTCATGCTTGCATTCTGTGCACCTGCAAGCTTACCACCACATAGAAGCCACCAAGGCTTATGGCTTGCAGTGGCTCGAGCTGTACCTGGGGTCCTTTGAGCTGCAGCTGGAGCTGGAGCAGTGAGGATGCAGGGAGCAGCCTCTTACAGCTGCACAGGGCAGTGGGGCCCTGGGGTTGGCCCAAAACTGTTCTTTCCATCTAGCCCGCTGGGTCTGTGATGGGAGGGGCTGCCTTGAAGTCTTCTAAAATGTCTTAGAGACCTTCCTCCCATTGTTGTGGCTGTTAGCACTTGGCCCCCTTTTAGTCTTGTGAATCTCTCTAGCAATTGGTTGTTTCACAGCCTTGGATTTCTTTTCTGAAAATTCTTTTTCCACATGACCAGGCAGAAAATTTCCCAAATTTTAATGATCTTCTCTTTTAAATATAATGTCCAGCTGCAAGTCATTTCCTTGGTCCTGTATCCAATTATAGATTGTTAGAAGTAGCCATGCCACATGTTGAATACTTGTTGCTTAGTAATTTCTTCTGCAAGGTACCCTAAGTCATCATTATTCTCATGTTCAATGTTTCACAAATCCCTAGGATGTGGACATAAAGCAGCCACATTTTTGCTAAGGTGTAACAAGGGTGATCTTTTCTCCAGTTCCCAATAACTTCCTCATTTTCATCTGAGACCTCATCAGCCTGGACTTTACTATCCATATTTTTATCAGTATTTTGGTCACAATCATTTGACCAATGTATAAGAAGTGTCAAACTTTCCTTTGTCTTCCTTTCTTTTTCTGCTCCCTCCAAAGTCTTCCAACCTCTGCCCATTACCCAGTTCCAAAGCCACTTCCACACCTTCAGATATCTTTATAGCAATGCCCCACTCTTCATTACCAATTTTCTGTATTAGTTCATTTGTGTTGCCATAAATGAATACCTTAATCTGGGTAATTTATTTTGAAAAAGATTTATTTAGCTCATGGTTCTACAGGCTGTACAGGCATGGCACTAGCATCTGCTTGGCTTTTGGTGAGGCCTCAGGAAGCTTACAATCATGGCAGAAGGCAAAGAGGGAGCAGGCATGTCACATAACAAGAGAGAGGAAGCAAGAGAGATTCCAGACTCTTTTAAACAACCAGCTCTCGAGTGAACTCACAGAGTGAGAACTCATTCATTATCATGGGGAGGGCACTAAGTCATTCATAAGGGATCCACCTGCATGACCCAAATACCTCTCACCAGGCCCACCCCCAACATTGGAGGTTGCATTTCAGCAGGAGATTTGGAGGGGACAAAACATCCAAACCATATCAGAGGGCTACATCCAAAAAGGAAAAAGATGAGTTACAGCAAGGAGATAGCCATTAGAATAGGGAAAAGTGGTGAGAGAAGCATCTTTTGGTTTATTATGATTGACAGTCCTGAATAGTATATTTTGCTTCTCTAAGCTTTTGGTTTCCCGTCTGCCATTTGGGAATAATATGTTTTTTGCAACTTATTTCTTAAGAGGTTCCTACCTTTATTAGGTTTCAAGTTTAAAACAGAACTGAATTCTGGTGATGGCATTAGATGCCCCCTTCCTTTCCTCTCTCTTCCATGCCCTCTCCCCCAGTGGCATAAATTAATTCTAGGGCGGATCAAAGAGGTAACTTCTGACAAGCCCAGCTTTTGCAGCCTTATGTGAGCATGGGAGAGTGAGAGTGTGGGAGTTCTGCTTCTATTCCTTGTGGGAACAACTATTTCTACACTTACATAAGGGATCCAGGCTGGCATTATCTGTGTCCTCAGCTAAAGAACCGTTCCTTGAATGGTGATGAAAGTGAATAAAATTCACTTATAGAGAGGAAAGAACAGGTATCTGTTATTCTATAATCTTTCCCCATCTTTTACTTCTCTAATACCCCTTCCAGGTCCTAATAGTAAGTAGCAGAGGTGAAGGAGAGGAAAAAAAATCACAGAACAATGATCATCATGATGGTCATATATTAAGCACCTAACATATTCCAGACCTATTCTATTATTTTCTTGCTTCATTTAATCCTCACAGTAAATACATGAAGTAGTGCTGTCTCCATTTTCCAGATAAGAAAAACTAAGATCTGAAGATATTAAATAACTTGTTATGGCTACATAGCTAGTTATGGTTACAGCTAGCATTTGAACCTAGATGTGGCTCATCCCAAAGCCCCTTAACTTAACACTACGAAATCCTGCCTCTCAGGGAAGGAAAGGCTTTTAGAGAACATGTCATAGTCCTTGGTTCTTATCAACCCCTAGTTATAGAGAAATGAGCAGACACTTAAATTGTGTAGTTTACTTTTAGTTGAGTGACTTAGTTCTTGCAGTGAGAGAAGTGATGCAGAAATCCCTGGGTAATGTGTGAAATATGAGGATTCCTGGATTTTACCCTGTAAGTTGGTGGAGAGGATGGTGGTTACACAGGAATCTGGACATTTATTTACTCCTCAGTACTCGTGATACAGATGATTCTTGGATCACATCTTGAGAAAAGCTAGATTCACCTGTTTTGATTATGTGGTCATGGTTCTGAATTCATTTTCTGTAGGGCCCTATTTCTGTTGGTTTTGCCTTAAAAGACTATGTGTGTGTGTGTGTGTGTGTGTGTGTGTGTGTGTGTGTGTGTGTGTGTAAGGTGAAGAGATAGAAAGAGAAGGAAAACCATGGAAAGATAGCTAGGTTATTAAGAGAAAGGGATGTGTTATTAGGGAGGACTGAGGAATTGGGTATATATTTTTCCTTTAGCCCAACGGCTGTGTTCAACACGTATCCTAGGTGCACATAGCTTCTTGCTTCAAAAAGTCCCAAAGGCATTGACTAGCATTGGTCATTTCTAAGCCATAGATTGCAATTCAGCTTTATCCATCTTCTCAAAATATTTCTTTTGACCACTGGGAAGATGAAGTCATGAAGCCACGCAAAACCAGTACTATTTTAGCCAAAACCAAACCAAATCCCCCCAGACCCCACCCCCACTGCAAAAAAAAAAAAAAAAAAAAAAAAAAAAAAAACAAACAAACCCAGCATAAAATGCTACTTTAAAGGGGGTGTCTGGAATAATACCCTCTACTCAGGAGCACAGGGAGCCTCCACTGTTCTCCATCTCTCCTGCAGATGCCAGACAATAGCTGCCTGGCCTCCCTCTTCCATTCTTCATAGAACAACAAAGCTATCTTTTTTCAAATATGGAAGAACTACAACCTCCTTCTGTTAGAGTCCCCACCTAGAATGTAAGCTCCAGGAAGACAGGGAATTGTTTATTTTTCTGTATTGATGTATTCTTGGTGCCTAGAGTGGTGCCCAGTACATGGCAGTTGCTTAGTAAATTGTTGACTGGCTGATGAAATGAATGCATAAATGAACTCTCTCCATTGGCTTTTGATAAAATCCAGATTTCTTAACATGACCCACAAGGCCCTTTCTAGCCTTCAGCTTCATCTTCAGCTCTCTCTCCTTTGCTTGCTACGTAGTCTAGCCTTCTTTTGGTTCTTTGAATCCATCCTGAGCCTTTCTGCCTCTAGGTTTCTCCATTGCTGTTCCATGTGTGTACAGTGCCTTGCTCTCCACTTTTACCTGCAAGCATCTCCTCATCATTTGGGTCTCAGTTTGCTTGTCACTTCCTACCAGAGGCCTTCCTTGCCTTCTCTTCCCTATCTGAATTAGGTTCTCCTGTTTTTTTTTTTTTTCTCATAGCATTTTTTCCTTCTGCTTTTTTTGGCTCAGAACACAATTTGTATTTATGTCTATGTTTATTTGATTCTTTGCTAGGTCATTGTCCATCTCTCTCACTGGACAATAGGCTCCATGAAGGCAAGACCTTGTCTATTTAACTCTCTTGTTTATGCTCAGGGGCTAGCAGAGGGTGGGCACAGAGAAAACCTTGAATAAATAAATATTTGTTGACTAGACAGACACATTTTAGCTGCAGAACATTTCAACTAAATAATTTAAGTAACTGATAGAAATACTGGGTATCCTGCATTCATGAAAATGAAACCAAATACTGGCCAACCCGGTTTTGCTAAAAGGAAAAGGGTGAACCTGTCATTGTATGAGGATGTCAGAAATGATGGAATTGGTGCAGATGTGACAAGTGACCTGTCCTGCTGGTAATTAGTAGCCTGAGGCTAAGCTAGTAGCAAGAGTGGGTGGGAAACAATACTTAACTACCCAATTAAAAGGCAGTACGAACTTAAATTTAGAAGCTGGCTGTGGCCATGCCATAGAAATCACACTGAGGGGAACAGTTGGTTGTGCAGCCCTTGCTCTGGGGGCCATTCTTGCATGTCAGACAGATAATTAAAGACACTGTGACTCTGCACATTTGGAAATTATGTCCAGTGACCCTCTTGTCCTGAGCAGATAAGAACACAATGAGTTAAGATCTGGGTCATTGATAGGTGATTCCAGGTCAGAAGGGATTTAAACCTTCCTTTGTAAAAGGGAGGAAGGAGTTTTTATTGATGCCAAAAAGCAGGAGGCCTGGGGTATGGTAGAATATACTCTGAGCTGGGTACTGGGTATCTGTGCTCATGGACCCACTCATCCGTTAAAAGACTCCATGACCTTGGGCAAGACGCTCTCAGCCTTCTCGTAAACCACTTTTACATTGAACAGTTAGAACTCTTGTTCGGAAGTGACTAAAGATGTGACATCAGGTTTTTAGGCAAAAAGAGTCTTAATTGGCTCACGTAACTGAGCAGTGTTAATGGCAGAAGGTGCTTCTGGCCTGGATGGATACAGGAGTGTAAACAACTCACCTGGATTTGATTTCTCTTCCTGTCTCTTGGCCCCATTCTCTCTGTTGGCTCTATCCTCATACCAGTTTTCCCCTGGTGATAAGATGGCTGTAGCAGCTCTGGCCTGTGTCTTTTCTGCATGTTGTTTTCCAGAAGTCCTGCACATATCCTGAAATTCACTGTAATTGACCCCAACTGGTCACTGGGCTGGGGGCTCCACTCATGTCAGGAAGGAAGTCCTCTAACTCTACCTAGATGCTGAAGTCATTGGCTTTTGGAACTGGTTTTTCTTAGCCCTGACAGCAAGCCCCAGGAGTTCGACTGCTTCCCCCAGCATATTGAAACTCTCTAGCCAAGATACAGTGGGAAGGGGACCAGGAGTCTAATAGGATGAATCCAGATGGGGAATCATTTCATTTCTTCACTCTCAGAACTCACTGAGTTCCAACATCAGTGTTCTCGCCGATTTTCCACCATGTCACACATGATGGATGAAATTCTCATGGCATTGTGATTGGAGTGGTTCAGAGGGTTGGGCTCTGGAGTTGGGCAGACTTGGGTTGAAATAGTGACTCCCCCAGCTAGTTGCTATAGAACCTCAGACAAAGACCTCTCTGAACTCTGTTGTCCTATAGGATAAAATAAAATACTAATACTTACTTAACTGTGTTGTTATGAGGATTGAACAACATCATTTGGAAAAGTGCTTTACACACAGCAAACCTACAGAATAAATGTTATTATTTTATTTATTGTTTTTGTATCTATAAATAAGCCTGAACATTTCTTTTTCTTCTATTTAAGAAAACTTGTAAGAATGCAAAGTTACAGGGATAACCTTGAATGTGTTCCCTTTAACAAATGTTTGTCTCTCTATATTAGTTATAGTTTTCTGGTGATATACCCCTCGATTGTTTCATGTCATGATGTGGTATTTAATATTTATTTTGTAGTCTGACATCTTCTTCTGCACTAGTTTGTGAGCTGTATTGAGGAGCAGGACCATGCTTTTTCATCTACCAGTATGTCCAGTGTCTTGCACTGATGAATGAATTCACAATTAAACTCCAAGTAGAGTAAAACTTCCCTAAGAGCAAGAACCACATAAAATGACACTTCAACACAATGGAAGAGTTATTATCTATTGGAACAGATTGGGTACTCAATAAATAATTGTTATATAGTTTATGTCTTTATTTTAGCATTTCTATCAATGATCTATTTTATTCTTTTAATGTTTTTAGTTCATATGCAAATATGGAATGGCTATGGCTCGTTTCTTTGTCACATTATTTATCAGAAGAATGTACTCAGAGCTCTAATGTGTGTACCTTCTGTGAGTACCCAGCCAGCAGAGAAGAAGAAGTGGGTGTGGCCCAGGGTGGATTCCCTCAGCTACTGCCCACTCGTTTTCTTGTGTTACTCTAAACAATATGTTATATAGTGTTATATAGCTGATGTGGTCCCTGCCCTTGGTCTAGGGTAGAGCAGGCAGTGGGCAAGCAATGAGCCAACACTGATCACTCAGGTTCTGTCTCCTGGGGGTTGGAATCTTGGAGCAGCCCTGCTGCCAGTGCACTTCAATTTCTGGTTAATTGGCTCTTCTGTCAGGTTTATGAGTAATCCCAGATCCTCTGGTTAAATTTTACTTTCTCCCTTACGTGAAGTCAGTGTTAATTCCTGTTGAAGGCCTACAAAGGACCCTGATACAAATGGTACTCTGAAATCTGCACTGAAGTGTAGATGACTGATAGTCCTTTCCTACTTCTCCAGAAACATCTATTTTGAACCCAATACATTTCTAAATGGGAAAGTTTTCAGTGGTGAAAGAGAAGCCATTTCTGCTTAGAGTGGCTACTGAAAAGCATCTTAAATCCTAATATTTAGCATACTCCAGTCTGGACTCATTCTGGGAAGACAAGGACTCGTGGTCAATAAATGATTAATGAGTGTCAGAGGTGACCAGTTTTTTGATCTTTGAGCTCTGTATTCTGAGGCCATATCTGTGGTTACAGCACTGCTAAGGTTGCGTCTGCAGTCTTTTTGCTTTGTTTTTTTTTTTTTTTTTTGAGACGGGGTCTCACTCTCTTCCCCAGGCTGGAGTGCAGTGGCTTGATCTTGGCTCACTGCAACCTCTGCCTCCTGGGCTCAAGTGATCCTCCCTGCTCAGCCTCCCAAATAACTGGGACTAGAGGTGTGTGCCACCATGCCTGGCTAAATTTTATATTTTTTGTGTAGATGGGGTTTCACCATGTTGCCCTGGCTGATCTTGAACTCCTAGACTCAAGTGATCTGCCCACCTCAGCCTCCCAAAGTGCTGGGATTACAGCCACCATGCCTTCCTCTCTCCCCCACCCCTCTTTGTTTTAGATAAAAAAGAAATTAGCTCTTTCTTCCCCCTTGGGATGATGAAAAGTCAGGTTAGCTTTGAAACATGGATATGGTCCATGTAACACCCTAAAGTTCCTATAGCCTTAGATGTTATGAACAGCTTCAGGTAACAAGACTCAGGCATGAAAAGCACCCAGCAGTAGACACAATGCTTGAAGCATCAAGAAAGGAATGTTTTTAAAACATGCACCATGTGTTGGTGGAAGCCAGAGTTGGAGACTTTAGCCTCCTGACTTCTCGGCTCGGTTCCCCACTATCCCATATCACCTCCCTGAACAGAATCAAAAATGTTCTGCATCTCACTTTAAGCTGGGTTTTGACTTTAGAAACTTTTAATGGAATTAATGGTCAGGAACACCAGTTGAGGCAGATTTTTGACTGCCAGCATGCCAGCCTGGCATATGTTCATAGGTACCCAAGTTAAGAGTTTATGTATTTCTTCAATTTGCTATAAATGGAATTAACAACAGGCCATTTGGAGACCTGAAAAACCACAGATGCCAACAGAAGCAGCCACATCTTTCATATTTTATGCTTATTTGAGTCACTGAGTGTGGGAACCATCAAAGAGAAAAGTGTAGGTTGATTTCTATCATCATCATTGTCATTGCTGTTGTTATTGTAAGTGCTATTAATCAAAGCCTGAGAGATTTCAAGTGAAAAAAATCTCTGAAATGTGATTGTGCCCTGAAGTGTCCCTCTTCTCTCCCTCTCCTTCTTTAAGGACTATATTTGAAAACCCAAGCTCATGTCTGAATAAAAATAAGTTAGATTTTAAGGTTCATTTCCAGCAAACTTTAGAAGGTGATATGGTTGGACTTTGTGTCCCCTCCCAAATCACATCTTGAATTGTAATCTCCAGGTGTGAGGGAGGGACCTGGTGGGAGGTGATTGGATCATGGTGACGGTTTCCCCTATGCTGTTCTTGTAATAGTGAGTGAATTCTCATGACAGCTTATGGATTTAAAATTGTTTGCCAGTTCCCCCTTTGCTCTCTCTCTCTCCCTTCTGCCACCATGTAAGACATGCTTTGCTTTCCCTTTGCCTTCTGCCTGAGGCAAAGTTTCCTGAGGCCTCCCCAGCCATGTGGTACTGTGAGTTAATTCAATTAAACCTCTTTCCTTTATAAATTACCCAGTCTTAGGTAGTATCTTTATAGTAGTATGAGAATGGACTGATACAGAAGGAAATACCATTTATTTTGGCATGGATGGCTTTCAAGTCTTCTCTTCCCATTGGGTCAACCATATTCAAATAACTAGGCTTTGAGTATTTCTAGTCACAGGAGTTGGAACAGTTCTAGGTGATGTTATAGGGTATTTACAACAGACCTAGATGAATGAGATATTATAAATTTCAATATCTTGTGTCTTTGAGAATAACCCTGGAACATTTTTAAAGTTGTTTTTATTTCTGGAAATTGGTTTAAATCTCTTCTTTGAAGAAGTCTGTTAGAGCGGTAAGAGGACTTGACTCAGATTGAGAGCCTGGCTCTGGTCCTTAATCTCTTCTTCTACCCTGGGCAAGTTACTCTTCCTCTTTGGCCTTGAGTTTTTTCTTCTCAAACATGGAGACTCAATAATACCCACAATGCCTTTTAATGTGAGAATTCTTTGATTCTACAAATTGCTTTCAAAGTCAGTTTATAGGTGCAAAGTAAAAATGTGATCATAAATTTAGACCAGTTATATGGGTCATTTATAGCAGTAGTTCACAGACTTTAGTCTGCTTAAGGCTCACTTGAGGTTATTGTGAGAAAGGCAGCTTCCAGGGCCTCATCCCTAGAGATTCTAATTTGGTAGGTCTATGGCCAAAATCTTCATTTAAACAAATCCTCTTGGGATCGTGTGTGTGTGTGTGTGTGTGTGTGTGTGTGTGTGTGTGTGTGTGTGTTTCTAATGATGGGGAACATGGTGCAAATATGAGAATCTTCGTAGGGGTAAACATAAGTTGAAAAAAAAACCTCTTTCCATAATTCTTTTTTCTTTTTCTGGAGTAAACTTAACCATCTGATCCTCAGGAAAAGACACAACAACTACTTTAAGCAGATGTTCCTTGATTTCTGCAGGATCAGATGAGGTGCAGGAGTTGCTGGCACAATAATGAGTAGAAATGCCAGCTGATTTGGAAGAGTCCCGGGCCCTTGAAGAGGATGAAATTAGAGGTCAGAAAACATAACTTTTGTTCCTAGCACTGCTATTTCTGTGCTGTGGTCTTGGACAAGTCATATAAGCCCTCTGAAGCACTCTTTGTACTTTCTAATTGGGATGGGCTCTGTGATGCACTCAGGAATCCTCTTAGAAATGAATTGTTTACTCCTCTAGGTTCTGGAAGTTCTCCTGGAAGATGGCCCTCAGCTTGGAGCCCTCTTTAGGGATGGCCTCAGTTGAAACAAACTGCTTTTCCCAGGTCTGTCTCCTTCTAGAGCAACCTATAATACTGATTCATCCATATAGGGGTAGAAAGGCCCGGACTCCTTGCCCCAGCCAGTGACAATTTTGAAGAGCCAGCCTGGACCAGATGTCCCTGTGGCCCTGACAAAAAAGCCCTGAGGCCTTTGTTGTAACTGTCGCAATTCACCTTCTCCCTCTGCCCAATCCTGCTTCCTTCTTCCTTCCTTCCACAGGTGTTGATTCTGAGAGCACTCCCTAGTAAATGGCTGATGTGCAAATATCTGTCCCAGGAAACCCAATTTGGGACAGCGATAATAATAATGCTAGTCATGATAACAGCAGCTACCATTTATTGCATGCTGACTATAGGTCAGGCAAGATACCAAGTCTTGTATAAACATCATTCTGTTTTCTCTGCAAAACTGTCCTATCAGGTAGGAATTCTCATCTCCTTTTACAGGTGAGAAATAGTTTTATGAACTTAAGAGAAAACAATATATGTAAACGTGCTTTGATTATTACAAAATAGTATTACTTCTATTTATAAATTTCAACCGAAGAGATCTTCTTAAGCTCTGCAGCAGTACTCTCTAGATGAAAGCCTTCCAACTGGCTCTCAGTGGGAGAGAAGGCAGCTCTTCTCTCATCCTCTGCCACCTGCCCCATTCAACCAACTCAAAGGGAACCCAAGAGGCTGCTTGGTCCCTAGCCTATGACACTTTACAAATGCCGTGTATATTGTGATATCACTCTCTTTTTTTTTAAACAAAGGTACTTTGCTTGGAATTCTGGTGGTATTTTTTCTAAATCCAGAAAATACATTTGCATAGGAAAAAAAACAGCAACTCTCTCTGTCTC